>NC_000010.11:37008495-37312777 GCF_000001405.40 Homo sapiens
CCTTGAAGAGCCCTGGCAAGATGAAGGTGTTTATAGCCCTAGCTTATCCATATGAACAGGTGCCCCTCATGTATCGTTTTATGGGCTCTCCACAAGGGTTGCATTTCATTCCCAGAGCTATGAACATCTGCTTTTTTTGGGATAGGAATCTTGGTGATGTGAAACCTTCCTGACTGCACATCCGTTCATAGGCTCTCTGCAGGGGGAAGCACATCACATGCTGTTGGCTCATTCTGGCAGTCCAACCTGGCATTGTCTTTACACAATCCTGCAGGCAATTTGGTATTTAAAATAATCAGGAGCATTTCATCTTTTATTCTGTAGCAATAGTTTCAGTTTCAGGGAGTCTCCCTACACTAGTGGGAAAAATATACAGGTTAAAAAATAATTAAAATATATTGCAATAAAAATGGAACCATAATGTATGTGGTCAGATACTACTTTCTGTTTTATTCAGCATTATTATTTCTAGCATTCATTGATGGTGTTGTGTTTAGTTGAAATGTATTCATTTTCACTACTGAAAAATTGTACATTGTGTGATTATATTACAATTTCAAACCTCAATATAATGCAAAGTAAATAATACAGTGCTAAAAAATAAGAGCACATATACTTGATATAAAAACAAAATGAAGAGAGTTATAAATACACATTTCAGGATAGTGATAATTCTAGGATAAAATGAAAAATCAGTCCAGGAAAGAGGCATATAGGTAGAAACCGGAATAGGGGTAATGTTCTAGTTCTCATATATGGGTGGTGGGTTTACGGTTATTTATTTTAATGCTTCAGCATATATAGACATATAAATATATGTATGAACTATATATAAATATGTCTACATATAAATGTTACATATTTATTTTATGTATATGTATCATATATACTACATAATAAAACATCCAAAAAAATTTTTAAGTTTGAATATATAGTGAACTATAAAGACATATATGCATAGAATGCAATGATCCAAGCTAATCAAAAGGAGTTGCTTATCTTGGTTGGGTAGATGGTTAATGAGTTTGTTTTTTTGTTTTGTTTTGTTTTTGTTTTTGTTTTGAGATGGAGTCTTGCTCTGTTAGCAGGCTGGAGTGCAGTGGGGCTCACTGCAACCTCCGCCTCCCGAGTTCAAGTGATTCCCTTACCTCAGCCTCCCGAGTAGCTGGGACTACAGACGCGCGCCACCATGCCCGAATAATTTTTTACATTTTAGTAGAGACGGGGTTTCACTATCTTGGCCAGGGTGGTCTCAATCTCCTGACCTTGCGATCTGCCCGCCTTGGCCTCCCAAAGTGCTGGGATTACAGGTGTGAGCTACCAGGCCGGGCCGAGATTTTTTTTTGAATGTGTTATCTCTGAGTTGGATTTTTGATGAATGCATAAATGTTTACCTCATTCATAAAGAAAAGGCATTCCAGGAAGAAGAAGAAAAGAAGTGCCTTCCCTGGAAGACATGTTGTTGTACACTTCTGCATATTATTTACCATTCCCCATATAATATCTCTAACATCACAATATGTGTATATAATAATATATAATTGTTGAATAAATGAAGATATTCAGGACTGACAGATGTGGTGTATGTAGTGTGTGGATATGTGAATATGAGGAACCTGTAGGGAATAAGGTTGAAGAAGAAGAAAGAAGCTGCTTAAGGACATTTACTGCCTTTCAAAGGATCTTAAGGAAAGTAATACAGTGTTTTATGTGGGGGAATGACAAATTTGACTTAAATGGTAGATGCCCTGGCTATATAATGTGAAGGATGGCTTGGGAATTGGCAGAATGGTGGTGGTGGGACCCTAGATCATAAAGAAGGAGGCTAACTAGGAGAGGGTGAACTAGTCCCAGCAGGAGGTGACAATGTGGAGTGGGGACAGCAACCTGGGAATTGCCAGGAGATCCTTTTCAAATTGTTAATGAGGAGCAGGACAAGGAGGCAGATTCACCAGCATGAAATCTAGAAAATCTTGCCAACCCCATAGCATAATTCTCTTGGCCTTAAAGAGATACATATCCTTCCTGTAGTGTTTTTCAGAGACTTTACTGTTCTTTTCTTCAAGCTCTTCGATTTTAGCTTTGGTTTGAATAACAATACTCATTGGACAACCTGTTTTAGAAGTGCATACACTTTTTGTGGTGGCTTAAAACACTTAAAATATAAAACTGGCTAAAACTCAGGCCCTTCTTCTTCTTCTCCTTTGCCTTTTTCTCCTCTTCCTCCTTTTTTCTTTTTGCATATAGGATAAAACAACGGTCCCCCAAAATAACTCTAAAAGCATGAACCAAACATCATGAACCAAACATCATGGTTTTTTTTTTTTTTTTTTTCTGACTCTGGCACATGACTGTAGTTTGGTATGCTGGCGCATACCAGCACACATTTATTCATTCATACAATAAGTATCTGTACGTGCCCTGGGGGCGCTGTGGTGTGCTGACCATGTCTTTCCTTCAGACCGCACCTGCTCATACTCCCAGATGTTGAAACTGTTGGCAGATGATGGTTCTCAAGTGAATCTTTCTCTAGAAACTGCCTCCAGCCAGAGAGCTGCTTTGCTCAAGATCTTACCCATTCCTAGAGGAAAGCCCGCATTAACGACTGGCCAATGATTTGGTTAAAATCCACCCATTTGCCTCAAGGTGGGACAACTCTGAAGAATTAATCCAATTTTAGAATTCCCCATAAGACAGGCTAAGGCCATTATTATAATTGCATTGCAATTCAACTACTCTCTTAGCCCCTTCCTTTGACCACAGCTGTGATCATTCCCAATAAACTTCTTGCACACAAATTCCTATCTCAGACTTTGTTTCTTATGGAGCTCAAACTAAGTTTCCTGCCATGTGCCTGGCATAGAGGGTATAATGATTCTGAAGAGACCACATAGGTGCAGAGATAAAAGTTAAAACAGGAGCAACATTTAAAGGGTATGTGAAGGCAGATAACCGTGTGTGTGTACTGTGTGTGAATGATAGATATATTGCTAGCTTCGAGAAGTAGATTGGTAAAATCCAAGAAGTTTCATGAAGGCATAACATAATCTTTTGAAGCCATTGGGATAGTATATTTCTATCTCTTTAAGAACAAGAGAGATATGCTTTGAGGATTGGCAACATTTTCTGTCCGCAGACACGGGTGCAGTCTTAGTTATCGCTCTATTGAGGATTTGCTGTGCCTCAAAGCTTTAATCTTAGAGAACATTGATTTACTCTTCAAAAATTTTAGGGGCTCTGCTGACATCCAGGCCAAGGGAAGTTTAACTTTGTATTGAGACATTTTTCTTTTCCTGTGTATATACACAAGGCAATGAAGGAAATAATAAAGGATGGCTGAGTTCATGGTTTCAGTGTATGAAGGCCACCTTATTTTATACAGGCCACAAACCAAAGCTGAATAAAGAATGCTGTTTGTTAATCAAACTATGTGGGATTTTGCAGCCTAATTTGAGTGGGCAATATTCTTGCTCATAGCGGTCTAGGTTAAAACTTAAATGACAATACATTATTATGCCAATTAAAAATTCAAAAATAAATGCAATATTTAAACCTGTCTTTGCCCACCAACATACACATACCCACTGAGTTTTAGAAATAACAAGAGAAGAGTTCTCCAAGTGTCTTTTTTTCTTCACAGCCCTTTAAAATGTAAAAAGGCACAAATGAAGCTCAGCCCCTACAATAAGAGCTATTATTCAGCTGAATGATAAAGGGCTCTCTTTTGGGTGGGATACTCCAGACTTACAATGGCATAAATGAGAAGCAAATACAAAAACAAAGCAGGTGAAAGCATGCACTTCATGAAAGACAGACCCAGATTTCTATTACCCATCCTCCATTTACTCCATGAGTGGACTTGGGTAAATTACTCAGCTTAATTTCAGTTTGATCATCTGTAAAATGAGAATAATAAATTTCTACTGAGTTGTGTGATAATCATGTAAGTTAATGTATGTAAAGTACATAAAGGGCAGAAGGGCATATAGGAAATTCTAACGTATAAATTTTTGAGTAGGTTCTCAAGATAAAGTATATGCGTAGAAATAAATTCAAGGTCAGACATATAAAAAGGAATTTCAGTCAAATTTCTTATATGATAGCCTTTGTGGAGAGGGCACTGGGAAAGACCTGGGGCTTCTATATTTTGACTGGTGATTAAACTTTTGCCACAATTAGAGCTTTAAGATTGTAGTTCAAGGCCGGGCGCGGTGGCTCATGCCTGTAATTCCAGCACTTTGGGAGGCCGAGGCGGGCGGATCACGAGGTCAGGAGATAAGAGACCATCCTGGCTAACACAGTGAAACCCCGTCTCTACTAAAAATACAAAAACAAAATTAGCCGGGCGTGGTAGCGTGCGCCTGTAGTCCCAGCCACTCAGGAGGCTGAGGCGGGAGAATGGCGTGAACCCGGGAGGCGGAGCTTGCAGTGAGCCGAGATCGGGCCACTGCACTCCAGCCTGGGCGACAGAGCAAGACTCCGTCTCAGAAAAAAAAAAAAAGATTGTAGTTCAAGTCCTTGGCCCTTATTAAAACAGAGCTATACTGGGAAAAAGGTAATATGGTGTGAAAGGAAGAACACTTGGATGGGCAGTAACGTCCCCTGAGTGGTTACTCTAGTTCTGCCACCAGCTGGTTTTGAGACACTGAGGAGGTCACTATACCACTGTGAGCTGTGATTTGCTCATCTGTAACACTGGCATACTCAGTTGGGTGGTCTGTGTACGTGTGTGTTAATACCTTAATTCCAACATATACTGATTTGCTGATATTCTAAGTAACTATTCTCGTTTATTTACTGTGGGTACTTGGAAACAGACACAGTCAATGCCTTCACAGAATTTAGCATCCAAGGAATCTAGGAAGAGATACAGGGGGAAAAAAGCCAAGCAATTAAAATAAAGTGCAATAAGTACTTAAATGCACAGGGAGAAACACCTAACCTGTTTTGGAACTATCAGAGACTTCCTTTTAAAGGTAGAGAACAAGAGAAAAGGAGAAGAGATGCCTAAGGTTTTCCAAAGGCCTGAAGATAAGAAAGAGTGTAACTTATATTCTAGAAGCTGAAACAGGTTTTGTTTGACTAGAACAGATTGTACAAATGACAAAAAGAGGGAATGTATGTAGAGAAATAAGGAATGGTGCAATAGTACATATTCTCATCCCTCTTTATATTCAAGGTGTTTAATGATCAACAACGATTTTTGGATCATCAAACACATGAGTGATAAATTAAGCTTTTATCCTACTTTTCTACTTCGTTGTAAATGAAAATTGTGACAGCAAGTTTTTCTAAAAGATCCCAAGGGGAGACAAAATCATTTGATATATTGAGGCTGTAAGGTACACCACCAAGAAAAAAAAAAGATCTGTGGGAGGAGAAAGGAACTTTCAAATAAAAGAATTATTACCCTTGCTCTATGTAGGTACAGTAGAGTAGGACTGACAAAAACCAGACTTGTAGCCGTAGTGAAAAAAAATCTTCAATTACTACTAGAAGTATTATAATGATTATTACTATAACTAATAGACATATTTTTTATTTTATTATAGTAAAGATTATAGGCCAGGCATGGTGGCTCACATCTGTAATCCTAGCACTTTGGGAGGCTAAGGTGGGAGGATCACGACGTCAGGAGTTCCAGAGCAGCCTGGCCAACATAGTGAAACCTGTCTCTACTAAAAATACAAAATTAGCCAGGCATGGTGCTGGGCACCTGTAATCCATCTACTTGGGAGGCTGAGGCAAGGAGAATCGCTTAAATCTGGGAGGTGAAGGTTGCAGTGAGCCAAGATCATGCCACTGCACTCCAGCCCAGGTGACAGTGCGAGACTCCATCTCAAAAAAAAAAAAAAGATTATATATGTATGTGTGTAAGTGCCATGATGCACACTTACTATATGATGCACAGTGTTGTGAATGCTATTCATGTGTTTAATAATTTAATCCACAAAACAATACTATAAATGAAATACTATTATTATCTCTATTTTGCCCGTGAGAAAACTGAAGAATAGACAGGTCAAGTAATTTTGCCCCAAGCAACACAATAAGTAATTGATGGGGCTAATATTTCATTCTAGAAATCTGACTGTGGAATGCACACTAATAAAAAAATTATTTCAGGCAGAGTTTGCCAGAGATTAAATCAGCTTCTGAACAAAGAGGGAGTTATTTGCACCTAACATTTTCAGGTGGAAGCGAGGTTGAACACTTGATGAAGGGCATGCAGGTACTGGATGAGTATTTGAGAAAGATAACCCCTAGGACTCTCTCTGATCCTGACATGTTTCCGTTCTATATAAGCTACTCCAAGAGCAAATCAACTTTGCCAGATTAGATGTTCAAAAATAATGTTGGACTGAACCATAGTCATGCTCTTTCATTTTTAGTAAATATGTACTTGGATCTGCTTGCACAGAACGGTCTTCATTTCTTGTTTTTACCCCTAGAGTCTAATAGAGACCCTGTTCATTGTGTAAGTGCTCAAAACATGCTTGTCATTATTCTTACCTCTGCAACCACCAGCAAATCCACTCTTACTAGACAATGTAGTAAATTGAAAGGAACATTAGAATTGGAGCCCAAAATCTTTGGTTGTAGCCTGAACACATCAGGTGCTAGGAATGTGACCAGGCCCAAGTAACACAAATTTCTTCATCTTCGCTTTTTCTGTTTGTAAAATGTAGGTAACAATGATGTCTATCGAACCAAGGTAATATTCTAGGGCCTAGAATCTCACTCTTAGAAATCCTTACAACTGTAAAGAAAGTTCAGTTGAGTTTTAAACATTATCCCTTAACTCCAAATATTGCTAGCAATTGCAAGTATCCAATATTACCTTTTTGAAGACTTAAAAGTGTTTCATCATCCTTTGTTAGTTTCAGTTAAGCTATTTTTTGTTTGTTCCTTTAGAAGCTTAAAGGGAATAGAACAAACATGGGGAAAAAATAACTGTACCCATCTTTCCAAAATAAATACTAGGTTTTGATCTACAAAATAAAAACACAAAAAACTTTTTCCTTCACCATCTTTTTTTTTTAGTGGAAGTTAAACATAATGTATTTTACAATTAAAAGTGTTTTCCACTGTTTTTGCTGAGAGGAACCAGAGCTACTGGCGAATGACAACACCACTAAAGCTTTGAGCCTCAACAAGATAAATCCTGGTTCACCACTTGCTGTCAAGCCCAAGTAAGGAGATAAAGGTGACAATAAACAGGCACCAGGAAAATGTGTATTGCTTCCAGGGAAAGGTTGTACTTGTTAATATTTCCTCAGGGCTTTGTTCAGTTTGCTGTCTTTTTCTAAATCATCCTTGGAAACGTGGATTCAAAACAGATCTTCCAAAAATGGGTGTAGTGGAGTTGGAAACAAATTTTGTAATTCTGAGTTCTCTTCATCTGTTCTGTTGACTGAAAAAGGGAAGTAGAAAAGATATACCCATTAGTCCTGCAGAAAATCTTTCTGAATCATTTCAGGCTGCCATAACAAAATACCATAGACTATCTGGCTTAAACAACAGTTTATTTGCTCACAGTTCTGGAGGCTAGAGGTAGCAGATCAGAGCACCAGCTCCATTGAACCCCAGTGAGGGCTTTCATCCTGTCTTATAGATGGCCCCTTTCTCTCTCTGTCTTCACTTGGTGAGGAGAGAGTAAGAGAGTAAGCTCTCTGGTGTCTCTTTTTATAATGGCACTAATCCCATCATGGGTTCCCACCCTTATGACCTCAACTAAACCTAAGTACTACCCAAAGGCCCTATCTCCAAATACCATCACAATAGGAATTAGGGCTTCAGCATATGAATTTAGGAGGGACACAATTGAGTACACAGCAGCATCATTGCTGAATGAGAAGGCACAGCTATGGTTTCACTTTCTTGGTATATAACAAAGAGATACATATAAGGCTTTCTAGCTTCTGTATTCTATTCTGTATTGTACATCAAGGCTTGGTGACTCCCTGGGTTTTGAGAGTCCTATTAGAAAAAAAATGAAGATGCCTTTATTTAATAATAACAGTCAAATCTGAGAGGTGGAAGTTTGAGTGCCCTGGATTGAAAAGCCTATATCTGATTTCTGGAAAGGGGATTTATTTTTCTTTCCAGGGAATGTTTTATTTGAGTTTGCTTCTCTAATATTCATGGACAGTCTAGAAATTAGCCAAAGTTCATTTCTTTAAAAAGTAGCACAATATTTTAGAATCAATATGGATTTCAGAGTTATAAAGAACTTGCTTTGAATTGCACTTTTGTTGCTTCCTAGATTTATGCCTTTTAAACAAAGTTCTTAACCTCTCAACACATCGTATCATCTATGAATTAATGATACCACCTAAGAGTGTCAATGTGTGGATTTAATGACATTAGAAAAACAAAAGACTAAGTAGAGTCCCTGGAATGTAGTAGATGATTAACAATTTAATTTCTCTTCTCCACTATCTTCCTGCAAAGATGCCCTTCTAGAATGAGGCTTTTCTAGTTAATGAAGAAGTTTCACTTTTGTCACCCAGGCTGGAGAGCAATGGCGTGATCTTGGCTCACTGCAACCTCTGCCTCCCCCCGGGTTCAAGTGATTCTCCTGCCTCAGCCTCCCAAATAGCTGGGATTACAGGCGCTTGCCACCATGCCTGACTAATTTTTGTATTTTTAGTAGAGATGGGGTTTCACCATGTTGACCAGGCTGGTCCCAAACTCCAGACCTCAAGTGATCCACCAGCCTCGGCCTCCCAAAGTGTTAGGATTATAGGCGTGAGCCACCATGCCCAGCCCCAAGATTTTTTATAGGAATAGTTTGTGAGAATTGTTATTTTAATTGATCTCCAGGTTGATGTTCTTTCCACAAATATTGTTGAGACAATTAGGTATATTTTTAGCCAGAAGTAACAGATATTCAAACTAACAAAGGCTTAAACAAATAGGGTTTTACATTTCTAATGAAACAAGAAATCTGGATATAAACAGTCTGAGGCTAGTGGAGGGACTCCTTATAAACACCCAAACTCTGTTTACCTTTCTACTCTACTCTTCACAATATATTGGCTAATTGTCTTATATTCACAAATTAGCTTTCCTAGCAGTAGGCATCGCTTCCATGTTTAAGGCAAGAAAAAGATGGAAAGAGACACTGTCATTTGTGTCTGCTCCTGTTATCAGATACACAGGAGACTTCCAGAAACTCCATAATCAGTAGTTGCTTATGTATCACTAACTAAACTGTCATGTGGCCCTCTCTAGCTGCAGGAGATGTTGATAAAGCAGTAGTGAGATTTTTCAGCCTCCAAAGTGTGAGCCGGCGAGGGATAAGTGATTCAGAATGCCTGTAACTATAGCCAATGGATAGTGTTATATATATTTGGAAAACACTACTTATTCAATTCAGTTCAATGAACACTAACTGTGGATCTACTAAGTGTCAGACATTGTACTAGCTGTTGAGGCAACTGAGAAAAAAACCAAAACAAAATATAGTCCCTCTTCTCCAAGAACTTAGTCACATGAGAAAGAGAGAGAAATAACAACATAGTTAAACTCTACTGAAAGAAATATTCGCAGGGCAACAATTCTGAACTCTAGATGAACCACTTTCAAAGGTCATTTTGGTGTAACCAAGGTCATTCTGCACTGTTCATTGGCATCATGCTGCTAGTTCCTTCCAAGAGTGAGCAGGATGATGACAATCTACCTTTATCATGATGATCATGGAACATCGTCTGTATAAGCAAGGATTCAGTTCTGTTTCCAAGTTGGGATTTGTTTGTTTAATTGTATTTCATGTCTTGGGAAATGTTTAAATCAGGTCGAAGAATTGTAGTAAGTCAAATATCTAGAACAAAAAAAGTCTCATATGGTTTTTAATAAACACACTGAGCTCCTTTGTGTCTCAGATAGTTAACAGAAAAAAGTTACTCTAACAGGTCATAGTTGGACACATTGCCATAGTTTGGATCCTATATGTTCTCTTTGCCATAAGGCAAACTTTGTAAAAGGCTAGATAGTTTGGCTTTCCAAGACATATGGTCTCTGTGACAGTTACTCAACTCTGTCATTGCAATGCAAGCACACCACAGACAATATGAAGACAAATGATTATGGCCATGTTCTAATAAAACTTTATTTACAAAAATAGGTGGCAATCAAAATTTGGCTCATGAATCGTAGTTTACTGATCTCTGCCATAATGGTATGAAAAATCTTGACACTCTTTTGATTACATAATAGTAGATGTAGTCATGAACTATAGTAATGTATTTAAGGATGTTTAAGCCAGCTGAATATCATTTGCCATCACTCTGTAAGTTAAATTTGTTCTTTATCCCCAGCTCTCTAAGGAGGATGTATGTGATAATGCACATGCCAAGAAAACTTCTCTTTAAAAGAGCCCTGACGTGCATACTTGTGTTCTCTCCAATTATTTTAACAGGAAAAATATAGATATAGCCTACATATTTTATGCCCAAAGCATTAATAAGATACTTTCTTTAACTTTTTGGGGTTCCAGTTGCCTCTTGTGTGTTGTATCATATGTAACACATAGGAGATGATACATTCTCGTTTTCAGTACTGTCACAGAAATAGCAACGTTGAAAACTCTAGAAACTTAGTGTGGCTCAAAGACAAGAGAAGAATATATGCAGGGCCCTAAATAGCAGGAGTCATCAAACCTGAGGGTGAAGGTCAAAATGAGAGGAAAAGGGTTAATGATGAAACAAGGTCAAGCAAAAGGGACGTTTATGCAATGCAGGTGGCCAAAGTTATACCTGTCCTAGCAGGTCCCACCTGAAGGGCTGCAGAGCTACTGCCTAAGAAGGCATGGTGGCAGGTGATTTTCTGAGGCTAAAAGTGGGAGCTTGGGAGCCAGCCTGTGCTGTGTGGCCATAAAAGAGATGGGTTTTGTGTGTGACCTAAAAAGTGACTTCTGAAGCTAATGTTCTGTGAAGTCTGCAGCTGTGATGGCTATCTTGGGCCATCATCTCAGGATGAAGCCTGGTTCCTCACAGCCAGCCACACTCTGAACAGACATGGTCACCTCCCTGCTTCTGTGAGCTGCCTTTTGGTCCATGAACTCCATCTGTGGCTATTGTCAATGTGCTCCAAGAAGAAAAGAAATCAACCCTAGGGCCTGACTCTGAATTGCCAGCCTGAAGGACTTGCCTTCTTTTATGGGCCATGGAAAATTGCCCTGTTGTCTGAGCTTTTACCCTCTTATTTATCTTAGAGTTAAAGACATAGCCATATTTCTTCTCTCAGGTCACTTGGGACTTCGAGTCTGTTCAGAAAAAGGCTGAAATTGAATACACCACAGAATAATCTACTTGGAAAGTGCCAAGTAATTTTCATAACACTGTGAAGCATATGGCAGATCCTAAGATACCCAAGATAAGATGATAGAATGGAAGCACAAGAGGGTACATGACTTTTATAAGGAACCACAGTGGTAAATCTGGGACTCAAATTTAGGGCTTTTGATGCTAGCAATTGTAGTGGTTTTTATCACACTATTCCATCAGGATGGTTTTCTCAATTCCATGCAATAAAATGTTAAGCTATATTTTAAATAACTGAATAAATAATGTAAAAATGATAAATAGCAACAAACCATATACAATATATTTAAATAATTTTATTTAATATTTTTGATAATCTATTTTTAAGGAGGACTTCCTTTTCCTGTCTCAGATACAGTGTTAGATATATTTGATAAATAATGGCATTTACTCTTCAACATCACAATAGGTATCATTATTGTCATCACTGGAAAAAGAAAGAAACTGACATTTAAAGAGACTAAGTTACCATAGCTGGTAAGAGGGCAAACCATTTTGCCTCATTCAATGGATCTACATCATTGCTCTTTTCCAATATCTGTCTTAGGTAATATTTCTATACATTTTGCAAGATCTTTCAAATTTCAGTATGAAATTTATTTTCAAATCCTTGGTGGACTGTGTTCAATGAATATAATTGCAATCAAACTGAGGAGAAGGGAATCGATTGCAAATATTGAAGCCACAGTTGGGTTCACACTTTAAGGCTGCCCAAGCAGTGAAGAGAAACTTCACTGACAATTAGCAATGATGGACAGCTCCATATTGTGCTGTGAGGAGTCTACAAACATGGAATAATTCAGTCATGAATGTAGCCAGAGTAAGGCCTAGAGAGACAAAGGGCTGTCTATCGTTCCAGCCTGATATCATTGAGAAGTAAGCCTCCTTCTAAACTTAGTTATTTACTTTTATTACATCCTGAGGTCAGGCACCTTGCAGGACAACTGCATCTGATCCATTGCTAACATTAATCTGGGGGAAACAGATAAACAGCTGTTCTGTAGTGGTAATAGGGAAGATAAAGGGTACTGTGTAAACACGCCATCTGCCTGTAACTAAGCCTGTCTCCCGTCACCTAACCTTTGTGTTCTTGTTCTTTCAAAAATGGTTTTCCTAAGAGAAGTCAAATTCCAGATAAGTCTATACAAATTTTATAAAAGTCTTATAGAAATAAAACCTAGGCAAGATAATGAGTGTGGTATTATATTCTGTGGGAATTATATATATCGATAATGAGTTGAAAGGTGTTGAAGCTTATTAAGAGGGGGAATGGACTCTAAGACTCAAGCATGCTTAGATTTGACCCTAAGTCCAGCTATTTACTTCTTCCATGACTGTGGGAAAATTATTCTTTCTTTGTAACTTTTAAGAAATTTTGTTAAATGGAAGCAATATTTTCAACCCTAAAAGATTTCTGTAAGGCCTCACTAAGCAAATGAATGTAAAGTACCAGCTAGTATAGTACCAAGAGCACAAATGTGTTCCAGTAAATGTGAGACATCATTATACCCAATAACAAATGGCCTTTCTTGTATGAGGCCAATGGGAAGGCAAGCATTATGGTAACGCTTTTGGAAAATGGTTTCCCAACATATTTCAGGAAACTAAAAGGCATCTTCTATATCCCAGTAATTCAGTTTCTAGGAATCTTACTTTACAGAAATCTCACCGTACTACTTTCCCACATAAAATACCTTAATAGTTCTATACTACCCTTGGGGTTAAAGTCAGTATCTCAAATAAAGTCTTAAACTTGTCCTTTATAATCTTTGTGCTTGTTAATCTTCAACCTCAACATTCTCATTGCTCATTTTGAGTATCTCAAGATAATAAATATATTTGAGATCCCCAAAGGAATCATGCACACCATTCTAACTATATTAACTAGTTTTTCCTTTTCTTTTTTACTCCCATTTTTTATTTTTATCCTTTAAAATCACTTACTCCAGGAAGCCTTATCATAAACTTTACATCTGGGTTATCTGCCCTCCTTTGTACTCCTAAAGACTCCTCTATGCTTCTAATCTGACATTTTCATCCCAGAGACTGTTCATTCGTTAATGTCCAACACAGAATGTAAGCTCCACGTCAACAGGAAGACGGCTCTTTGGCTTTTCATTGTATCTCCAACACCTAAAATATCCATGAGTATAATAGATGGCCCATGCTTGTTTGTTGAAGGAATATAGGAAATAAATCCAGAAAAACAAGAAAGGAGCTGTGGCCACTAAGACACTCACCACTGTGTTAATTAAAGGAGTAAAAAATTAGAACCAAATATCACCAAATTTTCCAAATAGAGAATGGGTTAAACAGTGATTTTCCATGTGATGAAATCTAAAGCCAGTGCATTTTATATACAAAGATTTTATAATAGCAAATGAAAATGATATAATCTATTATCAAGTTTAAAGAAAAAGCAAACTTATACATTTAATTAACTCAATTATGGGAAAAAACCCCTGTTATTATAGAAGAAATATACTGGAGGAAATATTCCAAAATATTAGTGGATCTTCTCTCTGGGTAGTGAGATTATGAATGATTTTTATTTTTAAAATATTATAAATATTATCCTACATTGTCCAAATGTTCTAAATGAGTTTGTATTTTTCTTCATTACTATTTAACAAAATTGTATTTAAAACAATACAAAATATTCAACACTGACAATGGAAAAGTTCGCCAGGGCAGGCTGGTGAGAGACTGAAATTGTGAGCTGGCGGCAGAAGCTGGTCAGCAGCAGCATGGATTAGTGTTTTTATTTATAAAGCTGCAATTTCTCCAAGCAAGACAGGCACATCCACCTGCTGATTTATACCCCTTGTCAAGGGAAGCCAAAGAACGGTAATTCTCTGATGGTAAGCCTTCCTTTGGGATGATGTTCAGTCACTTCACTCCCCAAATGCTTGATCAATTATATACTACCTGTTGATACTCTAGGAAACATTTAAAATAACTGTCTTTCATGCAGGAGAACCCCGCAAATCCAGTGATAGATACACTTTCTTTCCAGGTTCAAAAACACTCTTAACTGCACATGAGCCTTGACTTTTTGGCTTTGAGTCAAAACACTTCCCGGGGGAACCATACAGCTGAAAGCGATAGACTGAGTCCCTGCATGTTGTCTCGACCCATGTGATTACGGCAGGACACAAAACCTCGCTTGGCCTAAAATTGTCCATTTGTAAAATGGAAATAAGGGATTACATTGTACAACAATTTATTATTTGACCCATATGTGATATTAATTGTGAAAACATTTTGTAAATTTTAATTATTACTCAAATAGTCTACTTGCTGAGGAAGAGATTATCTTCTCATTTTTTTTTCAATCTGGCTCTAATCCTAACTAATCCATACAGTCCCTGAAAGCAAAACATCAGTCTTTTATATCTTAAGTGCCTAACACAGTGTCTGATGCATGAATAGTGTTCATAAAGTTCTCATTAAATTGATTCTGGATTGCCGTCAACCATTCAATGGCATAAACACCAAGTAATTATTTAATTCTTATTATAAACCAGTCACTGTACAAATTCCAAGGTAAATAAAAGTAGATTCTGCCCTCACAGCCTATAGACCATCAAATCAATTGATATTGAACAAATGTATACAAATGCGATATGGGTTACATGAAGACTTGCATGGGCATTTACCTTAGATTTGATTGCAGGCAGCCAGGCAATGGTTTCCTATGCAGACGGTTTTGAAATGTAATCTTTAATGATGAAAAGGAGTTAAAGCAGAGGAGCTTACATTCGAATAGGTTATTAGGTGTGGAAATAGCTTTTGGGGCAATGGTACATTTGAAAGCCCTGTTATGAAGTTCCATCACTAGCATTTTAGAAGTAGTCAACTAGACTGTGAGCTTCTCAACAACAGAGACCATATTCTTTTTGTCTTTGTGTTTCTAATATGTTGGACAGTGACAGCACACTATAGTAGAACTTTCATAACTGCTTATTGAATGTGTTAGCAGTTTCATCTGGACACTCAAATACCCTTTCTGTCTTAAAAGGAAATCATAGTATCTGGATCTGGGTATCTTACCACATTCAACCTTGAACGTTCTTTTTGCTAAAAATCTGACTGAAACAACTAACATTAGGTTAAAGTAGCCCAGGGGCATGCAATTCACCCCTTCTTCTATATATTTTTCTGGGCAGAAATTAAGATATATAATCTACCTGGAGCATATTTCCATAGTCAACCAACAAAATCTTCTGTCTGGAGATTTGAGTGCAAGGTCCTTGGCCTTTTATAAATGATCACTTTTCTTCCAGTAGTTGTTTTAGGCATTGTTGTTCCTATTCACCTCTCCACTCCTGCCATGACATTTTCATACTACAGATATCTTGTATATTCGTTTATGTATTTGGGGCCTATTGGAAGGCACAAACCATTGCAATATCTAAGATTTATTTATAGGCTCAAAAAAAAAAAAACACAACAACTATTTTTTCCCAATGGGAGACATACTACTTCCACTGAAAATGTATGCTAACACCAAAACCACACTATTTCTGTTACACTCCATTTTTAAATTTGGATTTGGGCTTTCCCTTGTTAAGACAGTATGATGGTATTTACTATAATGGCTGGTGGATTCAGACCTGAAACCAACCCCAGTTCTATAATTTTTACCCTGGGCAATACATTTAACCTCTCTCCATTTCCTCAGGCTTCTCGTTTGACAAATGGAGGTAATGATACTTAACAGAAAGAACTGTAGTGAGCATTAGATAAGATAATGCTTATAAATTGCTCCCTATAGCAAGTTCTCAGAAAAATTTTAGTGGTTTGTTGTTATCAGGAAAACATTCTAAGTGGGAGAAATAAATGAACAAAGAGAGAGTTGACAGTGGGTTTTGGTGTGACCCATTACTGAGAGGTGACTGACTCATGTTGGAAAACAGTGAGAAGGAAAAGGTCAAGGAACCTCAAAACATACAGGCCTTAAAATTTAAAGTCAGAACCTGTTGGAGGAACAAGCCTCCTATTCTACTATATTAGCTGTAAAATTTACTAGCTGTGTGACCTGGGAAATTCACTTAAACAGGGGAAATAGTACTGAGCAAATAGGATATTTGTGAGGACTTAACGAATTAATTTCATTAAGTTACAAAGCATATCTGTATGTGGTTGCTGGTAGTTTGCTTTGGCAAGTAAAGCCATTGAGTTGCAAATTGGTTTAAGCCTTGGTAAAAGATCATCCTGGGGAGGCATATAGGATGGTTCACAATTTTCAATTCCTAGGTCTCTAGGGTTATAATTGGAAGAAAAAGGTAATAATTGAATACCTCTAAGCTATTATCACTATTTCAAAAAGTCTAGCAGAAATTAGGCACGTCTCTAAAATAAGCAAATTCTGGAAATGTTTTACATTAGAAAATATTGGTTGTCGTATCTATACTAGGATTACAGATCAGCAGTTCTTTCTAGCTGTGATCAGTAAAGACTAGGAAATGAAGCATTTTAGAGCAAGGCTAGATTTTGGAGGCAGAAAATAGAAGTAAGTTAGTATCTCAGAGTGTATCCATGAAAAGGTGACCTAACCTTTTTGCATCTATAAAATGGGGACAAGAATATCTACTATGAAAGATTCTTGTCAGGAAACAATGAGATAATCTATATAAAATGCCTAGCAAAATGACATGAAAAATTGTCTCTAAATTTCATTCTCTCCCATTCATTGATAAATGCAAGTTTAATATAATATTTCAAAATACAAGGTCATATGAGAGAGAGAGAAAGAGAGAGAGAGAGCCAACATAAAGAATGCTCTGTGCTGAAAAGCAAAAACAGATTGTTGGTGTGCATTGCAGCCAGGAAGAAACTGTAAATAATAATGCAGGAGATAGGAGACTAGTGACTTGTGCTACATAAGGAGAGGTCTGGATGGAGAGGTAACCCCTGTATGAGGAGAATTTAGGTGGAAGTAAAATCAGAGTTTTCAGCACCATCTGACCTTGATAGGCCTGGAGTTGAGTTGGATTTTGAACCCAGATGGTATCTGGCTCCAAAACATCTACTAAGCAACCACACAGGTTCCCCCATGTTCTATAAAAACCAGAAAGAAATTCCTTGTAAGTTTATATCTTAACACAATTCTTCCAAGAAAGCCTCACTAACAACATTGTAAGTGGTGTTTGTTCTGTTAATCTTTGTTGAATGAATGATTGGATAAGGGAATTAATTGGGGCATGGATAAATGGAAGAATGGATGAGTAGCTGGGTGGCTGGCTGGCTAGCTGGACGAATACATGCCAGTAAGTGGCTAAACTACTTCATGCAGAAGGTGCAGCTATGCCAAAAATAGATTACAAAGGAAGTAAAATGCATAATCTCTGTTATTGAGCAAGATCAATAAAATTGGTCACCTGAAACAACTCTAGAAAGACCAAGTCATTGTGAGAATCTGGTGTAGATGGTAGAAACACTGATTCACACACGATTCATCCTGGAAGTGTCCTCAAGAGTCTAGCCTTCTTAATTTATAGAAGAAGATACCCAGGAGGCAGTGACATGCAGAGAGCTGCACAGTTAATATGTGACAGAACTAATGAAACCTAGTTCTCAAGACAATTACCTGTGCAGTGCACTTTTGGTTATACCTTTTCTATAAAATAGTTCCAAACATCAAGGCAACTATTGTTATTTTTTATTGCAGTCTCTTAGAGAAATAAAGTACTATTAGCCAAGGAGATTCAGGCTTTCTAAAGAGATGGCTCCTTTTGGATGAGCATGCTATACTCCCAGATAGGATTCAGACTCAGAAACTGAATGCAGGTTAAAGAAATGTTATTGTTTTTCTTATTTATAAAGTTATACTTGAATCAACCCAGACTAGAGAATATACTTGCCACATATAAATCTTTTCCTGTTAAATGGAAGAACTAGTCTAGGATTTATACACATTCTTTAGGGATCACAGCTAGTCACAGTTTTTGAAAGTATGTGATTGATTATCAAACATACATGAAAATCCTGAAACATTCAAAACTTATGGACATGGCACAGGAAAGAATATATAAACAGAGGGACAGGTTTACAAATCATGCAATAAATCTGAAATAAAGGGATTTCATTTTCCCAACCTTATTTTACACTTGAGATATAAGCGATTTATGTTATAAATCAGAACTCTAAAGTTCTGCCATCACAATAAAGTTTATAAATAACAACTCTTAAATTTTACTTACAGCTTTGTTTTATGAATTCTACCTTTTATAATTTTGATTCTTTCTCAGAATAAATTTTGTCATGAAGTTCCAACTTATAAATGATGGTGATTGCAAGGACTATATTTATTATGTTATCATTATTAGGGAATTACTGATAACCAAACTTTTTAGTAGGTTAAATTCTCGCATACTATATGTGAGTGAGAAAATATATACCTTACCGACTAAAAAGGGGATATGAAATGTGATATGGTATTTAATAACCACTGAGCTACCTCAGCTTTCATAATGAGAAATCTCTCTGGAGACATTGATAGTTTAAACGGGCACAGGAAGAGACAAGTGAAGTTTACTTCTGCTACCTCCCCCATGGGAGGGAGTACCCCTAGACAGTGATACTTTCCACCCCCCATGCCTGAGAACAGAGCCTTGACTGACCAGATGGTAATATTTCATAGCAATCTCTAACATTAGCCTTACAGATGTGTAACAGCACAGCAATATCGTTCCACTATCCACAAGTAAGGTGTATTTTGTTTATCTTTCTTTTTCCTTTTAAACATCAGAGAACTATGACTAAATAGAGTTCTTCAGTGAATGGTCATTATCATGGCTATCTTTTCCCAAGCATCTATTATGAGACAAACACTGTGCTTGATATTTTCATGCATTATATTTTTTAATCCTCTTCACAATACCATGAATTAAGTTGCTGCAGCCCAGGAAGCTGGAGATCTGAAAATGTGCCCATCTTGCCTGTGTGTAGCGAGCCAATTTCTTGGAAAAGGAAGAGGTTTCTTGGAATTGCACAGGATGCTTCTTGGCATTCTCACATCTCAAGGGCTTTCAGGAGGGGTTTTAAACACAAATACTTACAGGGGCCATGTGCGTTGCATAACTGAGTGATTTCTATCAGGTACATGCTCTACCTAAAGGGCTCAGACAGTGCTCTACACCATCCGGTTGCTATCTGTGGAAATAGGAGCTCAGAAGTTCCAGAACAGATGTTTCAAAAAAGGTTACAAACCCAGTCTTTTCCATGGAAACATAATTTTTTAAATGATAACTCATGGTTTTGGATTTCAATTTTTTTGTAAACACTGTGCTGACCACAAAATACTTAAAATCAGGTTTTGCACAAAATCTGCTGCTTTGAGACATCTGATACAGATATTACAAACTTTAGGATAATCTGTTTATGTGTAGATACTCATTTATTTACTTAATGTTGGAGGGTGTGGGTGTGATGATTCTTTCTGAGTATGTGGGGGATTTATCTGTGTTCCTAGTATGTGGAGTTAACTCAATCACCATACCTCAGGAATTAATTTATATCTCAGCATTGTTTACACTATTCCCAATGGAATCGATAAATTGATTTCTTCTGTTTTCTCACTCTTATCAATCTTATCAATGCTGTCATCCATCATTGTGAGTTTTCTCTGTGGACGCTGTTGCTACCATGTAGTTTTTCTGGGTCAATTTTGGTAAGTCTAAATTTTACCTGTGCATTTTTAGCAAATGTCAAATTTCCTTTGTGTGAATTATTTCTCCTAGTAATATTATTTATGTTAATTAATTTATTAATCGAATCAGTCCTGCTCATTTGTATTTATGAATGAGCAAACCCCAAAAAGCATGGTGATTGTCTCTCCTAGGATAATCCAGGGTTGTTTCATATTCTAGGAATTAAATATCTCTGGTAACTTTGCATATTTTGGCCTGGCCATTCATACAAAAGGTAGGCAGGATTTATTAGAGCAAGGAGAGTTCAAAGTTAGTGAAACTGACTTATCTATGTAGGTTTAAACATTCAGATATATTTCATTCTGCTCCCTGGGAAATGTAATAAAACTTTCACTTTCAAAAGACTTGCTGAATGAGGAATGTAAAGTAATGCTCATTTAACAAGCATGACGAATAAAAGTCATGAAGAATCTGACAGAAATTGGTAATTGATTCTGTCCTATAATCTATTATTGCCTCTTCTTAGAATAAGATTATATATTTTTAAATAAAGTCCATCTTGTTCATCAGCGTTACTGAAACATTGTCTGTAATAACTGCATCACCCTTTAAGAGATAATGCCCATTTGATTTAGCACTAATTCACTTTCACCTCCTCTTAACCCTGTATATTTAACCTTTTTTCTTTTAGTCTTGAGAAGCTTGGTGTCTTAACATGATCATATTTACTAGAAGAAAAAGTTACCTTTCCACATACTCTCCAGCACCTGTTGTTTCCTGACTTTCTAATTATCGCCATTCTAACTGGTGTGAGATGGTATCTCATTGTGGTTTTGATTTGCATTTCTCTGATGGCCAGTGATGATGAGCATTTTTTCATGTGTCTGTTAGCTGCATAAATGTCTTCTTTTGAGAAGTGTTTGTTCATATCTTTCGCCCACTTTTTGATGGGGTTGTTTGTTTTTTTCTTGTAAATTTGTTTGAGTTCCTTGTAGATTCTGGATATTAGCCCTTTGTCAGATGAATAGATTGCAAAAATTTTCTCTCATTCTGTAGGTTGCCTGTTCACTCTGATGGTAGTTTCTTTTGCTGTGCAGAAGCTCTTTAGTTTAATTAGATCCCATTTGTCAATTTTGGCTTTTGTTGCCATTGCTTTTGGTGTTTTAGACATAAAGTCCTTGCACATGCCTGTGTCCTGAATGGTATTGCCTAGGTTTTCTTCCAGAGTTTTTATGGTTTTAGGTCTAACATTTAATCCTTTAATCCATCTTGAGTTAATTTTTGTATAAGGTGTAAGGAAGGGATCCAGTTTCAGCTTTTTACTTATGGCTAGGCAGTTTTCCCAGCACCATTTATTAAATAGGCAATCCTTTCCCCATTTCTTGTTTTTGTCAGGTTTGTCAAAGATCAGATAGTTGTAGATATGCAGCATTATTTCTGAGGGCTCTGTTCTGTTCCATTGGTCTATATCTCTGTTTTGGTACCAGTACCGTGCTGTTTTGGTTACTGTAGCCTTGTAGTATAGTTTGAAGTCAGGTAGCATGATGCATCCAGCTTTGTTCTTTTGGCTTAGGATTGACTTGGCAATGTGGGCTCTTTTTTGGTTCCATATGAACTTTAAAGAAGTTTTTTCCAATTCTGTGAAGAAAGTCATAGGAACACTTTTACACTGTTGGTGGGACTGTAAACTAGTTCAACTATTGTGGAAGTCAGTGTGGTGATTCTTCAGGGATCTAGAACTAGAAATACCATTAGACCCAGCCATCCCATTACTGGGTATTTACCCAAAGGATTATAAATCATGCTGCTATAAAGACACATGCACATGTAGGTTTATTGCGGCATTATTCATAATAGCAAAGACTTGGAACTAACCCAAATGTCCAACAATGATAGACTGGATTAAGAAAATGTGGCACATATACACCAGGGAATACTATGCAGCCATAAGAAAGGATGAGTTCATGTCTTTGTAGGGACATGGATGAAGCTGGAAACCATCATTCTCAGCAAACTATCGCAAGGACAAAAAACCAAACACCGCATGTTCTCACTCATAGGTGGAAATTGAACAATGAGAACACATGGACACTGGAAGGGGAACATCACACACCTGGGCCTGTTGTGGGGTGGGGGAAGGGGGAAGGGATAGCATTAGGAGATATACCTAATGTTAAATGAGAAGTTAATGGATGCAGCACACCAACATGGCACATGTATACATATGTAACAAACCTGCACATTGTGCACATGTACCCTAAAACTTAAAGTATAATAAAAAAAATTACGTTTCTTGGAATTTATTTAATGTTTATGTTTTAAAGAGAAAATATAACCTTATTTTTTTTTTTTTTTTTTTTTTTTTTTTTTTTTTTTTTTTTAGTTTGAGTGCTGTGACAGCCTTGGGAAATAGTCAAAACCTAATACCACAGGCTTCATCCTTGTTCTGTGGAAAAAAACAAAATTATTTGATGCTGTATCTGAAATTCAAGCCAATTTAAATTGAGCATGTACAGGGTCTCTCTCCTTGTTTTCCCTTTAATCATACTGATACTGTGCCCTGGCCTCCATGTGGCTGATACATTATTTCACAGTACTCAGTTTGATGCTTTGCAAGGGTTTGCCAGTTCGTTCAAAAGAGCCTGTTCAACATCCTCAATTTCATGGAAAAATAGCCAAAGAGAGAATGACTTTCTACTGTGTCTTCTGTATTCCATTTATAGTATCCAATCATCATCATCATAATCATACTAATATTACCAATAATAGTTATTGCTTAGAAAGTGCAGCATAGTAAAAGTGTCAGCAATTTATTTATATTTTCTAGAGTCCTAAAAACTACACTGCATGGAAGGTAGAATTTCTGACTTTACCTCATGATGAAAATCTAAAAGCTCAGAGGGTCTATGTATTTGATTAGACCCTCCAAGATCATTGCTTCTTTCTGAGCTCCGTGTCTACATATAAGTAAAGATATTTTTTCTTGGTTCTCAGGAAACATAGTGGCGCAGAGGATTTCTTTTGATATCTGGTCTTAAACTCATAAATAGGTTCGAAATTTTTGCCATTGTTAGTGATTGAGCTGAAGAGACTTTCCACTTTTTGGGAGAAGGAGTTAATATTTGCCAAGTTTCTCCACTTGTCAGACCCTTTAAGGGGCATGGTGAACACCTGGATATTTAATATATGTTATTCTAAAAGCTAACTTTCATTTGAGAAGTATCTGTATGGGTCCTTTGCCCATATTTTAATTAGGTTATATGCTTTCTTGCTATTGAGTTGTTTGAGTTCTTTATATGCTTTGGCTATTAACCCCTTATCAGATGTATGATCTACAAATATTTTCTCCCATTCTCTGAGTTGTCTCTTCACTTTATTTTTTTCTGTGCAAAAGCCTTTTAATTTGATGCTATTTCATTTGTCTATTTATACTTTTGTTGCCTATACTTTTGGGGTTCTAATGCTGACTATATATCCAAAGATACTTAAATCAACATGTCAAAGGGATATCTGCAAGCCTTTGTTCATTGCAGTATTACTCACAATAGCCAAGATATAACATATAAAATTTGCCTGTCTATCAACAGATGAATTGACAAAGAAAATGTGGCCTATAGGCCAGGCGCAGTGGCTCACGCCTGTAATCCCAGCAATTTGAGAGGCTGAGGCAGGCGGATCATGAGGTCAGGAGTTCGAGACCTGCCTGACCAACATAGTGAAACACTGTCTCCACTAAAAAAATAAAAATATTAGGTGGGTGTGGTGGCGTACACCTGTAGTCCCAGCTACTTGGGAGGCTGAGGCAGGAGAATCACCTGAACCTGGGAGGTGGAGGTTGCAGTGAGCCAAGATCGCACCACTGCTCTCCAGCCTGGATGACAGAGTGAGACCTCATCTCAAAAAAAAAAAAAAGAAAAGAAAAGAAAAGAAAAGAATATGTGGCAAACATAGACAACATAATACTGTTTAGTCTTGGAAAAAGATGACAATACTGCAATTTCTGACAACACAGATGAATCTAGAGGACATTATGCTAACTGAAATAAGCCAGGTACAGAAAAACAAATACTGTATAATCTCAATTATATGGGAAATCTAGTAAAGTTAAATCATAGAAGTAAAGAGTAGAATGGTGGTTACCAGAGGCAAGGCTGCAGCTTTAGGAAGAAAGGTAATGAAAAGTTTGGATCTAAGGATGCAAAGTTTCAAATAGACAAGAGGAATAAATTTTGAGATTTATTGCTCAACAGAGTTGGTATACTCAGTAATAAAGTATTATATATTTTGAAATAACTAAGTAAATTTCAAGTGTCTCACTATAAAAATGATAGGTAAACAAGGTGATAAATATGTTAATTAGCTTAACTATTCTGCCTTGTATGCATATATCAAAACCTCACATTATATCCCATAAACATGTACAATTGTGATTTGTCAATCAAAAAGAATATTAATAATAACAAAATTAAAAATAAAAAGCTAATCTTTGTAGAGCAGTCTACTACATCAGCCACTGTTTCACATGCTTTACATTCATATTAAACTATTAAATTCTCACAATAACCCTATGGGGTAGGACTCTAATTACTCCTATTTTCAGGTGAGGAAACTAAGGCCTAGAGAATATAAAATGGTAGAGCTAAGATTTGAAACAATCTGGCTACAGAGCTCGAGTTGTTAAATGCTACACTACATCATGTCTTCATATTACAATTCCTACCCTCTAAGGGCTTGTACCTGTTAGACAAGACAGATGTACACATAAATCAATTATGTCATGTCACTAACATATTACACTTGATTTGCACAAACCATTATGGAATGATCCTGATAAAGAAGAAAACCCTAGTAGAATCTGGCAGAGGCTGGATATGGTGAAAAGAGAACAACGGCCAGGAGGGCATGTAACAGAAGCAGCACCTATCCTTATGAGCCTTAAACTATGAAAAGACAAGAGGGATGGGCCCTCTTGGTCAAGAGAAAAGATCTGTGAAAATGATTTTGAAATTTTCTTCTAATTCTACAGCTCTAAATCATTTAATTGCATATGCTCTGTTGTTGATTATATCTTATATTTGAATTGTACTTTACAACTGTTATCTCTCTTGTCCAGTGAGGTCTGTAAAGCAAAAACGATCTTTCTGTCCTGAGAGATGCTGAAACTGTGTTAAAAGTAAGTGGTGCCACTACCATCATAGGCAAGCTAGTGGCAGAGATAAGACTATGAGCTCCCAATACTATGATCTTTCCATCGGACTTTGAGTTATGTCAGGTACTCAACTTATAAGTCAAAGGCTTTCTAAATAATAGTGATATTTACTGATTACTAGATGCTTATAAAAGAGAAGGTACTGTGCTAAGCACTTAATATGCATGGTCTTTAAAAAATCTTAGTTAATTATGCGATAGTTATCATTGTTCTAATTGCATATGAGAAAACTGAAATTTGGAGAAGTTACATAATTTTCCTAACACAATTACTACATCAACACTGGTGATAAGCAAAGCTAAGACTAAAGATTGATCTTCAGTAAGAAAATGGCTGCATTCAGTGGCCAAATCCAAACTAGCATTTTAATATGTGTGCTAGTACACAGCTATTAGCAATATTTGTGTTTGGTCATTTCAACCAGAAATTCTGGAATCTTCTTCCATTTTTGGAATCTGACCTTTGCCTCAGTTACTGACTCCATGACAAAAAAATCCCTCAATATTCTATCATCTCCAAGGTATCTTCACAGTTCTTTGTAGCTTATTTTTAGATCAAAGATGCATCTTAGAAAAATATTTTTGTCAAATATTCTGTTATCTAATTTTATTTTATCCTGGGAGCAATAGACAAACAACTTATCGGGCAGTGGTAAAAAAGAGACTGGGAGTATTCAACAGGAGCTAGATTCTCATCCAGGTACGCTGCCCTGCTTGGAGCCACGGCACATATCCTAAGTGTTACTAAGTGCATATCATCTTCCACTAATCACATGTTATCTTCAAAGCACAAAATGAAGCCAAATATTATTATCTCCAGTACACAGATAAGGAAACTGATGATCAGGGTAGTTAACAAAACATTGTAACATTATATGATTTGATGTAGAGGGAGGATGGGGTTCAAATAGAAGTCGCATTTACACCTTATGACCCTGCCCTGATACACATTTTATGATGTTCCCATCCTTGCCATTTTCTTTGTCATTCCCCTTGTTAGGATATTCTTGATACCCTTGTTCTAACTTTAAAATCATTTGAGCACTTTTTTCCTCCTTGGATTGCTGCTGTTTCATTAGCAATGAAGTCTGAGTTGGGGAACCTAAATACTAATTCCAGATGTAGCACCTACATCATACCACATGACTGACCTCTCAGGGTCTCAGTCTCTTCGTCAATAAAATGGGAAGGCTAGGCTCAAGATGTGTTTCTCAAACGTGGCTGCATGTTAGAATCACCTCATCACTATTGTTAATTTTGTAAAATTGTACACGGCATAATAACTATACCTTAAAAAAGTGGTAATATATACCATGAAATACTATGCAGCCATAAAAAAGAATGAGATTATGTCCTTTACAACAACATGCATGAAGCTGAAGGCCATTTTCCTAAGTGAATTAAGCAGAAACAGAAAACCAAATACTATGTGTTCTCATTTATAAGTGGGAGCTAAGCATTAAGTACACATGGACACGAAGGAAGGAAAAACAAACACCAGGGCCCCCTTAAGGGTGGAGGTTATGAGGAGAGTGAGGATTGAAAAACTATTGGGTATTATGCTCATTAACTGGGTAACAAAGTTATCTGCATACCGAAGCCCCACGATGTGCAGTTTACTCATGCAACGAACTTGCACAAGCACCCCTTGAACATAAAAACTGAAGAGAAAAAATAAATAAAAGAGACTTAAGAAGCAAAAACAAAATTCATTTTCAGTGACACATACTGAGATACTCATGTGTTCATTTATATCATTCCTTAGATTTGGTTTAAAATACTCTAGCATTTTTTTAAGTATTGTCATGACAGATGAACAAGACTGGTAAAATATCAACAACTGTTGAAGCTAAGTAAAGAGATATTCTACTATTCAGTCCATTTTTGTGTGTGGCTATAAAAGATTATGTAAAAGGTTTAAAAAATCACTTAGTAATCTATTAAAATAGTTGTGCATAAGCCACACTCTCAGAAATTTTAATTCAATTATTGGAGGTAAGAGGGAAGCTATGACTTAAGTATAAGTATCTTCCAGAAAGTTACTCAGGTGGTTCTAACAGGAAGTCAAGACTAAATATTTGCTTGGAATTCTGGATAACTTATACGGTTTCTTCTAAATATAATTCTATAGATACCAACACTTTTAGAAAAAGACACTATTTGGCTTAATCCACTAGTATGAGAGGAAATGCTCCACACTTGAAGGGGAGTGTTTTTGGGACCCAGTGCAACTTACCATAAAGGCCTTCCATCACCTCTCAAAACCCTGGCTTTCTTATCCATGACTTGAAGGAAACGAACTCAAGCAAACTCCAATCACTCTATAAAAGCTGTAGCCCCAGGGGAAGATGAGAGAAGACAGCTGGTACATCTGGCTAAACTCAATTACAGCTGAGATGTGTTAGTCCATGCTTTCCTTGTCCTTTGTACAGGCCTGAAAAAGAAAGATGTCTAGACATTGGGGTTTTCCATCCTCTTCTCACTCCTTTAAATGAGCTGAATAGTCAACTAAGGTTATACTTTTGGATTCCTGCATATATACATTCATCTTTTTTATTCATGTATTGGATTAAGCCTTGTACATATGCCATATGCCGTTACTTTTATTTATTTCCTTTTTTTTTTTTGAGACAGATTCTTGCTCAGTCACTCAGGCTATAGTGCAGTGGCACAACCTCTGCTCACTGCACCCTCTGCCTCCCAGCTTCAAGTGATTCTCCTGCCTCAGCCTCCCAAGTAGCTGTGTTTTGTAGTCCAAAAAGTTTTGTATTTTTAGTAGAGACGTGGTTTCACCATGTTGGCCAGGCTGGTCTTGAAATCCTGGCCTTAAGTGATGCACCTGTCTCAACCTCCCAAATTGCTGGGATTACAGGTGTGAGCCACCATGCCTGGCTGCCATTACTTTTAGTATCAACAAAAATATAGTAAAATATTATAGCTATATCCAATCTTCAGATGGAAACCAAGGATTAAAGAGATTGAATAATTTTTCCAAGGTAACAGAAGCAGCAAATGGAAAAGCTGGACTGTGAACCCAAATCTGTATCATCCTCTAGAGCTGGACTATCAACATCCCTACAATTGTAGAGAAACAGTCATTGAATTCTTTTCTTGTCATTTCTTTTCTTTCTTCCCTCTCCTGCTCTCTCTCCCTCTTCCTCCCTCCTTCCTTCACTCTTTGTCTTCTCTCTATTCTTCTTTATTTATTTATTTCTCAAAAATCTTTATCTGGTCTCTTAACCCCATCTTCTCTGAAACCTGTTGCTCATGAGCCCCATTTGTTGATGCTTCTTTATCCTCTATTTCCACAGGCTCTCTTTTCAATTCTAGTCTCTTACTAGCAACCATTGCAGAATTCTACTTGTATCTGTTGCCAAATTATTTGAATAATAAGAAATGCAAGACTCTTAGAAAATCAGAAAGGGCAAATTCAAGGAATAAAGAAACAGTTTGAAATGGAAATAAGCCTCAATTTTGATTGCTTAGCAGAAGGATGTGCCTTGTAGTTCCGAATGAAAAAATTATTTCTACACTTGCCTCTACAGAAAAAAAAAGTTAGAAAAGTCACACAATTAGTGAAAGTTTCCCCCAGCCTGCAATCCCAGACTTCATTTCTTGCCTGGCCCTTGGTCTCAGGAAGATAGCTTTCAACTGCTGTGTCACCAATGTTTCAAAGGTGGTTTAAGGAATTAGCCCTCTGTCCTTGGTCGGCTGGGCAGCATGGGTGACTGGAACTCCAGACTATAGTACTATCTTTTCATCTCCGTGTGCTCATAAAGGTTATCATGTGCTTCCAGACATGAAAATGGTTGGAGGCACCTCTAAGTTTGTTTTTATATTTTGATTTATTTTCTACTATTTGTCCTCTCTGAAATATTTAACCACATACTATTTCCTCTGTGAAATAATTAACCACTCACAACTTGGGGATTTTTTTGTTTGTTTGTGTTTTTTAAAAATTCTCCCTTTCATTTTTTAATATCTTAGTATAAATAGATATCACAGCTATTTTTAAAAATCAGGCCTAATTTACAGCTTAATGAATTATCACAAGGTGAATATCCTTGTAACTACTACCCAAGTTAAGAAAAATTTTTTTTTTTTTTTGAGGCTGAGTCTTGCTCTGTTGCCCAGGCTGGAGTGCAGCGGCGCGATCTTGGCTCACTGTAACCCCCACCTGCCAGGTTCAAGTGATTCTTTGCCTCAGCCTCCAAGTAGCTGGGATTACAGGCGCCCACCACCATGCATGCCCGGCTAATTCTTTTTTTGTTTTGTTTTGTTTCCTATTTTTAATAGAGATGGAGTTTCACCATCTTGGGCAGGCTGGTCTTGAACTCTTGACCTCACAATCCACCTGCCTCGGCCTCCCAAAGTGCTGGGATTACAGGCATGAGTCACTGTGCCTGGCCAAAATAAAACTTTTAAAGCCTCTCTGGATCTTCTAGAGAGCAGCAGATATGTAAGTTGTTTATATAGTGACTGTACTACTTTATAGGCAGGGGAAGATATTGTAACACAGGGTAGAATTTGTTCTGTTATGTATTTACTTCTGATCTCTTGCTTCCGTAAATTTACCTACACTATCATCTAAACAGTGATTCTTGATGTATGCACTTTATTTTTTTTATTTTTTATTTTATACATATATATATATTTATTATACTTTAAGTTCTAGGGTACATGTGCACAACGTGCAGGTTTGTTACATATGTATACATGTGCCATGTTGGTGTGCTGCACCCATTAACCCATCATTTACATTAGGTATATCTCCTAATGCTATCCCTCCCCACTCACCCCCCCGACAACAGGCCCCAGTGTGTGATGTTCCCCTTCCTGTGTCCATGTGTTCTCATTGTTCAATTCCCACATATGAGTGAGAACATGCTGTGTTTGGTTTATTGTCCTTGCGATAGTTTGATGAGAATGATGGTTTCCAGCTTCATCCATGTCCCTACAAAGGACATGAACTCATCCTTTTTAATGGCTGCATAGTATTCCATGGTGTATATGTGTCACATTTCCTTTCTTTTTTTTTTTAGCTGTTGGATATTTTTGTTTATTTTTTATTTTATTATTATTATACTTTAAGTTTTAGGGTACACGTGCACAATGTGCAGGTTAGTTACATATGTATACACGTGCCATGCTGGTGTGCTGCACCCATTAACTCGTCATTCAGCATTAGGTATATCTCCTAATGCTATCCCTTCCCCTTTCCCCTACCCCACAACAGTCCCCAGAGTGTGATGTTCCCCTTCCCGTGTCCATGTGTTCTCATTGTTCAATTCCCACCTATGAGTGAGAACATGCAGTGTTTGTTTTTTTGTCCTTGCGATAGTTTACTGAGAATGATGATTTCCAATTTCATCCATGTCCCTACAAAGGACAAGAGCTCATCACTTTTATGGCTGCATAGTATTCCATGGTGTATATGTGCCACATTTTCTTAATCCAATCTATCATTGTTGGACATTTGGGTTAGTTCCAAGTCTTTGCTATTGTGAATAGTGCCGCAATAAACATATGTGTGCATGTGTCTTTATAGCAACATGATTTATAGTCCTTTGGGTATATACCCAGTAATGGGATGGCTGGGTCAAATGGTATTTCTAGTTCTAGATCCCTGAGGAATCACCACACTGAATTCCACAATGGTTGAACTAGTTTACAGTCCCACCAACAGTGTAAAAGTGTTCTGATTTCTCCACATCCTCTCCAGCACCTGTTGTTTCCTGACTTTTTAATGATTGCCATTCTAACTGGTGTGAGATGGTATCCCATTGTGGTTTTGATTTGCATTTCTCTGATGGCCAGTGATGATGAGCATTTTTTCATGTGTCTTTTGGCTGCATAAATGTCTTCTTTTGAGAAGTGTTTGTTCATATCTTTCGCCCACTTTTTGATGGGGTTGTTTGTCTTTTTCTTGTAAATTTGTTTGAGTTCCTTGTAGATTCTGGATATTAGCCCTTTGTCAGATGAGTAGGTTGTGAAAATTTTCTCCCATTTTGTAGGTTGCCTGTTCACTCTTATGGTAGTTTCTTTGGCTGTGCAGAAGCTCTTTAGTTTAATTAGATCCCATTTGTCAATTTTGGCTTTTGTTGTCATTGCTTTTGGTGTTTTAGACATGAAGTCTTTGCCCATGCCTATGTCCTGAATGGTAATGCCTAGGTTTTCTTCTAGGGTTTTTATGGTTTTAGGTCTAACGTTTAAGTCTTTAATCCATCTTGAATTAATTTTTGTATAAGGTGTAAGGAAGGGATCCAGTTTCAGCTTTCTACATATGGCTAGCCAGTTTTCCCAGCACCATTTATTAAATAGGGAATCCTTTCCCCATTGCTTGTTTTTCTCAGGTTTGTCAAAGATCAGATAGTTGTGGATATGCGGCGTTATTTCTGAGAGCTCTGTTCTGTTCCATTGATCTGTATCTCAGTTTTGGTACCAGTACCATGCTATTTTGGTTACTGTAGCCTTGTAGTATAGTTTGAAGTCAGGTAGCGTGATGCCTCCAGCTTTGTTCTTTTGGCTTAGGATTGACTTGGCAATGCGGGCTCCTTTTTGGTTCCATATGAACTTTAAAGTAGTTTTTTCCAATTCTGTGAAGAAAGTCATTGGTAGCTTGATGGGGATGGCATTGAATCTATAAATTACCTTGGGCAGTGTGGCCATTTTCATGATATTGATTCTTCCTACCCATGAACATAGAATGTTCTTCCATTTCTTTGTGTCCTCTTCTATTTCATTGAGCAGTGGTTTGTAGTACTCCTTGAAGAGGTCCTTCATGTCCCTTGTAAGTTGGATTCCTAGGTATTTTATTCTCTTTGAAGCAATTGTGAATGGGAGTTCACTCATGATTTGGCTCTCTGTTTGTCTGTTATTAGTGTATAAGAATACTTTTGATTTTTGTACATTGATTTTGTATCCTGAGACTTTGCTGAAGTTGCTTATATGCTTAAGGAGATTTTGGGCTTAGACAATGGGGTTTTCTAGATATACAATCATGTCATCTGCAAACAGGGAAAATTTGACTTCCTCTTTTCCTAATTGAATACCCTTTATTTCCTTCTCCTGCCTAATTGCCCTGGCCAGAACTTCCAACACTATGTTGAATAGGAGTGGTGAGAGAGGGCATCCCTGTCTTGTGCCAGTTTTCAAAGGGAATGCTTCCAGTGTTTGCCCATTCAGTATGATATTGGCTGTGGGTTTGTCATAGATAGCTCTTATTATTTTGAGATACATCCCATCAATACCTAATTTATTGAGAGTTTTTAGCATGAAGCATTGTTGAATTTTGTCAAAGGCCTTTTCTGCATCTATTGAGATAATCATGTGTATTTGTCTTTGGTTCTGTTTATATGCTGGATTACATTTATTGATTTGCGTATATTGAACCAGCCTTGCATCCCAGGGATGAAGCCAAATTGATCATGGTGGATAAGCTTTTTGATGTGCTGCTGGATTTGGTTTGCCAGTATTTTATTGAGGATTTTTGCATCAATGTTCACCAAGGCTATTGGTCTAAAATTCTCTTTTTTTGGTTGTGTCTCTGCCTAGCTTTTGTATCAGGATGATGCTGGCCTCATAAAACGAGTTAGGGAGGATTCCCTCTTTTTCTATTGATTGGAATAGTTTCAGAAGGAATGGTACCAGCTCCGCCTTGTGCCTCTGGTAGAATTCAGCTGTGAATCCGTGTGGTCCTGGACTTTTTTTGGTTGGTAAGCTATTAATTATTGCCTCAATTTCAGATCCTGTTATTGGTCTATTCAGAGATTCAACTTCTTCCTGGTTTAGTCTTGGGAGGGTGTATGTGTTGCGGAATTTATCCATTTCTTCTAGATTTTCTAGTTTATTTGCATAGAGGTGTTTGTACTATTATCTGATGGTAGTTTGTATTTCTGTGGGATAAGTGGTGATATCCCCTTTATCATTTTTTATTGCGTCTATTTGATTCTTCTCTCTTTTTTTCTTTATTAGTCTTGCTAGCGGTCTATCAATTTTGTTGATCCTTTCAAAAAACCAGATCCTGGATTCATTAATTTTTTGACGGGATTTTTGTGTCTCTATTTCCTTCAGTTCTGCTCTGATTTTAGTTATTTCTTGCCTTCTGCTAGCTTTTGAATGTGTTTGCTCTTGCTTTTCTAGTTCTTTTAATTGTGATGTTAGGGTGTCAGTTTTGGATCTTTCCTGCTTTCTCTTGTGGGCATTTAGTGCTATAAGTTTCCCTCTACACACTGCTTTGAATGTGTCCCAGAGATTCTGGGATGTTGTGTCTTTGTTCTCGTTGGTTTCAAAGAACATCTTTATTTCTGCCTTCATTTCGTTATGTACCCAGTAGTCATTCAGGAGCTGGTTGTTCAGTTTCCATGTAGTTGAGCGGTTTTGAGTGAGTTTCTTAATCCTGAGTTCTAGTTTGATTGCACTGTGGTCTGAGAGATAGTTTGTTATAATTTCTCTTCTTTTACGTTTGCTGAAGAGAGCTTTACTTCCAACTATGTGGTCAATTTTGCAAAAGGTATGGTGTGGTGCTGAAAAGAATGTATATTCTGTTGATTTGGGGTGGAGAGTTCTGTAGATGTCTATTAGGTCTGCTTGGTGCAGAGCTGAGTTCAATTCCTGGGTATCCTTGTTAACTTTCTGTCTTGTTGATCTGTCTAATGTTGACATTGGGGTGTTAAAGTCTCCCATTATTATTGTGTGGGAGTCTAAGTCTCTTTGTAGGTCACTCAGGACTTGCTTTATGAATCTTGGTGCTCCTGTATTGGGTGCATATATATTTAGGATAGTTAGCTCTTCTTGTTGAATTGATCCCTTTACCATTATGTAATGGCCTTCTGTGTGTCTTTTGATCTTTGTTGGTTTAAAGTCTGTTTTATCAGAGACTAGGATTTCAACCCCTGCCTTTTTTTGTTTTCCATTTTCTTGGTAGATCTTCCTCCATCCTTTTATTTTGAGCCTATGTGTGTCTGCACGTGAGATGGGTTCCCTGAATACAGCACTCTGATGGGTCTTGACTCTTTATCAAATTTGCCAGTCTGTGTCTTTTAATTGGAGCATTTACTCCATTTACATTTAAGATGAATATTGTTATGTGTGAATTTTATCCTGTCATTATTATGTTAGCTGGTTATTTTGCTCATTAGTTGATGCAGTTTCTTCCTAGTCTCGATGGGCTTTACATTTTGGCATGATTTTGCGGCGGCTGGTACTGGCTGTTCCTTTCCATGTTTAGTGCTTCCTTCAGGAGCTGTTTTAGCGTGGGCCTGATGGTGACAAAATCTCTCAGCATTTGCTTGTCTGTAAAGTATTTTATTTCTCCTTTACTTAAGAAGCTTAGTTTGGCTGGATATGAAATTCTGGGTTGAAAATTCTTTTCTTTAAGAAAGTTGAATATTGTCCCCCACTCTCTTCTGGCTTGTAGAGTTTCTGCCGAAAGATCCACTGTTAGTCTGATGGGCTTCCCTTTGTGGGTAACCTGACCTTTCTCTCTGGCTGCCCTTAACATTTTTTCCTTCATTTCAACTTTGGTGAATCTGACAATTATGTGTCTTGGAGTTGCTCTTCTTGAGGAGTATCTTTGTGGCTTTCTCTGTATTTCCTGAATCTGAATGTTGGCCTGCCTTGCTAGATTGGGGAAGTTCTCCTGGATAATATCCTGCAGAGTGCTTTCCAACTTGGTTCCATTCTCCCCCTCACTTTCACGTACACTAATCAGATGTAGATTTGGTCTTTTCACATAGTCCCATACTTCTTGGAGGCTTTGTTCATTTCTTTTTATTCTTTTTTCTCTAAACTTCCCTTCTCACTTCATTTCATTCATTTCATCTTCCATCACTGATACCCTTTCTTCCAGTTGATCGCATCGGCTCCTGAGGCTTCTGCATTCTTCACGTAGTTCTCGAGCCTTGGTTTTCAGCTCCATCAGCTCCTTTAAACACTTCTCTGTATTGGTTATTCTAGTTATACATTCACCTAAATTTTTTTCAAAATTTTTAACTTGTTTGCCTTTGGTTTGAATTTCCTCCTGTAGCTCGGTGTAGTTTGATCATCTGAAGCCTTCTTCTCTCAACTTGTCAGAGTCATTCTCTATCCAGCTTTGTTCCATTGCTGATGAGGAACTGCGTTCCTTTGGAGGAGGATAGGCACTCTGCTTTTTAGAGTTTCCAGTTTTTCTGCTCTGTTTTTTCCCCATCTTTGTGGTTTTATCTACTTTTGGTCTTTGATGATGGTGATGTACAAATGGGTTTTTGGTGTGTATGTCCTTTCTGTTTGTTAGTTTTCCTTGTAACAGGCAGGACCCTCAGCTGCAGGTCTGTTGGAGTTTGCTAGAAGTCCACTCCAGACCCTGTTTGCCTGGGTATCAGCAACAGTGGCAGTAGAATAGTGGATATTGGTGAACCGCAAATGCTGCTGCCTGATCCTTCCTCTGGATGTTTTGTGTCACTGGAGTACCCAGCCGTGTGAGGTGTCAGTCTGCCCCTACTGGGGGTGCCTCCCAGTTAGGCTGCTCGGGGGTCAGGGGTCAGGGACCCACTTGAGGGGGCAGTCTGCCCGTTCTCAGATCTCCAGCTGCATGCTGGGAGAACCACTTCTCTCTTCAAAGCTGTCAGACAGGGACATTTAAGTCTGCAGAGGTTACTGCTGTCTTTTTGTTTGTCTGTGCCCTGCCCCCAGAGGTGGAGCCTACAGAGGCAGGCAGGCCTCCTTGAGCTGTGGTGGGCTCCACCCAGTTTGAGCTTCCCAGCTACTTTGTTTACCTAAGCAAGCATGGGCAATGGTGGGCGCCCCTCCCCCAGCCTAGCTGCTGCCTTGCAGTTTGATCTCAGACTGCTGTGCTAACAATCAGCCAGACTCCTTGGGCATAGGACCCTCTGAGCCACGTGCGGGATATAATCTCCCGGTGCGCCGTTTTTTAAGCCCGTCGGAAAAGCGCAGTATTAGGGTGGGAGTGACCCTATTTTCCAGGTGCTGCCTGTCACCCCTTTCTTTGACTAGGAAAGGGAACTCCCTGACCCCTTGCACTTCCCGAGTGAGGCAATGCCTCATGCTGCTCGGCTCGCACACGGTGCGCTGCACCCACTCTCCTGCACCCACTCTCTGGCACTCCCTAGTGAGATGAACCTGGTACCTCAGATGGAAATGCAGAAATCACCCATCTTCTGTGTCACTCACGCTGGGAGCTGTAGACCGGAGTTGTTCCTATTCAGACATCTTGGCTGCCCTCTCCCATTTTCTTAATCCAGTCTATCATTGTTGGACGTTTGGGTTGGTTCCAAGTCTTTACTATTGTGAGTGGTGCCGCAATAAACATATGTGTGCATGTGTCTTTATAGCAGCATGATTTATATTCCTTTGGGTATATACCAGGAATGGGATGGCTGGGTCAAATGGTATTTCTAGCTCTAGATCCCTGAGGAATCGTCACACTGTCTTGCACAATGGTTGAACTAGTCTACAGTCCCACCAACAGTGTAAAAGTGTTCCTATTTCTCCACATCCTCTCCAGCACCTGTTGTTTCCTGACTTTTTAATGATCGTCGTTCTAACTGGTGTGAGATGATATCTCATTGTGGTTTTGATTTGCATTTTTCTGATGACCAGTGATGATGAGCATTTTTTCATGTGTCTTTTGGCTGCATAAATGTCTTCTTTTGAGAAGTGTCTGTTTATATCCTTTGCCCACTTTTTTGATGGGGTTTTTTGTTTTTTTCTTGTAAATTTCTTTGAGTTCATTGTAGATTCTGGATATTAGCCCTTTGTTGAATGAGTAGCTTGCAAAAATTTTCTCCTATTCTGTAGGCTGCTGGTTCACTCTGATGGTAGTTTCTTTTGCTGTGCAGAAGCTCTTTAGTTTAATTAGATCCCATTTGTCAATTTCGGCTTTTGTTGTCATTGCTTTTGGTGTTTAGACATGAAGTCCTTGCACATGCCTATGTCCTGAATGGTATTGCCTAGGTTTTCTTCCAGGGTTTTTATGGTTTAGGTCTAACATTTAAGTCTTTAATCCATCTTGAGTTAATTTTTGTATAAGGTGTAAGGAAGCGATCCAATTTCATGTTTCTACATATGGCTAGGCAGTTTTCCCAGCATCATTTATTAAATAGGGAATATTTTCCCCATTTCTTTTTTTTGTCAGGTTTGTCAAAGATCAGATAGTTGTAGGTGTGTGGGATTGTTTCTGAGGGCTCTGTTCTGTTCCATTGGTCTATATCTCTGTTTTGGTACCAGTACCATGCTGTTTTGGTTACTGTAGCCTTGTAGTATAGTTTGAAGTCAGGTAGCATGATGCCTCCAGCTTTGTTCTTTTGGCTTAGGATTGACTTGGCAATGTGGGCTCTTTTTCGGTTCCATATGAACTTTAAAGAAGTTTTTTCCAATTCTATGAAGAAAGTCATTGGTAGTTTGATGGGGATGGCATTGAGTCTATAAACTACCTTGGGAAGTGTGGCCATTTTGATGATATTGATTATTCCTATCCATGAGCATGGAATGTTCCTCCATTTGTTTGTATGCTCTTTTATTTTGTTGAGCAGTGGTTTGTAGTTCTCCTTGAAGAGGTCCTTCACATCCCTTGTAAGTTGGATTCCTAGGTATTTTATTCTCTTTGAAGTAATTGTGAATGGGAATTCACTCATGATTTGGCTCTCTGTCTGTTATTGGTGTATAAGAATGCTTGTTATTTTTGCACATTGATTTTGTATCCTGAGACTTTGCTGAAGTTGCTTATCAGCTTAAGGTGATTTTGGGCTGAGACGATGGGGTTTTCTAGATATACAATTATGTCATCTGCAAACAGGGACAGTTTGACTTCCTCTTTTCCTAACTGAATGCCCCTATTTCTTTCTCCTGCCTGATTGCCCTGGCCAGAACTTCCAACACTATGTTGAGTAGGAGTGGTGAGAGAGGACATCCCTGTCTTGCACCAGTTTTCAAAAGGAGTGCTTCTAGTTTTTGCCCATTCAGTATGTTATTGGCTGTGGGTTCATCATAAATCACTCTTATTGCTTTTAGATACATTCCATCAATACCTAATTTGTTGAGAGGTTTTAGCACGAAGGGCTGCTGAATTTCATCAAAGGACTTTTCTGCATCTATTGAGATAATCAAGTGGTTTTTGCCATTGGTTCTGTTTATATGCTGTATTACATTTATTGATTTGCCAATGTTGAACCAGCCTTGCATCCCAGGGATGAAGCCAAATTGATCATGGTGGATAAGCTTTTTGATGTGCTGCTGGATTCAGTTTGCCAGTATTTTATTGAGGATTTTTGCATTGATGTTCATCAGGGATATTGGTCTAAAATTCTTTTTTGTGTGTGTGTCTCTGCCAGGCTTTGGTATCAGGATGATGCTGGCCTCATAAAATGTGTTAAGGAGGATTCCCTCTTTTTCTATTGATTGGAATAGTTTCAGAAGGAATGGTACCAGCTCCGCCTTGTGCCTCTGGTAGAATTCAGCTGTGAATCCGTGTGGTCCTGGACTTTTTTTGGTTGGTAAGCTATTAATTATTGCCTCAATTTCAGAGCCTGTTATATTGGTCTATTCAGAGATTCAACTTCTTCCTGGTTTAGTCTTGGGAGGGTGTATGTGTCGAGGAATTTATCCATTTCTTCTAGATTTTCTAGTTTATTTGCATAGAGGTGTTTACAGTATTCTCTGATGGTAGTTTCTATTTCTGTGGGATTGGTGGTGATATCCCCTTTATCATTTTTTATTGTGTCTATTTGATTCTTCTCTCTTTTCTTCTTTATTAGTCTTGCTAGTGGTCTATCAATTTTGTTGATCTTTTCAAGAAACCAGTTCCTGGATTCATTGTTTTTTGAAGGGTTTTTTGTGTCTCTATTTCCTTCAGTTCTGCTCTGATCTTAGTTATTTCTTGCCTTCTGCTAGCTTTTGAATGTGTTTGCTCTTGCTTCTCTAGTTCTTTTAATTGTGATGTTAGGGTGTCAATTTTAGATCTTTCCTGCTTTCTCTTGTGGGCATTTAGTGCTGTAAATTTCCCTCACACACTGCTTTAAATGTGTCCCAGAGATTCTGGTATGTTGTGTCTTTGTTCTCATCGGTTTCAAAGAACATCTTTATTTCTGCCTTCATTTTGTTATATACCCAGTAGTCATTCTGGAGCAAGCTGTTCAGTTTCCATGTATTTCAGTGGTTTTGAGTGAGTTTTTTAATTCTGAGTTCTAGTTTGATTGCACTGTGGTCTGAGAGACAGTGTGTTATCATTTCTGTTCTTTTCCATTTGCTGAAGAGTGCTTTACTTCCAACTATGTGGTGAATTTTGGAATGAGTGCGGTGTGGTGCTGAGAAGATTGTATATTCTGTTGATTTGGGGTGGAGAGTTCTGTAGATGTCTATTAGGTCTGCTTGGTGCAGAGCTGAGTTCAATTCCTGGATATCCTTGTTAACTTTCTGTCTCATTGATCTGTCTAATGTTGACATTGGGGTGTTAAAGTCTCCCATTATTATTGTGTGGGAGTGTAGGTCTCTAAGGACTTGCTTTATGAATCTTGGTCCTCCTGTATTGGGTGCATATATATTTAGGATAGTTAGCTCTTCTTGTTGAATTGATCCCTTTACCATTATGTAATGGCCTTCTTTGTGTCTTTTGATCTTTGTTGGTTTAAAGTCTGTTTTATCAGAGACTAGGATTTCAACCTCTGCCTTTTTTTGTTTTCCATTTGCTTGGTAGATCTTCCACCATTCCTTTATTGTGAGCCTATGTGTGTCTCTGCACGTGAGATGGGTTTCCTGAATACAGCACAGTGATGGGTCTTGACTCTTTATTGAATTTGCCAGTCTGTGTCTTTTAATTGGAGCATTTATTCCATTTACATTTAAGGTTAATATTGTTATGTGTGAATTTTATCCTGTCATTATGATGTTAGCTGTTTATTTTGCTCGTTAATTGATGCAGTTTCTTCCTAGTCTGGATGGTCTTTAGAATTTGGCATGTTTTTGCAGTGGCTGGTACCAGTTTTTCCTTTCCATGTTTATTGCTTCCTTCAGGAGCTCTTGTAGGGAAGGCCTGGTGGTGACAAAATCTCTCAGCATTTGCTTGTCTGTAAAGGATTTTATTTCTCCTTCACTTATGAAGCTTAGTTTGGGCAGATATGAAATTCTGGATTGAAAATTCTTTTCTTTAAGAAAGTTGAATATTGTCCCCCACTCTCTTCTGGCTTGTAGAGTTTCTGCCGAGACATCAGCTGTTAGTCTGATGGGCTTCCCTTTGTGGGTAACCCGACCTTTCCGGCTGCCCTTATCAATTTTTCCTTCATTTCAACTTTGGTGAATCTATTATGTGTGTTAGAGTTGCTCTTCTCGAGGAGTATCTCTGTGGCATTTTCTGTATCTCCTGAATTTGAATGTTGGCCTGCCTTGCTAGATTAGGGAAGTTCTCATGGATAATATCCTGCAGAGTGTTTTCCAACTTGGTTCCATTCTCCCCGTCACTTTCAGGTAAACCAATCAGATGTAGATTTGGTCTTTTCACATAGTCCCATATTTCATGGAGGCTTTGTTCGTTTCTTTTTATTCTTTTTTCTCTAAACTTCTCTTCTTGCTTCATTTCATTCATTTGATCTTCAATCACTGATACCCTTTCTTCCAGTTGATCGAATCGGCTACTGAAGCTTGTGCATTCATCATATAGTTCTCGTGCCATGGTTTTCGGCTCCATCAGGTCCTTTAAGGACTTCTCTGCATTGGTATTCTAGTTAGCCATTTGTCTAATCTCTTTTCAAGGTTTTTAACTTCTTTGCCATGGCTTCTAACTTCCTCCTTTAGCTTGGAGAAGTTTGATCATCTGAAGCCTTCTTCTCTCAACTGGTCGAAGTCATTCTCCATCCAGCTTTGTTCCGCTGCTGGTGAGGAGGTGCATTCCTTTGGAGGAGGAGAGGTGCTCTGATTTTTAGAATTTTCAGTTTTTCTGTTCTATGTTTCCCCATCTTTGCACTTTTATTTACCTTTGGTTTTGATGATGGTGACATACACATGGGGTTTTCGTGTGGGTGTCCTTTCTGTTTGTTAGTTTTCCTTTTAACAGTCAGGACCCTCAGCTGCAGGTCTGTTGGAGTTTGCTGGAAGGCCACCCCTGACCTTTGTTGCCTGTGTATCAGCAGTGGAGGCTGCAGAACAGCGAATATTGCTGAACAGCAAATGTTGCTGTCTGATCGTTCCTTCGGAGGTTTCATCTCAGAGGGGTACCCGGCCCTGTGAGATATCAGTCTGTCCCTACTGAGGAGTGCCTCCCAGATAAGCTACTCAGGGGTCAGGACCCACTTGATGAGGCAGTCTGTCCGTTCTCAGATCTCGAACTCTGTGCTGGGAGAACCACTACTCTCTTCAAAGCTGTCAGACAGGGACGTTTAAGTCTGTAGAGGTTTCTGCTGCCTTTTGTTTGGCTATGCCCTGCCCCCAAAGGTGGAGTCTACAGAGGCAGGAGGCCTCCTTGAGCTGCGGTGGGCTCCACCCAGTATGAGCTTCCTGGCAGCTTTGTTTACTTACTCAGGCCTCAGCAATGGCAGGTGCCCCTCCCACAGCCTCACTGCTGCCTTGCAGTTTGATCTCAGACTGCTGTGCTCCAATGAGTGAGGCTGCATGGGTGTATGACCCTTGGAGCCAGGCATGGGATATAATCTCCTGGTGTGCCATTTGCTAAGATCATTGGAAAAGCGCAGTATTAGGGTGGGAGTGACCGGATTTTCCCGGTGCCATCCGTTACAGCTTTGTTTGGATGTGCAAGGGAATTCCCTGACCCCTTGCACTTCCCAGGTGAGGTGATGCCTTGCCCTGCTTCAGCTCACACTCAGTGCGCTGCACCCACTGTCCTGTACCCATTGTCCGACAAGCCCTGGTAAGATGAACTCAGTACCTCAGTTGGAAATGCAGAAATCATTCGTCTTCTGTGTTGCTCACGCTGGGAGCTGTAGACTGGAGCTCTTCCTATTCGGCCATCTTGGAACCGCTCCCCTGATATATGCACTTTCATGAGAGTTTTAGCATATAAGTGAGCTCGGTGAAATTTGAGATTATGACTCTCTGGTTCAAAGTTCTATCCCAATGCTTACCACATAATCTGATATGTTACACACACACAATCAATGATCTGACCATGTGTCAGAAATAATTTCCTACTCCTGAATATTTATTCATGCCCAAGGTATTTACTGGTGAGATCTAGTCTGTGCTTGACCCTGTCCTAGGTGTTAGGGGTACAAAAATACCTAAGATATTTTCTCTGCCCCAAAGAGTTCACTCTCCTTGGAGTAATAAACGTGCAAGCAAATAATTACAATGAATAATTACTGTAAGTGCTATAATACAAAATGAGATACTCACATAAAGGAAATATTGAGTGATTCTTCTGGGAAAGTTACATGAGTGGTATTTAAGATAGGTCATGAAACATGAGTAATAGTATGCAAAGCTGAGCAAAGTGAACTATATATTCCAGGAAAATTGGAGTATGTGCCAAGTCATGAAGATGTGAAACCATCTCACTGTCCTGGGAACCACACATAGTTGAATACCGTTTATGTGTTGTACGTTAAGGTTAGGGGTGTGAAGTAGGCAGGAAAAAAATATGTTGAGGACAAAATCCAGAGTTCTCTTCTGCCATTCTAAGAAATTTACTTTAGATGATATTAGCAACTGGACCTCTCAAGGGCGTGCAAGCAGAGGAGTGATATGGTCAGATTTGCTTTTTAGAAAACTCACTTGTGCATCAATAACAAATGAACTGAAGAGGCTTCAGTGAGAGACAGGGAGAGACACATAGCAGTTGCACTTTGTTTGGAGAACTGAACAGTTACTATGCATGTGTGAGAACAGCATAGGTTCTGGAAAGGTGCAGAACAAAGAAGAAGCAACTTTTAAGCCTGAGTGGATGAGTGGAGAAAGGAGGAGGATTTACGGATAACTCAGGAAACTCCTGACAAAGTTAAAAGCCTGTAATTTCCCTACCATATATTTTCTTTCTTCTGAGTCGTTTGGCTAGAGATAAGAATATTATGGCCTTAGGAAAAATCCTTTCAGTGGAAATGAGAATTTTAAATAAAACAAATAAAATATAGTCAAGTTCATAATTTGCCACAACTGAGAAGATTTATGTCAAAGCCACTACTTTCTGGTTAACTTCTTGTCTTCAGTCAGAAGAGCACTATTGGTGGAGTTTTATTGTGTTTCCTGAATGAACTTCGCTATCCACAGGCCATAAAAATGAGATTCTGAATAGTCACTCCATCACTTTCCAGGGGGCAGAAGTCAGCTTGGGTTCAGTGGAGGGAGGTGGTACCATGGCATTACACCTGGATGTCCCCTCTGTAAAGTGAAATAGCATAAAGAGTGTGGTGGGAGGAATCACTCAAAAAGGCCTGGGTTCAAATTCAGATTTGGCTACTTAGAACTGTTCCTTAACTATTATGAGCTTCCACAGACTCATCCATAGAATGGATGGTAATATCCATCACACAGGGGTCTTTGTGAAGCTATTGTGATGGCTGTAGTAAGATATTGCACATAGGGCATTATGCCTAGCACCACATAAGTGTCCTTGGTGGACAGTGTTGACACATTTAATCTCTCAATAATAGTTTGAGGTATTAATACTTCCATTTTATAGACGTGGAAACTGAGACAATGAGGTGTATTCACTTAAGACTACACAAAGGAGGAAGTGGAAGAATAGGTTTTGAACCTAACTATGAAAGATGGCTGGCAAACTCTCATTTTGTCAAGGGTAGTAGCTCCTAACATCTTAGACTTTGAGATTTCCTTTTAGCAAAGTGAAGCTGGTTGTTTTTCTCATTTGGACTATAAATATTCATGATGCTAAAACGGAAGCATTGGTAGGATATATAGGAATACACTGAAGTTGAAAGAAGAGAGAAAAAACAGAGGGAGAAAGGGAGGGAGGAGGGAAATGAAAAAAGGAAGGAGGGAAGGCAGGGAGGGGAGGGGAGGGGAGAGGAAGGACGGGAGGGGACCTCATAGAGAAATAGGATCCAGTGTGAATTGGCAACGCACTTGTTAATTCTTTTAATCCACTAGTATGTTGATGTCAGCTCCTGGGAAGGATCCATAGCCTTTGATGATGATAATTTTCACCTAGGCATGTTTTTTTCCCTTCAGGGAATGTCTAGTTTGCTTAAGGGACTCTCATTCCTGGCTGCTGTTACAAGGAGAAATATAGCTGTGGGTAATATGTATGTCTATGTGTATAAGTGTGGACATACACATACACTCACTCTTACACAAACACACACACATGAATGCTGTGAAGCTTATACAGGAAAGTAAGAGTGCTCTGGCTTCACTGCTGTCTGTGATTTCTCCTTGACCCTGATTTACTTCAAGGAGTCTGCTAATTACAACTCTAAATCTAAATTGATATGATTATACAGGCTTTTCTTGATTTAATTAATTTAATTACATCTATCAGTTCTTTCTGTGAAAAGATTAGCCAAATTTTCTTAACTCTATAATCCCACTTAATTTTTACAAGATAAATTTTTTGCATAGTGTTTGTCTTTACATAAATAGAACAATTCAACTTTCCTTCTTATTTCTTTAACTTTAAATAGCATCTCATGAATCTCCATCAATGTAGGTACTTCATCCCTCCTTCTCACCTCCTAGCTTCCTCCAGTCTTCTGGGAGCATTGCCTTTTCTTTTAAGCCATCAAGGCTGATGACATCTATATCTTGGTAAACACATTTGTATTTTCTATCTTGTGTCCTTATATTGACATAAAAAATAAAAGCCAATAAACATTTCTTATTTGACAACATAAAAGTCCCTCACTGTCAAGCCAAGTAGCTGTGCTTTCATTTTATTTTCTTCTTTTTCTGTTGACTATTACTTTGCTTTCGCCACTTAAAAAAGTTCTTCCTATCCTGTTCAAAGGTTTATCTTTTATTAACCTCCACCAATAGCTAAAAATCATGACATACTGCATCTGTGTCAACTGTGACTCATGTCCTTTGTGAGAGAAATACACCATTGGGATGTAGACTGTGGGCTCTGGGGTGAATTATAAGGGGTTCTTATCCTGACTGTGAGGTTAACTTCATGCCCTTGAGGAGCTCTCTGTGCTTCAGCTTCTTCATCTTTTAAATGTGGGTGAGAGCAGCGCCAAATATGTAGTATTGTCAGGAGGATTAGACGAAATGTGTACAAAGGATTTCACATAGTTGGCCACATAGTAAACACTGCAAAATGTTTTATTATAACATTTTATAGAAGTTTTTAATTATCTTATTATTCAGTGGAAGGAGCATTTGCCTAATTTGCCATGTCACTAACATCATCTAACTCTTTAGTCATTGTGTCGCTTGGACTCTATTTGTTTCAACTTTTTGAAAACATATTTTTGGATTTGTAATTCTAATTTAAACTACTGCTGTTTTACATGCTTTACGACTGCCTTTTTAAGCTCTTCCAAGCAATCCACTCTTTCGTAGTGGTCCACTTCCCAGTACTTTGTTCTCCCCCATAGTTTGTTATGTACATGAGCAGATGTTCACCCATGCTCCCCGATCCTACACTTTGTGGAATCTATCTACTGACAGTCTTTTTAGCCTCTTCACTGTTGCTGCTTTAATTTATTCCTTTCACTTTACTGAGTTAACTAGAACACCTTGTACTTGTTTCATTATTCAGATGTAAACAATCTCCTTTAATCCTCATAGAAAGCCCAACATGTAAGTCGTATGATTTCCATTTTGGGGACGGAAAACTGAGGCACATAGGGATTCAGAAACTTGCTTAAGTGGGGAGTGGTGGATCATGCTTATAATCCCAGCACTTTGAAAGTCTGAGGCAGGAGGATTGCTTGAGCCCTGGTGTTTGAGATAAGCCTGGGCAACATAGTGAGACCCCATCTACAAAATTTTTTTAAAGAACTAGCCAGGCATGGAGATGTGTGCCTGTAGTCCCATTTACTTGGGAGACTGAGGCAAGAAGGTCATTTGAGCCTGCAGGAGTCGAGGCTGTTGTAAATGAAAAGAGAAAAAAAGGAAAAGAAAGGAAAGAGAAAGGAAAAGAAAGAGATAAAGAGAAAGAAAGAGAGAAAGAGAAAAAGAAGAAAGAAGGAAAGAGAAAGACAAAGAAAGAAGGAAGAAAGAAGAAAGAGAGAGAAAGAAAGAAAGAGAGAGAGAAAGAAAAGAAAAGAAAAAAGTAAAGAAAAGAAAACAAAGAGGAAGGGAGGGAAGGAGGGAGGGACTTGCCCAGGTCACCCAATAGTAAGTAGCAAAATCCTGATTACACTTCATGTTCTTTGGACTTGGCAACCCTTGTGGGAAAGGGCAGCAGTGATTTCTGCCGGCTTCAGAGGGATCCTGGAATTGTGAAAGTCTTACTTAAATGCAAAGAGGGCAAAGGAGATTGAGGAGTAGAAAGTGGTATGTTAGCACATATACCTTGCTAAGGAAGCAGATCTGAAAGAATAGATACAAATGTAACTGACTCCCAGGCTGAGGAAAAAAGGAAGGGGCAGCATAAAAAGAACCAAAAACCCATAGACACTTTTGTTGCAAGTAGTGACAGCAAGTGCCTGAATTTCAGCTGTGATTGTATATATTTCCAGAGAACAAAGCTTTATAATAGTATCCTTGTCCTAACTAGACTGACAAATTAACACTTGTTGATGATGGTCCACACCTCTCCACCACATGGGGATGGCAGCTATGGCTGGCAAGCATACTGATGGAGAGTAGCTATAGATTTTTTAACCCAGAAAATCCATTTTATATCTTCTATGTGCAGCCCTTAAAATGATAAAGTTATATATAAATATATATATAGAAAATATATTTATATTAGAAAAGGCATATACATACTTGCTGATTGATTCACCCAAAGTTCATAGCAAAATACTAGGTCTGTGAACAAAGCACGTACTTGTCAGAGAAAAAGAAATGTTTATTCTATATAAATGTATAACATATACCACATATGTATATTTTATATAATTATATATGCTCTCATTATGTTCATATTCAAGAGACAAGAGTTGATAATATATGTATACAGACCTATAACTCTGTTGTATATGGCATATGGACATGTCTCCATAGCTTGCTCTATATACATATCTGTGTGTGTATATATGTATGTATGAATCTATCCACAGAATGTTACTAGAAAGAACACAAACTTTAGAGTCAGATACATTTAGATTTAAAATTCAAATCTCTGACTCAATGAACACAGAACTATGGGCAATTTACTTCACGGTTTTAAGTCTAGGTTTTAAGTCTAGGTTTCCTTCTTTGCAAACACAGGATAATGAGAGTACCTATGTTAGGGTTCACTGGTACGCCAAGGAAATGAGAGTTTATGTGAAGCCCTTAGCAAAGGATTTGGCACATAGGGCATAGTCAAAAAATGTTAACTGTGATCAAGATATTCTCATGCATTCAATTCAACATACATTTACCCAGCATGTATTATGTTATAGAATATATATCACATATGCTTATAAAATATTTACAGATACTTGCACACAAACATGTATAGAATTTATTAAGTATAATTTGCCTACCTATTTGAACTTATTATATGCATATGTTTGTAGTAGTATACATATGTAGATCTAACTCTACTAAATTCAGGAAACATTAATTGAAAAATGTTTTGAACCAGCCTCTATAATAGTTCCTTGGGTGTTAAAATATGTGCCACACTTATAAAGGGCTTTTGGTATACTGAGGAAGAAAGATACATAAATATATTATTATAATGCTGTATAAAATGCAATAGCATGGCATGTGGAAAAAGTGTGAGAGAATCAATTACTTTTTCCTAGAAGGACTGAGGAATGGAGTTTATAGGTTAGAAGACAATTGAAATGGGCTTTAAAGAATGAAAACGATCTCATTAAGAATGGAATAGGAGGGAAAGTCAGAAGCCAGTTCAAAGGCAGGTTAGCAGATGAGTCTAAAAATAAAGATTAGTTTAGTTTGTGAGCGCATTAGTTTCTTTTATCTTACAGGCATATTTTCAAGGTTGCTTTCAATACATGTACGATAAAAGGTACTTAAAAATGTAGTATGGAAAGGGACAGAGCAAGAGGTAAAATCTGGACCTTCTGACAACAAATGAATATCTGTAAGTCGTGGGCAAGTCACCCATCATTGGGATGATTCTATATTTTTATCAAGTGACAAATTGCTGTTTACTCACATAGGGAGGATTACTATACTTAGCAAACTAAAATATAGAGCATACATAAATTTCAAATAAATATTGGATACTTTTTAGAATAAGTGTGTCCCATCTAATAAGTGCAACCTTTCCCTGACATTTCTAAACCCATCCTGTCCAGGCTCTTTTTGAGACCCATTGTAATCTCATCTGTCCTCATGCTTCAGCTCTTTCACTGATACTCATGACATTTTAAATTTTATCTGCAGATGGAACCTCTTTCTTGAGTTCTGGTTAAATAGTCCCAACTATCTTTTGTAATGTCCTTTAATTTCCTTGCCACAAAGTGATAATAATAATACTGCCTCTCTGACTAGGTTGCTGTGAGGATTTAATGAGTGCTTTTTAGAAGCATATGTAATAATTCCTGGCATATATCAGCTTGAATGATAGAAAATTGCCATTGTTTATAGGTTAAATATTGGTGAGTTTTAATAGTAACCACTATATGATTGTTTGCCATGATTATCAGCAGCATTATAGTGTTCTTACCCTCCACAAAGACTTAAATTATTTTATTGCCTCAGCCATGTGACAGCACCCTAGCTCTCTGCAAGAATGACCTATGTGCATGTGCTTGACATCCTAGCTCAGCACCTGGCACGTGGCAGGAACTCAAGATCACTTTCCAGGATTCCTTACAAACTGCCTCCCAAATAATCTTCCTGAAACTCAAAGCCATCTCAAACATCATCTGTGGTCCTATTTATGAGATCATGTTGTAAAATGGAAAAGACTCTGATCTACCACTGACTAGCTATGTGCCCTTGGACAAGTCACTTCATCACCTCCTGCCATGCCATGGGACTTCCTGCCTCTGCCCCTTTACTGACACCTTGTCCTCTTTGGAATATGATATTACCTCTATCCTGCCCCACAACTCTCCAATATAAATCATGTCATCCTTCAAGCCCAAGCTGAAAATCTCCTTTTACACATTTTTTTGTTTATTCATGCAAAACTCTGTTAAGCATTAATCATATTCCAGACCTGAATATCAAATTCAGGGCACTTGACATCTAACAGGTGCTGGAATATTCATGCACTTATGTTAGATGTCCTCATTTGCATTACTGTATTTCAGCCATGCTATAAACCTGTGGAGTAGTTATGTTCCAAGTTCTCAGCAGAGGAAATTGACCTTTATAAAAGTTGAATGAAGGCCAGGCACAGTGGCTCACACCTGTAATCCCAGCACTTTGGGAGGCTAAGGAGGGCAGATCACGAGGTCAGAAGATCGAGACCATCCTGGCCAACATGGTGAAACCCCGTCTTTACTAAAAATACAAAAATTAGCTGGGTGTGGTGGCACTCACCTGTAGTCCCAGCTACTTGGGAGGCTGAGGCAGAGAATCGCTTGAACCTGGGAGATGGAGATTGCAGTGAGCCGAGATCGTTCCACTACACTCCAGCCTGGAAACAGAGGGAGACTCCATCTCAAAAAAAAAAAAAAAAAAAAGAAAAGAAAAGAAAAAAAGGTTGAAATTTTTTTCCCAGTAACTCATAGTCGCTAATAAAATTAAGATTCTAATTCTGTTGGGATCCCTTGTTACCCCCAACAGAAACTATGTCTTCTCAAAAGAATTTTCATATATAGTGTGAACCTCAACAGTGTTCTTTACAAATATTTCTGCAATCTGGTCTTTATGTGTTAGTTTTATTCCCTGGATTAGAAGTTTCTTGTGGCTAAGAGTTACATTTGATTTAATTCTTCTTTGTTTGTCTTGCTTCACATAGCATAATAATAAAAGCCACAATACTGAATAGCTATGAAGTACTAATACTGTACTATCAAATTTTCATTTTTTTCTTTGAAACAAAATAAAGCATCATGCAGAAAATAGATCTATTCAACCTATAATTGTTAACTATTACTAATTTTATAAGACAGGGATGTGAGAAATAAAGTCCCTAAGCTACTAAATGAGGCACTCAGGAATTGAGCTAGATCAGCCTGCCTCTAAAGTTTAGCCCTTCCTACTCAGCCCTGTTGCCCCATTCATTTAAACAACACCAGCTTAGCAACTACTTATATGCACCACGTGGTGCTCAGAGTTAAGATCAAGGAGACTAAAAATTGTCCGTTTGCTTTGCCCTTGGAGTTTTGGAAACAGGCAATTGAAAAGCTGCTCATCTAAAATGATCAACCATTTTCAATCATGACTTCCTTTGGACATATTGTTTTTTTATCTATTTACTTTTTTCAACAAATATTTACTAAGATCTTAGTATACATCAGACACTATGCTTTAACAAACCAAACCTCAGCTCTACCCTCCCAGAGCTCATAGTTCAATTGGAAGACAATCAGGAACCAAGTGATTGTAGATGTGAGCACAGTTAGAAAAGGGACCATACAGAGATGCACTGCAAGGGCTTCAGCCTGGAAGGGGTGCCAGGGAAGGCGTCTGTGGAGAAGGACTGTGGAAGCTGCTAAGACCTAGAGTGTATGGGGGGATTGAGAAGAGCATTGAAGGCAGAAAGGGAAGAAGATGTAAACCTGCTGTGGTGGGAGGGAAAATATCACATTATACAAAATAGAAGAATATTAAAAAGCGTCTTGTATGAGGGGAAGAGGGGTTAAAGAGGTAAGCAGGAGGCAGAGCTCCTTGCCACAAGGCTAAACAGTTTGGACTCCACCCAAAGGTATGGATAAACTGATTCAAATACATCTTGAGCCAACCTAACCTTTCAGAGCTACCAAAACCATAGAAAAACCAACTCTATTTACCTGTTTGTTCTACACATCATTAAAAATGCATATATATACACACATATATTTACACATGAAGATAGGTAAAATTATCTAAAGGATTCAGTACTTGTGGATCCTAATTGCAAGATTTTGTTACAGATTTTAGGGAGAACAACAACCAGCTTTAATTTTCACAGCCTAGGTTGAGTTTTCAGCTTCACTCAGACAAAAATATCAGCTCTCCTTTGTGTCCTGAGAACATTTCAGGGCCAAGTCACACCAAAGAGTGGGAATCGAGACTTACAATGCCATTTTCACAGTTGCTTTCCTGATTATAATCATGAGGCAAGATGTTATTCCAGAACTTAATTAATTATTTTATTGCTCCTTTGTCATTTTCAAAGTGATAACAAATACAAAAAAAAGAAGTCTCATATGAGTACATGGTTTCACAGAGATCTACCAGGGATGTCTCTGATATTTTTCCTTTTTACACAATCAATGTTTCCTTTAGTTAGAGAGGGGCTTCAATCTATCAGACTGCTGAGAGCACCCCTTTGAAATCTTCAGGGTGATAATTTAAGTGAAATAGAAATAGAGGAAAATGTTGCATCCTTGGAAATCTTTTGTGATAAAGGATTTTCCTGGCTCTTTAGTAAGATGGCACAGAGGGGATCAGCATTACAATTAAGTTTGCAATCTTGTTGTACCTAGTGACTCCTTCTAAATATTATCTTCATTCTCCTTAGTTTCCTTGCAACAATAAGGCTGATAAACTCCTCTGACACTCCTAACCTTGTGAGAGGACTTATTTGGCTCTGAAGTCCCAACTGCATCTAAGGAAAATATTGTTTCTTTATTCAACTCTCCCTTTCCAGGTACATGTCTGCAATCGAACAACAGTTACAGATAGCTTTCAAGATTCATTAAGATTCCTCAATTCCCTGAGACCACAGCAACTCTGCTAAGTGGAAAATACAGTGGGAAAACCACAGAGTTTAAACTCAAGCAATCTTAAATTTGAATTGAAATGTTGCCACTACTTACATGTCACTAAGCCCCTCTAAGTCTCAGTGTTCTCAGTTAAGATTATTGGTCCTGAATGATAACATATGCAACATGCTAGTAAGTGCCCATAGGCATAGGTCTAATCAATATATGAAATGGTCCTCTTACCCTCTAGTTCTCATATTCTTCAGGAATATCCTTCCCCTTTCACTCCTAGATCAAGCCATTCTTTAGGCTCAGTTAAGTCCTACTCATGATAAGGATAGTATCTGCCTTAGATAGAGAAAAGGATAAAATATGAATAACCATTTTTCCGACCTTCAAGGATCTTTCCATCTAGAAAAGAGAACAAGTGTAGGTACATCTAAATTAAGCACAAGGCTGAAAATGTCATCACTCTGTTAAAGGACTTGAGAATGGTGAGGGTAGAGGAGAGGAAAGTTAATTTCAGCTGCAGAAGACAGGACAGATTTTCTGGGAAGGTGTTATCAGATCTTACTTTTGAGGTATGGGTACAATTTAGACCAATGGAGGTCATGGGTAGCAATAATACAGGCCCTTGGTGTGTAATTACAAAGTCCAAAAATCTCTTAAAACTAAAAGCATTTTCATAGCTCAAATGGTAGCAAAACCTAAAATACATGCTAGAGCCTTCATTAATTTTACTTAGCGTGAATATTTATATGTTGTGCTCCAGAAATATGAATTTATTTTGGTAAAAGAATGTTGTCTTAGGCCCTGCTGAAGACACTATATAACATGCAATTACATTGCTTTATCTCTATAAAATACTTCTCTTGTGCCCCCATGAATTCCTCCGTAGATCTGGCCATATATGTTTGAAATAAGGGATTTATTGTGGTTCTTTACTATAAGTAGAAATAATAATACAAGCAATAATGTAGATATATAAAAATCTAGAGTATGTTAAAATAATATCAAATCATCCAGTGTTACTGGAAAGATTAGTGGATGACTAGGATCACAAAGATCATGAAAGGATTGCATTCCTTCAGTGAATAGTATTTATTGAGATATTTCCATATTACAGGTGTTCTTATAGAGGTTGAGAATCTAGCTGTGAACATATCAAACCATTTTAATATGGTAATGGGATTCCTTTCTAAGTCCCCTATTGTTTCAGAATGGTGGCAATCTACCAGTGGTTTAGGTGGTGGTGCAGGGTAATGCGTAATGGCAGCCCACAGAGGTTAAGCACTGTACTTAAGCTTTTGCGCCCATTAAGCACCAGAGGCAGGAAACTGAAGTCAGGTAGGCTAGCATGAGAGTGTATGCTCATAACCCTATGACACTATTCTTTTTGTATTTAGAAACATGCAGGAGAGACATTAACTATCTCTGTGGGATTTGATGACGTGTCACAGAAGGCTTGCCATAGGCTGTATTACAAAGGATGAATAAGATGTGTTGCAATAGAGGAGAGGGTCCGGTTACTAGGTGATGAGCTCTTCCATGTGGGCATAGGCAGGTAGCCCAGTGGATGGGAACATACCCTCCATAAGCCCCACTCTCTGGTTTCTACTCCTTACTTGGCCACTTACTGGTAGGTGATCTTGGTTAACCTTAACCTCTTTTATTATTATTATGATTTTTTTTTTTAATTTTTGAGATGAAATCTCGCTCTGTTGCCCAGGCTGGAGTGCAGTGGCATGATCTTGGCTCACTGCAACCTCCGCCTCCCAGGTTTAAGCGATTCTCCTGTGTCAACCTCCTGAGTAGCTGGGATTACAGGCACACACCACCACACCTAGCTAAGTTTTATATTTTTAGTAGAGATGGGGTTTCACCATATTGGTCAGGCTGGTCTCAAACTCCTGACCTTATGATCCGCCCACCTCGGCCTCGAGGTGTGGAGGGAGGGGCGCTAGCGGGAACCGGGGCTGCGCGCGATTCTTGCGGGCCAGCGGGAGTTCCAGGTGGGCGTGGGCTCGGTGGAGCTCCTGCATTGATTTAATAAAAAAGGTTTCTTAATATAGACACCCAAGACTAATTGTATTGTCTAGGCACATTGGATAAGGATTTAATTTCACACATCACAAACGATCAACATCAAATTGTCAGAGTCGTATTTTATACCTTCTTTATAGAGCTCTTTAATCTTCTTAGCCCACTTTCACAGCCCACTATCCTGAAACAAGTTTCAGTTAGAGCTTAATAGGTAAAAAAGAAAGGTAGAATGACAAAAGAGAAAGTATTAAATGGTCACTCCATCACTGATTTCAGGAAATCATACATGTCCTGAAAAGTTGCTGTAACTTTAGAGCCAGATTCAGGCAGTGTCCCAGGAAGCCACCTGTGAGTGTGTGCAGCTTCTAGCATCTGCTCCAATTTTATCTACAAAGGGCTTAAATGCAGGCTACAAAGCAGAGTTAAACCCAATCACCTGGATCCACAGGAACTCCTGTATTTTCTCCTTTTCAGAGACCAACATCCTCTAGAAGTTCAGGGGCTAAATCCTTCCATCAAAATCACACAGTGGGTTTCTAAAAAGCAGTTGGAGTAAGAGACTTATCAGTTCTGCAATATGCCACTTTTATGCTGGGTGCTTCTGCACTGCAACCAAAAGCAACAATTGCACTACTGTCTAATATTTCTCAAATCCAGCTCTTCCTCTTCATTCCCATCGAATGTTTCTTTTGGTGAGAACTTCAATATTTTTAGATGAATGCTTGTTAGAATAGGTTTCAGCAGGCCTCCCCGCTTCTTCCCTTTCTAAGTATGCCCCCACCTCATCACCAGAGTATTCTTTCTAAAATGCAAATTTGTTTATAGCTCTTCTAACCACCGATCTTCCACATAGTATAAAGTAAAAATGTTGGCTGGGCGTGGTGGCTCACACCTGTAATCCCAGCACTTTGGGAAGCCAAAGTAGGCGGATCACGAGGTCAGGAGTTTGAGACCAGCCTGACCAACATGGTGAAACCCTGTCTCCACTAAAAATACAAAAATTAGCCAGGCATGGTGGCATGCACCTGTAAGCTCAGCTACTCAGGAGGCTGAGGCAGGAGAGTCACTTGAACCCTGGGGGTGGAGGTTGCAGTGAGCCGAGATCACGCCACTGCACCCCAGCCTGGGCGACAGAGTGAGATTCCATCTCAAAAAAAAAAATGATTTTAGTGTCAGAAAATGTCCTTATATTTGGGAATGAGCCACATTTCCCAGCATTTTTCTTCCTTTCCAGACTTGGTTCCAATAGCACTACATGAAAAAAATCTGTGAACCCCTTGGATGTCTTGACCTCTTTCTCTTCTATGGCCTATTACAGTTTGTATTTTGCCTCAATCGTATGAATCATTATTCTGACCTCAGCAATTTATTTGTTTGCCTTTTTGTCCTTCCATGCTACGATCTCCTTGAAACTTGTGACCCATATTGTTCATGTGAAATGAATCAATTCTTTCTGTAATCAGCTAAGCTCACTTGTGCATCTTTAGTCAGATGTGGGTTGGATAGGCAGATATGATGATCTATCTAGATTCTCTCAGATGTTTGGGGCTCAACTGGTATAGCTTGTCTAGAAGGGCTTTGACTAATACAAGTGGGCTTTCCCTCATGTGTTATCTCATCCTTCAGTAGGCTAGTCCAGGCATATTCTTAATGACAGTGTCTGGGCAACAAAGGAACAGAAATGTTCAAAGTCTCTTGAGGCCTAAGCTTAGAGCTTGGCCAATCATCATTTCCATTGCTTTCTGTTAATTATTAGCTCAGAAGGTCAGAAGGTCAACCCAATTAAAAGAATTGGGAAAATACATTCTACGTCTCGATAGAAAGAGATACAAGAACACATGGCAAAGGCCATAGCTACAAGAACAGGTGAAGAATTGGGGCTATTTTGGTAACCAGAGTATTACATCTCTTGAGTAAACCAAAACATTGTCATGCTTCCTTCCTGAGAATTCTGCACATACTGGTGCAGAACAGTGAACTGCCAATTAATGGTGTAATCTGGCTGATTTGTAGTAGCTATTAGAATGTAATTTGTAGTTGCTAAAATTTTCTAAAAGCAAAGGAAATATTTGCAGGGATACTTATAGTTAGATAGTTGTTTTATGAACGAGTTGAATGACAAGAGATGTTATCACTGATTATACAATAGCTAATACCTTACGGATTATATGCCACAGGAGGTAGATACTTTGGTTTTTATTTTGTGTATAAGAAGAGAGAGTCTCTGGGAGGTTAAGGAAGGCCCAAGGTCATGCAGGTGGCCCTTTTGGGATAACTCAAGACTCAAAAACACAGATTTTTAAAATTTTACCCTAAGTATTAACCTCTGTCCCTGTATTCCTTTGGTGTTAAGAGGCTATTTAGAGTGACTTACATCTAACCATCACTTACAAGGTTGTCATTATCTTAGTGCTAAAGGTTTTCAGGGAAGGAACATCTATGTAAGAGATTTAGTTTATGTAAAAATCTTTTCCAGTTTACTCATCCTTGCAAGGACAAAAGCCAATTTCTTTTGCAGCCATAGTTACTATTTATACTTTCGATAAATTTCATGTTCTCCATGCAGTTGATCAGATGCTGCTTTCTTCAGAGACGCCAATCAGAAGTCCGAAAGTTTATTTCTCTGAATAAACACTATCCTGAAAAGTAGGGAGGGGAAAGTTCTTCTTATCCTGAAAATTTTCAGCTCTTTGTTAATCCAAAAAGCTGAAAATATTTCAAGTCAAACATGGCCACATACCATCTTGCTGAGTTAGAAGTTTACTTAGTAATCTCCTTATCAGCCAAACAGCTGGAAGTCTAGAATGTTCTATGTGTAAGAAGCCAGTGTCAACTTGTTTCCACAAAATAGCAGTGAGAAAAAACGTATTAGAAAAGTGGGAGTTCATCAGGAGGAATTAATTTGGGAATTTTGCTGGCATGCACTGAACTCTCAGTACTGGTGAGTTTATTATCGACAGAACCAACTAGAGACTTTAAGGTTGCTTCGTGTGTCATCCACCAGGAAGCATTATTTGTGTGTGGTTTTCAAAGTGTTTTCTATACAGGAGTTTGTTCAAAACTCTAAAAAGTGATACTACGGTATTTTGCTTTATGCAATAGATGTGTCACTGCAAAATTGCTTGCAAATTGATTTTTTTTTCTATTGTAAATGGAAATCAAATTGAAATACACTAGGGGGAATTTGCTAGTTCAAGAAATCCTTGTTTAGTATGAAAATTGCTTTTTCTCTTGAGAATAAGTCTTCCTTAATGTATCTATTTTGTGAATTTAAATTTTTGTAGCTGTGCTCATCTGAGTATCTTAGGGCACCTGGGGAAAATGCATTTACATCAATTTAGTAACAGGATTTTTCGGAATACCTCACACACCCACAAACTACATGAGAATTTTTCAACTTGAAAACATCCCACTTATTACTGAAGTGATTATGGGTACTCTTATCTAACTCTCCAACAAAACTGACTGGTTGAGAGTCAAACCCCACCTCAAATTCATCCTCTGAATTACAGCTATAAGGCAGAAAGGCATGATTGAAGCAGAAAAGTTGTTAGAGTAAATACTACAAGGCTACAGTAACCAAAACAGCATGGTACTGGTACCAAAACAGAGATATAGATCAATGGAACAGAACAGAGCCCTCAGAAATAACGCTGCATATCTACAACTATCTGATCTTTGACAAACCTGAGAAAAACAAGCAATGGGGAAAGGATTCCCTATTTAATAAATGGTGCTGGGAAAACTGGCTAGCCATATGTAGAAAGCTGAAACTGGATCCCTTCCTTACACCTTATACAAAAATCAATTCAAGATGGATTAAAGACTTAAATGTTAGACCTAAAACCATAAAAACCCTAGAAGAAAACCTAGGCATTACCATTCAGGACATAGGCATGGGCAAGGACTTCATGTCCAAAACACCAAAAGCAATGGCAACAAAAGACAAAATTGACAAATGGGATCTAATTAAACTAAAGAGCTTCTGCACAGCCAAAGAAACTACCACCAGAGTGAACAGGCAACCTACAAAATGGGAGAAAATTTTCACAACCTACTCATCTGACAAAGGGCTAATATCCACAATCTACAATGAACTCAAACAAATTTACAAGAAAAAAACAAACAACCCCATCAAAAAGTGGGAGAAGGACATGAACAGACACTTCTCAAAAGAAGACATTTATGCAGCCAAAAAACACATGAAAAAATGCTCATCATCACTGGCCATCAGAGAAATGCAAATCAAAACCACAATGAGATACCATCTCACACCAGTTAGAATGGCAATCATTAAAAAGTCAGGAAACAACAGGTGCTGGAGAGGATGTGGAGAAATAGGAAAACTTTTACACTGTTGGTGGGACTGTAAACTAGTTCAACCATTGTGGAATTCAGTGTGGCGATTCCTCAGGGATCTAGAACTAGAAATACCATTTGACCCAGCCATCCCATTACTGGGTATATACCCAAAGGACTATGAATCATGCTGCTATAAAGACACATGCACACGTATGTTTATTGAGGCATTATTCACAATAGCAAAGACTTGGAACCAACCCAAATGTCCCACAATGATAGACTGGATTAAGAAAATGTGGCACATATACACCATGGAATACTACGCAGCCATAAAAAATGATGAGTTCATGTCCTTTGTAGGGACATGGATGAAATTGGAAATCATTCTCAGTAAACTATCGCAAGAACAAAAAACTAAACACCGCATATTCTCACTCATAGGTGGGAATTGAACAATGAGATCACATGGACACAGGAAGGGGAATATCACACTCTGGGGACTGTGGTGGGGTGGGGGGAGGGGGGAGGGATAGCATCGGGAGATATACCTAATGCTAGATGACGAGTTAGTGGGTGCAGCGCACCAGCATGGCACATGTATACATATGTAACTAACCTGTACACTGTGCACATGTACCCTAAAACTTAAAGTATAATAAAAAAAAAATTGATAGGGCAATTTAAACACCAACTGTATGTGGTCATTCAGATATTTCCTTCACTCAGTCAGATGTGGAAAGCAGTTCTGCATAAAAGAATAATGAGTTTTGGACGTGAAAGAACAGTGATACGTCACTTAGCTTGTTTAAGCACCGGTTAGCTCGTGTATGAAAAGTTTGGCATAGACCCTGCACATAGTTTGTATCCAATAAACAGGCTGTTGTTGCGATTGTCACTGGTGGCATTGTTATTGTTCATAGTCTTTCAGCCAGCCTGCCGTTCATTTCCTGGATGAATCACTGGCCAACCCTAGGCAGAAGATAAAGGCATACTCTATAGCTCTTTGGCGCTTCCTGTTTCTCTGGAGTAGTCATTCTTCTTGATCTTTAGGTCTAATTTTATTCTCTGGCTTAATTTTATTATAGTAGTAGTTACTTTTTTTTTTTTTACTTTGATACGATAGCAGTTTTACTTCGATATGATAGCAGTAGTTACTTTTTTATTTGCTTTGTTAATTTTATGATAGCAGTAGTGTTTCCATAGTCTCTTGGCCTAATGTTGGGAGGTGACCTGCTCATCTTTAGACCAGTGATGTGGGCTTTGTGTCCTTTTTTATAGGCAGACGCTCAGGCTTTGAAGTGAAACACTGTTGCATTTATTAATTGTATGACTTGGGGTGAATTATTTAACCTCTTTAATTCTCAGAGTTCTCATCTCTAAAACAGAACTCAAAAGACCTACTCTTAGATGTGTTGGAAAGATTAAACAAAATAATGAGTATAAAATATATAGCAGACTGCCTAGTATATAAGGGAACACATAATAAATGCGGTTATTGTAACATTCAGGAGGGACTGCTTATCATACCCCACATCCAGAGTCCTGGACCCTCAATCATCTGATGACTGTTTCCTTAAAGAGATTCTGGTCTTTCTTTCTTTCTTTCTTTCTTTCTCTCTCTCTCTCTCTCTCTCTCTGTCTCTTTCTTTCTTTCTTTCTTTCTTTCTTTCTTTCTTTCTTTCTTTCTTTCTTTCTTTCTTTCTTTCTTTCTTTCTTTCTTTCTTTCTTTCTTTCTTTCTTTCTTCCTTTCTTTCTTTCTTTCTTTCTTTTTTGAGACGGAGTCTCGCTCTGTCGCCCAGGCTGGAGTGCAGTGTTGCGATCTCCGCTTACTGCAAGCTCCATCTCCCGGGTTCACGCCATTCTCCTGCCTCAGCCTCCCGAGTAGCTGGGACTACAGGCACCCGCCACCGCGCCCGGCTAATTTTTTGTATTTTTAGTAGAGACGGGGTTTCACCGTGTTAGCCAGGATGGTCTTGATTTCCTAACCTCGTGATCCACCCGCCTCGGCCTCCCAAAGTGCTGGGATTACACCGCGCCCGGCCAGTATTTCTTTATTTTTATGTCATTTTTTTTCACCTTCAAGCATCTATAATAACATACATATATCACCATTCCTATTCAGTGATTTTTAACAGTCTTTTAGACATTTTATGATGCTCTTAAAACTGTGACCCATTTAATCTTGCCAGAGAAATACATCCATAATTAAAAACGCATATGCTAATCCTCTACTCAAAACTTCCTGGATTCAAGGCTATTTTTGATCCTGTCCTTTTTTGCTTCTCCAATCTCATTGCCTGCGTCTTATGTACCCCTGCTCCATGCTCAGTAAATGACGCCTGTTTCTCTAAAGTCTTCTTCTTCTTTCAGACTTCAGTACTAATGCATATTTGGCTTCGAATGTGTTTCCTCCTCTCATTCTCTCAACAACTTTCTTCAAGGCTCAGCACCTCCTCTCCTGTGACTCCGTCCTTGACTCCAATTGGTCATCCTCTGAAGATTTGTTTCCCTCTCTGCACCATTTGCATATCAACATTAGAGCGCTATTCTTATTACATTGAACTTGACAGTCCATCTCATTATTCTCTCATCTTATAATGCAGGGACTACACTTTTTAGCTTTCATATTCCCAGTGTCTAGTACAGTACCTGGTGGTACTAGGTTCCCACTCTCAACCTGAATCTCTTTTTCTCCCTTTCCTTATCTTTCTGTATGTATATGTGTGTGTATGCATGTGCATGCACGTACACACTTTCATTTAATAAGGAAATTGTTCCATGTCATGTGGATTTTGTTTTCTTTAACAGTTACCACACTCCAGGGTAAATACCACGTAATGTAAACAAATTAGAGGAGCTCTTATCTTAGCATTTAGTTCGTAGACACATATTCCCATGGAATAGGCAGATGCTGGAACAAACATTTTCTCTAAATAGTACAATGTGCATTCACAGCTGTAAAATCAATACACCATGTACTGAGAGTTAGCTTTATCTGTTGTGTGTGCTGTATTACAAATGACTTTATACAAATGTGATTGAGCTCGACTTTCCAATTCGTGAAAATTGTTCATTAAAATTACTTCTCATTCATACTCAAGAAGGAACCTTCAATAAACAGCATAATCTTAGGATTTAGTTTAAGAAACAATCTTCCCAGAAATGCCTTTGTTTAGGTTCTTGGGAATTCCATGCAGTCATCTATGCATTGAAGTTGAACACATGCTATGTTGTTCAAATGAATAATTATTGCTAAGAAATGCCATTGAAAGCTAATAGTTTCAAAATCATTTTTAATTGTTAGTTTTATTTTACAGCTATCAACTTGACTATACAACAGACTATTGTTTTTTAATTTTTAAACAAGGAGTAAAGGAATGCTTGCCTATAAGATAAATAATTAAGACCATATTATTAGTTTCCCTAATCACATTTTTACTTTAAAAATATTATTAATGGGCTAGGCGCAGTGGCTCACGCCTGTAATCCCAGCACTTTGGGAGGCCAAGGCTGGATCACGAGGTCAGGAGATCAAGACCATGCTTGGCCAACGTGATGAAACCTCGTCTCTACTAAAAAATACAAAAATTAGCCAGGCGTGGTGGCATGTGCCTGTAATCTCAGCTACTCAGGAGGCTGAGACAGGAGAATCACTTGAACCCAGAAGGCGGAGGTTGCAGTGAGCCGAGATCGCACCAATGCACTCTAGCCTATATATATATGTATATATATATATACACACACACATATATATATACACACATATATATACACACATATATATAGTGTATGTAGTGTATGTATCAGCAATTACTTCCTCATGATTTGTTTTGCATTGTTCCTTCCAACCTTAGTCTACATGCATCCATTTATGCATACATATACCCTTATTCTGAACCATATACTTTGAAACTATGAGGTTTTTTAATATTTTCATATAAAATATACTTCACATGTCCAGAAGACCTTTTCTGTTTACATGTCACATGCTTTAATAAGTAAAACTTTAACAGTACTGTTGAAGGACACTTCTTTTTTTATTTAATTTTTATGTTTTAATGCTAGATTTAAGGGGCATACATGAATGTGTGTTACATGGGTATATTGCCTAATGGTGGGGATTTGGCTTTTAGTGTCTCTGTCACTCAAACATTGAACATTGAATCCAGTAGATAATCTTTCAACCTTTATCCCCTTCCTACCTCCCCACTTCTGAGTCTCCAATATCCCTTATACTACTCTGTATACTTTTGTGTACCCGTAGCTTAGTCCTCATTTATATGTGAGAACACGCAATATTTGATTTTCTGCTTCTGAGTTAGTGTACTTTGGATAATGGCCTCCAGCTCCATCCATGTTGCTGCAAAGGACAGGAATGCATTATTTTTTATGGCTGCATAGTATTCCATGGTGTCTATATAACACATTTTCTTTATCCAATCAACCATTGATGGACACTAGGTTTAGTTCCATGATTGCCATGGTGAATAATGCTGCCATAAGCATACGAGTGAAGGTGCGTTTTTTATATAATGATTTATTTTTCCTTTGGGTAGATACCCAGCAGTGGGATTACTGGGTTGAATGGTAGCTCTACTTTTAGTTCCTTAAAATATCTCCATATTGTTTCCATAGAAGTTGAACCAATCTACATTTCCACCAACAGTATACAAGCATCCCCGTTTCTCCACGTCCACACCAACATCTGCTATTTTTGGCTTTTAGTAATAGCCATTATGACTGGTGTAAAATATCTCAATGTGCTTTTAATTTGCATTTCTCTGGTAATTACTGATGTCGAGAATCTTTTCATGTGTTTCTTGGCTACCTGTATTCCATTTTTTGAGAAATATCTGTTCTTGTCCTTAGACCAGTTTTTAATGGGATTGTTTCTCCTTGAGTTGAGTTCTTTGAGTTTCTTATAGATTGTGGATATTAGCCCTTTGTCAGAGGCATAATTTGTTTTCTCTCATTCTGTAGGTTTTCTATTTACTTTTTGATTATTTCTATTGCTGTGAAGAGGACTTTTAGTTTAATCAAGTCCCATTTGTCTATTGTTGTTTCTGTTGCATTTGTTTTTGGGGTACCTGTCATAAATTATTTGCCTAGGCTGATGTCCAGAAAAGTTTTTCCTAGGTTTTCTCCTATTAATAAGACTTTTATAATTTCTGTCATGTACATTTTCAGGTCTTACATTTAAGTCTTTAATCTATCTTAAGTTAAATTTTGTATATGGTGAGAGAGGTCCAGTTCCATTCCTCTGCATATGGCTAGCCAATTATCCCAGCACTATTTATTGAATAGGGTGTCCTTTTCCCCATTGTTCATTTTTGTCAACTTTATTAAAAATCAGTTGGTTGTAGGTATGTGGCCTTATTTCTGGTTTCTCTGTTATGTTCTATTGATCTCTTTCTATTTTTGTACCAGCACCATGCTCTTTTAGTTTCTATAGCCTTGTAGAATAATTTGAAGTCCATTACTCATTATTGGTTTGTTCATGATTTCTAGTTCTTCCTGTTTCAGTCTTGGGAAGTTTTATGTTTCCGGGAATATATATCCATTTCCTCTAGGTTTTCTCATTTGTGTGCATAAAGGTGTTCTTCTGAATCATCGTTTAGTGACATTTTATTTTAGATTTACTACATATGTATGTATCCATAAGAAACTTTTTGTAAATGTGTCCACCAAAATTATTTGTCTCCACTTTTTTTCATCCAGCATTAGGTATATGACATTCATATATGTTGAAGCATATGGCTATAGTTCACTCATTATTAATTCTGTAATAGTATATTAGTATAAGAATAAACTATATGTAATTTAACCATTTTCCTGTTGATAGGCATTTGGACTATTTATCCTCACTCTTTTTAATAACAATGCTGTTGTATGAACATTTGTGTATTTGTCTCTAGTATACATAAGCAATATATTTTCTATGCTATAACTCCATAGAGTTTAAATTGCTGATTGTAGGGTATGTGGATCCTCAAAATTACATGATGATAGAAAATGATATTCTAAAATAGTTGTATTAATTTTACCTCTACTAGTATAAGTTATTGTTGCTTTATAATCTTGCCAATGCTGGGCATTGCCAGGCATAAGTAATTACTAACCTGGTGAGAAGGTATAGTATAATAATTATGTTATAATTACTATATAGCTTCAAATATATATTCAGTTTATCAAATTATTTCCAGATTGTTAATATATTTGATGAGTATAATCAAATTATTATTACTGGTGCAGTTAACATTTTACCATCATTATATTTGATATATCTTATGTCATCCTATTTTATCCTCTTTTTATGATTCCCAATATAAGAACATAAATTTCTGTTAATTTTGAGAATATTGTGAGCCACTTTAAAATTTCTTCTTTGCATTCATGTTGCTTTATTCATCACCAAGCATGGTCTCTTGGTCTTTGTTGTGCTTACTAATTTGGAAGTTTGAAAGATGAAGAAGCATTAATCTAATAACTCCATTATGCTATTTTGTAATCCTACTTCTTGGATTCTTTTTTAATTCAGTATAATATTCATCCCATCATATCACTGTCATTTAAGAAACCCTTTCCTATGCTTTACAATGTATTTTCAATCTGTTTAATTCAGCCACTAGTGCCACTGAGCAATGCCATTTGCCTAACACCAAACTGGCTGGCTAGGTGGCTTCACAGTCACCACCTGGTTTGCATTAATGTTCAGGATAAATTCCATAATACATCACAACACAGTTTGAGGAACAGGCTTCATTCAGGACACTTACAAAACAATGTTCACTAAGAAGATAAGACCTGGGTTTCCAAATCTATTTTTATTCACATGACAAGATAAATTGGGATCATAGGCCTCTGCTGCACATGCCATATGTATGCATTCCACAAGAGGGACATGGATCCCCTCTAACTATATACTTTTTATTCTATAAATATGAGAAAGTAGCCTCATCAATGGATGGATGAAGAGAGTACTCGGGTACCAATTAGTCTGAGTTCATATATCATTTCTTCAAAGAACTTGTTTGGAAATGCCAGCTGCCCCATCCTGGGAATGTGATAGGCCCTCTTAACAGAAAAAGGAAGGCACTGATCTCTCAGAGGATTGTTGTGAATATTAAATGAGATAGAGAATTTAAAAATGCCTAGTTCATGATAGGTATTGGCAAACATTAGTTCACATTTCCCAATAAGGTGTATGTGCATAAATATATGCACACATTTAGGGTGTGGTATTCTACCATTTATCACTAAAAACAGCAATAGATTGTGAAACACTTTAGAAATTTTGACTCTCATTTAGGAAATACCTATCAACTTAATATAATTCAGCTCTTTACATTTTGCATGCTTCAAAGGACTTTATATAAGCCATCCCATTTGATATTCACCATGACTAAGGGAGGGCTAGTATTGTCTCCATTATACAGAAATGAAAAATAAAGGTTAAGGAAGCAACATAGTACCAAGCTAAGTGAGCAAGGGAGAAACCATATACAAAGACCCCAGATTAAGGAAATGAAGGAAGAATTAATTCCATGTTTAACATTTGGATGTAACTGATTGGCAGTCATGAAATTGGGAATGATTCTCTCACTTATAGGTCATGACTGATAGGACATGCTTTAGGGCTATTTACTTATCCCCAAATCTGATGAAGTTTGTTGTTATTTCTCCAAATTCTTGCCAAATACCTAGAAAAATATGTGCCATATCCCACATAAAAGGCCAGATTCCTATATTAAAGTCTCTGTAAACTGTTCATTGTCTTGGAATTAAAGAAATACGCATCAAAACTATCCACTATTTGTCATACTCTAGTTAAAAGCCCCACTATAGAACTGAACCCAGAGTGGATATTTTATAGGAATTCACTCCTCAAGAGGTTCCCAGCTTTAACCTTGTATTAAGTGACACCACAAGAAGGCTACATGTCTGGTTCACATCATCTGCTCCATTCCCAATCACCTGCCAAGATTAGCTTAAATAACTTTATTTTCCACCATACCCTTGGTTTTTACTATGAACCTCTGATTTAAGAACCAGTCATACAAGGAAGGCATTCATCTTTCTCATAAAACTGTCATCTAGGACACTGGTAGTTACTTTGCTTACTGCTGTCATTTAATTGCTCTTACGGCCAATATTTCTCAGACTCCAAGCCAGGAAAATATATGGTTTTTCTGATCAACAGGTCTTCCTCATTTGGTTGGACAATTAAAACAATGTGTGATGGAAAAAAATATATATTGACTTGTTAGTTGACATCTATACGTTTTCACCCCAGCTCTACATGATCTTAACGAAATTATTAACATTTTGTAAGCCTCGGGTTTCTCTATAAAATGCAAATTATGAGCCCTCAATTGCAGGAGTATTCTGAGAAACAAACATTGCGATGGACTAACTGAAGAGTTTTGTAACAATTGCTAGCTTTTCAAAGTCTCTGCCATGTGTTGGAAACCGTAAGTTCCCTTGCACATATTATCTTTAAACTTCTCAGTAACGCAAAGTGATTTCACTATCTCTATTTTATAGATGACTAAATTAAGGTTCAGAGAATAGTAGTAACCTGTCTGAAGTTATGCAGCCAGTTGGTAGCTGAGCTAGAATTTAAAATCAAGATTTACTAACTCTGAAATTGGTCACTTACTATTTCCCTGGACCTTTCTGCATGTTTTTTTCCTTGGTCCTATCTGCTACAAAATTTTTAGCTAAGTTATAGGGTCAGATACTAAAACTTTCCTCCACTACCTTTTTAAAATTATAATTCTATCCCTCCCCACTGTCCTGTCATGCCTTGTTTCTCTTTGGTAGGCATGGTCATAGGGAAGGCTTTCAGAAAAACAATATATTATAGTGCTTACAAAGTTAGGAGTATGAAGTGAGACACACTTGGGTTTTAGTCCTGGCTCCATTATATTTTGTGTGTGTAGACAAGATATTTCAGTTCTGAAATCTCAATTTCTCATATGAAAATATCTGCTTTGTAGATTAGGGCAAATATGATAATGTATGTAAAGGGCCAGCATGGTGGCTGGCACATCATAAGCATTAAATAAATGCCAGTAAGCATTATTGAGAGGTGACAGCGTGCTGGCAGCCCTCACAGCCCTCTCTCGCTCTTGGCGCCTCCTCGGCCTTGGCACCCACTCTGGCCGCGCTTCAGCCCAGGCGCCTGCAGGCCAGCGCGAGTTCCGGGTGGGCGTGGGCTCAGTGGGCCCCGCACTCGGAGTGGCCAGCCGGTCCCACCGGCCCCAGGCAGTGAGGGGCTTAGCACCTGGGCCAGCAGCTGCTGTGCTTGACTTCTCACCAGGCCTTAGCTGCCTCCCCATGGGGCAGGGCTTGGGACCTGCAGCTCGCCATGCCTGAGCCTACCCCCCACTGTGGGCTCCTGCATGGCCTGAGACTCCCCGACGAGTGCCACCCCCTGCTCCACAGCACCCAATCCTATCGACCACCCAAGGGCTGAGGAGTGCGGGCACACAGTACGAGACTGGCAGGCAGCTCCACCTGAGGCCCCAGTGCAGGATCCACTGGGTGAAGCCAGCTGGGCTCCTGAGTCTGGTGGGGACTTGGAGAACCTTTATGTCTAGCTAAGAGATTGTAAATACACCAATCAGCACTCTGTATCTAGCTCAAGGTTTGTAAACACACCAATCAGCACCCTGTGTCTAGCTCAGGGTTTGGGAATGCACTGACTGACACTCTGTATCTAGGTGCTCTGGTGGGGACTTGGAGAACGTTTGTGTCCACACTCTGTATCTAGCTAATCTAGTGGGGACCTGGAGAACTTTTGTGTGGTGCTCAGGGATTGTAAATGCACCAATCAGCACCCTGTCAAAACGGACCAATCAGCTCTCTGTAAAATGGACCAATCGGCTCTCTGTAAAATGGACTAATCAGCAGGATGTGGGTGGGGCCAGATAAGAGAATAAAAGCAGGCTGCCCAAGCTAGCAGTGACAACCCGCTCGGGTCCCTTTCCGCAGTGTGGAAGCTTTGTTCTTTTGCTCTTTGCAATAAATCTTGCTGCTGCTCACTCTTTGGGTGCACACTGCCTTTAACACTCACCACGAAGGTCAGCAGCTTCACTCTTGAAGCCAGGAGACCGCGAACCCACCGGGAGGAACGAACAACTCCAAGACGCGCCGCCTTAAGAGCTGTAACACCGCGAAGGTCTGCAGCTTCAGGTAAATGACATAACGCCTCTGAGCCTATCGCCTCATATGTAAAGTTGGGATAATACTACCTGCACCATAGAATAATTGTGAAGATTTAATTAAATAATGGAAAAATAGCACTTGTCACAAGGCTTGCTACACATAAAAGTATAAAAGCTTATTAAATATTATCTTCATTGTCATTATTGTCAGGGAGATAAAAGACTGGGTGGAAATTCTGGAACGCTTATTTTTTTTTCCTTCCAATATTTATGAAATAATAGACAAAAGTTTTCTACTAACTAGGAATTATATGGTCTCAGGTAGAAATGAATGGCCCATCTGAGGGTTTAGTGGAAGAGAGTTCAATGGTTCAATAAAGAGGCTATTTTGAGACAGGTGCTCATAGTTAAGGAGGCCACGGGGGGGGCAAAGCAGCAGCTCCAGGAGAGCAGCCATGGGAAGCCATTTCCACCCTCAGGCTTGTGATGGCTGACTTGAGGCCTCAGCTTGACTGCATTTAGGGACATTGCAATAGCTGGTAGAGCATTATTTATTCTCAGCCCTTCAGATGACGCGCAGCCCGTTCCTTTTCTGCTAAAAAGGGAAACCCAGGTGGTTTTGATTTTTGTTTTAATGCTTGGGTTGCCCCAGGTGTATCTGTGAGAGTGTTTCTCGGAAGAGATTGGCCCGTGAGTCGGTGAACTGAGTGGAGAAGCTCCACCCTTAGTGCAGGCAGACACCCTTTAATCAGCTGGGGGCCTGGAGAGAACAAAAAGGCAGAGGAAGTGCAAATTCTTTCGCTCTCTCTTTTGGAGCCAGGATGTTCTCCTGCCCTTGGATGTCAGAAAGCTAGGTTCTCCAGCTTTTGGACTCTGGGATTTGCACCAGAGCCCGCCCCCGCAACCCCAACCACCCCAGGTTCTTAGGCTTTTGGCCTTGAAATGAGAGTTATGCCATCAGCTTATTTATTTGTAAGGCCTTGGGACTTGAACTGTGCCACATCATCAGCTTTCCAGATTCTCCAGTTCAGATGACCCTTTGTGGAACTTCTTAGCCTCCATAATCATATGAGCCAATTTTCCTAATAAATCCCTCTCACATCTCTCTGTCTCTCTCCCTTCCTCCCTCTCCCTGCCCCTCGTGTGTGTGTGTATCACACACACACACACCAGGTATCTAGCAGTGCTTTGCCCATGGTAGACAATCAGTATTTGTTTACCTACTATACTAATTTATTAATATCTCACACATACTGCCTCTCCTGTAAAGTCATGCAGAACAAAATGAACTCCATGTCTCTGCAATTATAAAACCTAAGAATCCTAGAAACTCTCACGTGTAATTTACTTTCTAAACCACTTCTGGTTTTGATGTATGTTTAGAGGTAGAATGGGAGGGTGGTTAAGGAACTTACGAAGGTGGGGAGTTAATATTGTGGTCTCGAGGAGGAACAGTAGTTGAATCATCCGCTAAAAGTAAGCAGAGTAACTCCATGTGCTAAGTTAGTGGTTATGACAGTTTACATAACCACTGTACTTCTTTCTGCCATACAGTTGAATATTAGGCTCCTTGGCAGGCAAACCTATTGGGTTATTTGTTAAAACCTTCCAGTTAATATTTGGAAAATCCTTGATTTTACATAACAGGTGAAGCTCCCAAGAGTGTCTATTGTGATTGTTTTAATCACTTTCAAATACATATTTGTGTTAATCACTTTCAAATACAATGAAGGAATTGAATATTAAAAGAAAAATATTTTTAAAGTGCACTAATTTGAAGGTCTCTTTAAATTAGCTGCAAGCACTAGAAAAACCTCCAGTCTCAGTAACAAATATCATCCTAGCCCATGTTAATCAAACCTCTATATTTCTGATATTGTGATTACATGTTTCCTAACTCTTAGAAGAACTCAATAAGGAATATGCTATCCATTTTCATTGTAGACACAGAGACTATATATATATATAGATAGATGGATAGATAGATAGATAGATATCTCCTACCACTTCTGTCTTTCTGGAGAACCATGAGTAAAACAGTCCTGAAGGGGAAGAGGGAGGAAAGTATATTACCAGTGATCTCTGTAGCTGTAGAAGAAAGCCACCCAATAAAAACTGACCAGACAAGCAGCAGGGGTGGGAATAAATGCTTTGACATGTCCTCCTCCGATCCTATGACCTGTAAGTGCTTCTTATTGGCTGAACCCGAAGGGACAACAGGAAAAAGAGGATCAAAGGAACCTGGGAATAGAACCCATAGAGATCAGCCTCCCAGGACACAGTGAGAAAGATAAGCAGAACCAAAGGAGAAGAACCGACACAGTCAAATATCACAAAGCCACCAATCACTAGACATGGAAAAGTACTGATTTAAAAGCAAAACTTATTCATATTGAATCCATTTCAACTACTAATTAGGTATGATTAGATAATTTAATTGAACATTATAAATATGTTTCATCAATGAAAATGGATGATAATGCATTCCTCATTGGGTTCTCCTAAGAGTTGGGAGACTTGTGTGTAACTAAATACACCATGAGAAATATAAAGGTTTGGTTAACATTGACTGTGATGATGCTATTTGTTATTGAGGCTCTGTAGGCTTTTCCAGTGTGGCAGCTAATTTAAAGAGCCCTTTACGTTAGTGAATTCATTAGGTAAACAGTAAAATCCTGAGTGTCTACCATGGGCAAAGTACTGCCAGGTACCTTGGATGTAACAGTGTTCGCAAGCAACCTGGACTTTACTATCAGAAGTTTATAGTCTAGTAGATTAAATCATACAAATACATCTTTTAAATTGTGAAACATACCAAGAAAAAAGTCATGTTATGGTTTTTTGGTTTTGGTATATGGAAGCATACCGAAAGGGCTCTAATTGAGATAGGATGATCAGAAAAGGCCTAAGGAGGGACACTTGAGACCAAGCACTACAGAATGGTGAATATGACAGGCTGGGTTGGGTAGGGAGGGGGCTGGGACTGGGGAGAGGTCAAAGGAAAAACATCTGTACAAAGGTCCTGAGGTTAGAATGACTGGAATGAGGTCAGTTTTTGTGAGGAACTGAAAGGAGCCCAGCATGAGCACAGCAAAAGGAGCAAAAGTGTGTGTGTTGGGTGGGAAGGTGGGGTGAGGGGGTAAAGGAAAAGATGAGGTTGGAAGTAGATAAGGATCCTGTCATTCAGTGCTACACGGTAAGCCATTGATGAGTTAGAAATTTGGTCTAAAGAGAGAAACCAATGAAGCATTTCATATAGGGAAGTAGTAGGGTCTCATTTACGTTTTCAAAGGCTTACCCTGGCTTTTTAGTGCAGAACAGGTTGGAAAGGGGCAAAAATAAATGTGGAGACCAATTAGGAAGCTATTTGAATGGACAAGACCAGAGGTGATGGTGGCTTTGACCAGGTCAGTGGTAATGAGGTTGTCTTACATCTGCATCAGTAGCAAATTTGATGAACCAGATGAAAACCTATTCTCTAAAAAGAAGGTAACATAAACTATATTACAGGATTGTTGTAAAGATTGAATAAGATGTGTGCAAACATAGGCCAAAGCCACAGCTATATACTAAGAACTCAAGAAATTTCCTCCCTGTTTTTGCATATACCAGACTGTTGGTTTCATGAGGATATTTATATTATTCTTGTTTGAATCCACCCAGTCTTCTAGTACCGTGTTTCTTGAATGACTATGTATGACATGACTGCAAAATACTAAACCTTTTGGAAACAATGTTCTAAGTCAGGAGAGAAAAAGCCTAGCAAACATGTTTCACTTCTAAATTCTCGATTTGAATTTGTTCTGTTTCCTCTTTAGACTTAGATACCATAATTCCAAGGGCTCCTTAGAGGCTGTTTTGTGGAATGCTAAAGGCCATCCAAAATTCAATTTTGTTGTTGTTGTTGTTGGAATGAAACATCATCCAGCACTTGCAGAATTATCCTTTAAGAACTACAAAGTGCTTTTCAAATGAAGTTACAGCCTGATGATGAACTAGAAGGGGAAATGAAGGAACTGGATGATTTATGTATCTATGTGCAGTAGACAAGTGAATTGGCAAGATGCAAAAGGGTGAAATACCAGTGTCTCCACCCCATCTTACCATCATTTTGTATTGTAAAATTTAACTTTCTTTTTCTTCAGGATTTCTTGGAATAATGTCAGTAAAAAAAAAAAAAAATGCAACTGGATCCCTGGCTTTGCTTCAGTTTCTTCACAAGAATATAAGAAAGCTATGAATCTGGGAATCTAATACCCCATGTGTCCTTTTGAAAGGCATTGTGTATTGCATTGGGTTTGTTTGTTTTGTTTTGTTTTATATGAGGATGTTGAATCTACTCTGTAAATTACTTCATCAAATTGTGTATTTAAAAGCAATTGATAATTCTAAAAAAGCATTTTCATAAGCAACACATCTTAATAATTACTAAAGTGTCTGATAAGGAAATAATAAATCCCATGGTAAATCAGACCAATAACAGGTCAGAACAAAACTATTTCTAAGAGGGAAATGAAAGAGTTTCTCTGGGTAAAATACAGTGGAATTACTCATTATACTGTGGCATGACACTAAAGACAATATATTAGGTCAAATTTTGGATATGATCAGGACTCTTTCTGAAAAAAAATCGTCCATGAAGCACATACATGGTTTAGGTATGAACCCTGAGTAGAACAAATGGAAGATTATATGCTTTTTTTATGATGCACTGTCTGTAAGCTAAGTGAATAGAAGATGGGTACATAATTCTTCAGCAGTCCTGCTTGCCTGAAGTATTAGTGCACTCTTTAATAATAAGTCACTGTAAAAATTATAATGTCCATAGGTCAATTTATTATTGTAAGCACTAAACAAAAGAATGGAGAATAATCTTTGGCTGAGGTTAGGATCAAAGGCTACACAGAATGTACAAGCTATGATTGCAGGCTTGGTCCATTCCATGACTCTTATTATATCACATAAATCAACCAACCAGTAATGATTTATTTGGTGTCAGTGTCATGCTTATTCCCATTTTAAGTGCACTGAAGTTGATAGGGAAAAAATAACTAAAAGTAATAGTTCGTTCATGGTATTCATTCACTAAATTTGCTGAATGTTATGAATGAATAAATGAATGAAAGATTATTTTATTGCCTTTCTGGGAAATTGCTATGCCTTTTCAAAAATCTTTGTTTAGAGTTTCTTCTACCACTACCATCCACTACAAACCCTGGATGTTCTAAATCTGCTTTCCTATGTGACTGTACTAACACACTTACTTTTTAAAGAAATCTTTCTACACTTCACATTTTATCTCAATTAACCATGTACATGTCTGTTTACCAGAAACTATGTCTCATTCATTTTTATATCAGTGCTTATACAATAGTTGGAACATATTAGATATATTAGATGCTTCATACAATTATTAATTCATCCATAAATTCATATGCTTATGTATTAAATGAAAACCTGTTATAATGAGTCCCTATGCTAGGTGTTGGCAAGGTACCTGTCACAGTCTCCAAAACTCTGTAGCTGCTTTAGATTTCTGTTATTAGTGCACTGATCAACATAAGATGCAACTATTCTGTCAAACTATTAAGAAAAAAAATAAACCAAACATTTATAACTGGTAGTTTTCCGAGGCAGAAATGTGAATCCTGAAGCCAAATGATAAATTTGCTTATTATTTACTTTTTGTAGCATTACAATCTTAATTGTTATTCAGATATTCTACTAGGTCTACCTACATGGTTAGCTAGGCAACTAATGATCAAGTGAGCTGTTTTTTTTTTTTTTTTTTTTGGTTTTATCTTGGAACTTCATGAGGAGGGCCATAATGTTGATTTAAAATCAGTTTTCAATAAGGTGAACCATGGTCAATATAGCATATTGCCTTCTGTACTGGGAGGCAGTATGCAAAGTGTTAGGAGCATAGACACTGTTATCAGCCTTCCTGGGTTTAACCTTAACAATACCTTGAACATATGTACCTTGAACAAAGTACCAAGCCCTATTATGTTTTTTTTTGTTTTTGTTGAACACAGTACCAAGCCTTATTATGTTTTTTTGTTTTTGTTTTTGGATGGAGTCTCACTCTGTCCCTCAGGCTGGAGTGCAGTGGTGTGATCTCAGCAGCTCACTATAGCCTTCCGTCTCCCAGGTTCAAGCGATTCTCCTGCCTCACCTTCCCAAGTACCTGGGACTACAGGCATGCAGCACCATGCACTGCTAATTTTTGTACTTTTTTTTTTCTTTTCTTTAGTAGAGATGGGGTTTCACTATGTTGGCCAGGCTGGTTTCGAACTCCTGACCTCAAGTGACCCGCCCACCTCGGCCTCCCAAAGTGCTGGGATTACAGGTGTGAACCACTGTGCCCAGCCACCTCATTATGTTTTAACATTCTCTCACATTAGGTAAAGATATTCATGATGCTTACTTCACAGACTTGTAAAGACAGAATCACACATGCAATGTACCTAGAAAAGTGATCAGTACATAGTACTCAATACACTTTAGCTATCATTATTAGCCATATATTTTTACATTGATTTTTATAAAGAATATAGATTCTGGGCCAGGCACGATGGCTCATGCCTGTAATCCCAGCACTTTGGGAGGCCAAAGTGGGAGGATCACAAGGTCAGGAGATCGAGACCTTCTTGGCCAACATGGAGAAACCCCGTCTCTACTAAAAATACAAAAATTAGCCGGGCGTGGCGGCACAGGCTTATAGTCCCAGCTACTCCGGAGGCTGAGGCAGGACAATCGCTTGAACCCAGGAGGCAGAGGTTGCAGTGAGCCAAGATCATGCCACTGCACTCCAGCCTGGTGACAGAGTGAGATTGCATCTCAAAAAAAAAAAAAAATATATATATATATAGATTCTGATATTCCTAGAGTTTCTCCTGATGAAAGCTAGACAGTTCTGTTTATCAGTCACATGAAGATATTTGTTTAACTAAAATTTTTATTTACGATGTATTTAGATTCACATGAAATTGGAATAAATCATACAGAGAGATAATCCACATCCCTTACCTATTTCCCCCATCAGTAACATCTTGTAACATCATAGTACAATATCACAACCATGGAGTTGGCATTGATAACAGTTATGATGCAGTTCTGTCATGACAAAGATTCCTCATGTTGCCTTTTATAGCCATTCTCACCCACCCCGACTCCATTTCTCTGTTCCTGATTCCTGTTACCCACTAATTGTTCCCCTTTTCTATAATTTAACTCCTTCAGCACCATTTGTTTAAAAGGCTGTCCTTTCGGCCAGGCGCGGTGGCTCCCGCGGGAGGCCGAGGCGGGCGGATCACGAGGTCAGAAGATCCACACCATCCTGGCTGACACGGTGAAACCCCGTCTCTACTAAAAAAATACAAAAAATTAGCTGGGCGTGGTGGCAGGCACCTGTAGTCCCAGCTACTCGGGAGGCTGAGGCAGGAGAATGGCATGAACCCAGGAGGCGGAGCTTACAGTGAGCCGAGATCGCGCCACTGCTCTCCAGCCTGGGCGACAGAGCAAGACTCTGTCTCAAAAAACAAACAAACAAAAATAAAAATAAAGGTCCTTCACATCCCTTGTAAGTTGGATTCCTAGGTATTTTATTCTCTTTGAAGCAATTGTGAGTGGGAGTTCACTCATGATTTGGCTCTCTGTTTGTCTCCTATTGGTGTATAAGAATGCTTGTGATTTTTGTACATTGATTTTGTATCCTGAGACTTTGCTGAAGTTGCTTATCAGCTTAAGGAGATTTTGGGCTGAGACAATGGGGTTTTCTAGATATACAGTCATGTCGTCTGCAAACAGGGACAATTTGACTTCCTCTTTTCCTAACTAAATACCCTTTATTTTCTTCTCCTGCCTAATTGCCCTGGCCAGAACTTCCAACACTATGTTGAATAGGAGTGGTGAGAGAGGGCATCCCTGTCTTGTGCCAGTTTTCAAAGGGAATGCTTCCAGTTTTTGCCCATTCAGTATGATATTGGCTGTGGGTTTGTCATAGATAGCTCTTATTATTTTGAAATACATCCCATCAATACCTAATTTATTGAGAGTTTTTAGCATGAAGGGTTGTTGAATTTTGTCAAAGCCTTTTTCTGCATCTATTGAGATAATCATGTGGTTTTTGTCTTTGGCTCTGTTTATATGCTGGACTACATTTATTGATTTGCATATATTGAACCAGCCTTGCATCCCAGGGATGAAGCCCACTTGATCATGGTGGATAAGCTTTTTGATGTGCTGCTGGATTCGTTTTGCCAGTATTTTATTGAGGATTTTTGCATCAATGTTCATCAAAGATATTGGTCTAAACCACTGCTCAAGGAAATAAAAGAGGATACAAACAAATGGAAGAACATTTGATGCTCATGAGTAGGAAGAATCAATATCGTGAAAATGGCCATACTGCCCAAGGTAATTTACAGATTCAATGCCATACCCATCAAGCTACCAATGACTTTCTTCACAGAATTGGAAAAAACTACTTTAAAGTTCATATGGAACCAAAAAAGAGCCCGCATCACCAAGTCAATCCTAAGCCAAAAGAACAAAGCTGGAGGCATCACACTACCTGACGTCAAACTATGCTACAAGGCTGCAGTAACCAAAACAGCATGGTACTGGTACCAAAACAGAGATATAGATCAATGGAACAGAAAAGAGCCCTCAGAAATAATGCTGCATGTCTACAACTATCTGATGTTTGACAAACCTGAGAAAAACAAGCAATGGGGAAAGGATTCCCTATTTAATAAATGGTGCTGGGAAAACTGGCTAGCCATATGTAGAAAGCTGAAACTGGATCCCTTCCTTACACCTTATACAAAAATCAATTCAAGATGGATTAAAGACTTAAACGTTAGACCTAAAACCATAAAAACCCTAGAAGAAAACCTAGGCATTACCATTCAGGACATAGGCATGGGCAAGGACTTCATGTCTAAAACACCAAAAGCAATGGCACCAAAAGCCAAAATAGACAAATGGTGGGATCTAATTAAACTAAAGAGCTTCTGCACAGCAAAAGAAACTACCACCAGAGTGAACAGGCAACCTACAAAATGGGAGAAAATTTTCACAACCTACTCATCTGACAAAGGGCTAATATCCAGAATCTACAATGAACTCAAACAAATTTACAAGAAAAAAACAAACAACCCCATCAAAAAGTGGGCGAAGGACATGAACAGACACTTCTCAAAAGAAGACATTTATGCAGCCAAAAAACACATGAAAAAATGCTCATCATCACTGCCCGTCAGAGAAATGCAAATCAAAACCACAATGAGATACCATCTCACACCAGTTAGAATGGCAATCATTAAAAAGTCAGGAAACAACAGGTGCTGGAGAGGATGTGGAGAAATAGGAACACTTTTACACTGTTGGTGGGACTGTAAACTAGTTCAACCATTGTGGAAGTCAGTGTGGCGCTTCCTCAGGGATCTAGAACTGGAAATACCGTTTGACCCAGCCATCCCATTAGTGGGTATATACCCAAAGGACTATAAATCATGCTGCTGTAAAGACACATGCACACGTATGTTTATTGCGGCATTATTCTCAATAGCAAAGACTTGGAACCAACCCAAATGTCCAACAATGATAGACTGGATTAAGAAAATGTGGCACATATACACCATGGAATACTATGCAGCTATAAAAAATGATGAGTTCATGTCCTTTGTAGGGACATGGATGAAATTGGAAATCATCATTCTCAGTAAACTATCGCAAGAACAAAAAACCAAACACCGCATATTCTCACTCATAGGTGGGAACTGAACAATGAGATCACATGGACACAGGAAGGGGAATATCACACTCTGGGGACTGTTGTGGGGTGGGGGGAGGGGGGAGGGATAGCATCGGGAGATATACCTAATGCTAGATGATGAGTTAGTGGGTGCAGCGCACCAGCATGGCACATGTATACATATGTAACTAACCTGCACAATGTGCACATGTACCCTAAAACTTAAAGTATAATAAAAAAAAATAAAAATATTATAAAAATAAAAAGCTGTCCTTTCTTCATTGAAGTGCTTATACAGTTTTGTAAAAATACAATTGTGCATATTTTGGTGGGTCTATTTTGGGTTCTCTATGCTACGATATTGACCTATGTATTTACCCCTCCTTAACCACACTGACTTAATAACTGTAGCTATATAGTAGGTCTGAATATGAGATAGAATTATTTCTCTTACTTCATTCTTCTTTTTCAAGATGCTTTTAGCTATTGTGGGGCCTGTGCCTTTCCATATGAATTTTATGATAAGTTACCTATGTCTGCAAGAAAACATACTGATATCTTGATAAGAGTCATAACTATGAATAGTTTGAGAAGAATTGATATCTTACTATGCTGAGTTTTCCTATTCACAAACACAATGCATTTCTTTTCTGATTTCTGTCAGCATTTTAAAATTTTCAGCATACAGATCGTATACATGTTTAGTTAGATTTAAATCTAGGTATTTAATTTTTTATGTGCTTGTAAATAGTAATGTCTTTTAAATTTCAGTTTCTACATGTTCAATCTTAGTATATAGAAATCCTGTTAGTTTTTTTGTATTGATCTTGTAAGATCCTGGAACCTCGCTGTACTCATTACTGGAGTATTTTTGTATATCCCTGGGGTTTTTCTATGTAAATAATCATGTCATCTGCAAACAAGAACAGTTTTATTTTTTTCAAATCTTTATTTCTTTTTCTTGCCTATTGTGTTGCCTAGAATTTTCAGCACTATTTAGAATAATAGTAGTGAGAGTGAATAGGTTTGCACTGTTCCCCATCTCAAAGGGAAAACATTGTCTTTCAATATTAAGTATCCTATTAGCTTATAGATATCTTGTGGATTTTTAAAAAATCAAGTTTACGAAGTTCTCTATTTTCAGTGTGCTGAGAGTTTTTATAATAAGTGAGTGTTGGATTTTGCCAAATGCTTTTTTTGGTGTTAACTGACATAACGAGAAGATTTTTTTGTTGTTGTTTTTCAGCCTATCCATACAATGAATTCCATTGATTGCTTTTTGAATGTGGGACAAGCCTTGCAGACTGTAATAATAAATACATTTAAATTGTTTCAGAATAAGATGAGGTATTTCTAAATGTCTTTTGTGCAGCCATAAGATGAAGAACCAATGAAATAAATCTCTTTTGGTCATGGTGTATAATCATTTTTATACATTGCTGAACTTGATTGGCTAATATTTTGTTGGAATTTTGCTTTCTATGTTCATATAAGATTTTTTTTAAATTATACTTTAAGTTCTAGGGTACATGTGCACAATGTGCAGGTTTGTTACATAGGTATACATGTGCCATGTTGATGTGCTGCACCCATTAACTTGTCATTTATATTAGGTATTTCTCCTAATGCTATCCCTCCCCCTCTCCCCCAACCCCATGACAGGCCCCAGAGTGTGATGTTCCCCGCCTTGTGTCCAAGTGTTCTCATTGTTCAGTTCCCACCTATGAGTGAGAACATGTGGTGTTTAGTTTTCTGTCCTTGCGATAGTTTGCTAAGAATGATGGTTTTCTGCTTCATCCATGTCCCTTCAAAGGACATGAACTCATCTTTTTTATGGCTGCATAGTATTCCATGGTATGTATGTGCCACGTTTTCTTAATCCAGTCTATCATTGATGGACATTTGAGTTGGTTTCAAGTCTTTGCTATTGTGAATAGTGCTGCAATAAACACATGTGTGCATGTATCTTTATAGTAGCATGATTTATAATCCTTTGGATATATACCCAGTAATGGGATGGCTGGGTCAAATGGTATTTCTAGTTCTAGATGCTTGAGGAATCGCCACACTGTCCTCCACAATGGTTGAACTAGTTTACACTCCCACCAACAGTGTAAAAATGTTCCTATTTCTCCACATCCTCTCCAGCACCTGTTGTTTCCTGACTTTTTAATGATCGCCATTCTAACTGGCATGAGATGGTATCTCTTGTGGTTTTGATTTGCATTTCTTTGATGACGAGTGATGATGAGCATTTTTTCATGTGTCTGTTGGCTGCATAAATGTCTTCTTTTGAGAAGTGTCTGTTCATATCCTTTGCCCACTTTTGATGGGGTTGTTTGATTTTTTTCTTGTAAATTTGTTTAAGTTCTTTGTAGATTCTGGATATTAGCCCTTTGTCAGATGAGTAGATTGCAAAAATTTTCTCCCATTCTGTAGGTTGCCTGTTCACTCTGATGGTAGTTCCTTTTGCTGGGCAGAAGTTCTTTAGTTTAATTAGATCCCATTTGTCTATTTTGGCTTTTGTTGCCATTGCTTTTGGTGTTTTGGACATGAAGTCCTTGCCCATGCCTATGTCCTGAATGCTATTGCCTATGTTTTCTTCTAGGGTTTTTATGGTTTTAGATCTAATATTTAAGTCTTTAATCCATCTTGAATTAATTTTTGTATAAGGTGTAAGGAAGGGATCCAGTTTCAGCTTTCTACATATGGCTAGGCGGTTTTCCCAGCACCATTTATTAAATAGGGACTCCTTCCCCCATTTCTTTTTTTGGTCAGGTTTGTCAATGATCTGATGGTTGTAGATGTGTGGTGTTATTTCTGAGGGCTCTGTTCTGTTCCATTGGTCTATATCTCTGTTTTGGTACCAGTACCATGCTGTTTTGGTTACTGTAGCTTTGTAGTATAGTTTGAAGTCAGGTAGCATGATGCATCCAGCTTTGTTCTTTTTGCTCAGAGTTGTCTTGGCTATGTGGGCTCTTTTTTGGTTCCATATAAAATTTAAATTAGTTTTTTCTAATTGTGTGAAGAAAGTCATTGGTAGCTTGATGGGGATAGCATTAAATCTATAAGTTACTTTTCTTTTTTGTTTTTTTGAGATGGAGTCTTGCTCTGTCACCCAGGCTAGCCTGCAGTGGTGAGATTTCAGTTCACTGCAACCTCCGCCTCCCAAATTCAAGAGATTCTCCTGTCTCAGCCTCCTGAGTAGCTGGGATTACAGGCATGTACCACCACACCCGGCTAATTTTTGTATTTTTAGTAGAGACGGGGTTTTACCATGTTGGTCAGGCTGGTCTTGAACGCCGGACCTCATGATCCTCCTACCTTGGCCTCCCAAAGTGCTGGGATTACAGGCGTGAGCCACCGAAGATTTTGTTTTGTAGCTTTCTTTTCTTTTCTTTTCTTTTTTTTTTTTTTTTACTTTTTCTAGTTTTGGTGTCAAGGTAACAGGAACTGTTTCTTCCTCCTCTAATTCTAAAAACAACTGATTAAAATTGGTCGTAATTCTTCTTTTAATATTTGGTAAAATTTGTGAGTGATTCCATTTGGACCTGGAGATTTTTTTGGGGGGAGCTTTTTAATTACACATTTATTTAGTGGTTATAGTACCATTATAGAACAGGCTATGTATTTAATCTTGATTGAATTTTGATTATGTTTCATGGAATTGGTCAATTTATTTTGAGTTGCTGAATTTATGAGCATTAATTTGTTCATAGTGGCTGCAGAATTTGTAGTGTATATCCAGTTTATTCCTGCTATTAGTGATTTGTGTCTTTTGTCTTCTCTGTCTTGCTAGAGGTTTATCAATATCACTGATATTTTTAAAGATAATTTTTTGGTTTTGTTGTTTTTAAGTTGTATTCCTATTCTCAATTTTATTTTTACTATTTCTTTCTGTTTATGTTGGGTCTACTTTCTTTTCTTTTTCTATTTTCTTGAAATAATCAGGACAGTCTTGAGAGTTACAAGTGTTTCTGTGAATAAATGCACTGGGAGAGCAGGTGTCCACTGGGATTATCAGGCAAATTAGAGAGGGTTGTCACCCTATTGATAACCCTAAGCAGTGGGACTGTAGGAATTAGATCCATGGCCACTTCATGTGTATCACAAGGGTCTTGGATCAGGATATCTGGTCAGCACTGGCTCTTTCGCTTCTTGCATGAAGTCCCTCATTACTAATCACAAAGAGCACAAATTGTTATCCTGTGAAGTACCATAGTCCTGACACCCTAATATACTCAAGTTTGGTCTGCATTGTTGTTTTGGTACCAGGAGGTATGTGCTAACTCTTATAACAAGGTTTCAAGTGTAGGTGAAAAGTCAGAAGTGGTAGCTAATATTTGTTGTGCCTCTGTTGTTGAATATGTTTAAATCTATAATTTACTCCTCATAACAATATTATAAGTTTCAAAATCTTCATTTTGTAAAAAGGAAATTAAATCTTGAAGAGGCTAAATCCTTTGTATAACATATAGCAAATGGTGGAGATAGGACATGAGGTGAGAGATAGATGCCTAACTCCATCCTACTAAAAAGCTTTCCAGTGCATGCTGTTTGCATCAACACATGCTAGCTGTCATTACATACAGAGGAGGGTGCTCTGATCATGTAATCACAACTGTAGTTTCTAGAAAGGCCCCAATGTATATTTAATCATGATGAGATATGGTGATGTTGGATTCATATATGTAGTTGTTTTGATGAAGGAAAATAAATTTACATCGTTTTAGGAAAAAAATAGATTCGTTAAATGTCCTTTGTGCAGCTATAAGAACCAATGAAGTAATATTTAAGCTACATTACCTCAGGAGAAGGTGTTGACCATGTCCTGAACAATCCATTTTATAGTTGGGAAATATTACCAGCATGTATGTAGTGTTTAAACTGTAAATTATATACACACAGGGTCATAGGCAATGGACATAATCAATGACATATATAGACAAAATTTGGAGATTGAGATCTGACAAAGATAATCAGTAGAGCCCAGTAGAAAATGAAGTGAAGGATTTGTGTATGTAATTATATTCAGGGTCTATCAAAATGTATACAGCTTCATTTTGTCTGCTTTAAAAGGAAACAAGTTATACATTTTCCTTTCTTTCATTCATACTAAGATGTAGATAAAACACATTTATTTACTTATTTACATTTAAACATTTATTCCACAGCTTTTACTAAGAAGTGCAATCTGTTGATTAATCTGTATTGAGTGCACAGAACTTACAATTCAGTCATGAAAAGGCAACCTAATTTTAAAATGGGCAAAGGACTTGAATAGACATTTCTCCAAGGAAGATATACAGATGGTCAATAAGCACATGAAAAGATGCCTAGGATCACTAATTGCTATGGTTTGGCTGTGTCCCCACCAAATCTCATCTTGAATTGTATCTCCCAGAATTCCCATGTGTTGCAGGAGGGACTCAGGGGAGGTAATTGAATCATGGGGACCAGTCTTTCCCATGTCATTCTTGTTAAAGTGAATAAGTCTCACGAGACCTGATGGGTGTATCAGGGGTTTCTGCTTTTCTTCTTCCTCATTTTCTCTTGCCACCACCATGTAAGAAGTGCCTTTTGCCTCCCGCCATGATTCTGAGGCCTCCCCAGCCATGTGGAACAGTAAGTCCGATTTAACCTCTTTTCTTCCCAGTCTCAGGTATGTCTTTATCAGCAGCGTGAATACAGACTAATACAGTAAATTGTTACCAGTAGAGTGGGGTGCTGCTGAAAAGATACCTGAAAATGTGAAAGCGACTTTGGAACTGGGTAACAGGCAGAGGTTGGAACAGTTTGAAGGGCTCAGAAGAAGACAGGAAAATGTTGGATAGTTTGGAACTTCCTAGAGGCTTGTTGAATGGCTTTGCCCAAAATTCTGATAGTGATATGGACAATAAGGTCCAGGCTGAGGTGGTCTCAGATGGGGATGAGGGACTTGTTGGGAACTGGAGCAAAGGTGACTCTTGCTATGTTTTAAGAAAGAGACTGGTGGCATTTTGCCCTTGGCCTAGACATTTATGGAACTTTGAACCTGAGAGAGATTATTTAGGGTATCTGGCTGAAGAAATTTCTAGGTACCAAAGTATTTAAGAGGTGACTTGGGTACTGGTAAAGGCATTCAGTTTTATAAGGGAAGCAGAGCATACAAGTTTGGAAAATGTGCAGCTTGACTATGCATTAGAAAAGAAAAACCCATTTTCTGAGGAAAAATTCAAGTTGGCTACAGAAATTTGCATAAATAGCAAGTACCCTAATGTTAATCCCCAAAACCATGGGGAAAATGTCTCCAGGCCATGTCAACGATCCTCACAGCAGCCCCTCCTATCACAGGCCCAGAGGCCCAGGAGGAAAAAGTAGGCTGGGCCCAGGGTCCCTGTGCTGTGTGCAGCATGGGGCCTTGGTGCTCTGTGTCCCAGCTGCCCCAGCCATGGCTGAAAGGGACGAATGTACAACTCAGGCTGTGGCTTCAGAGGGTGGAAGCCTCAAGCCTTGGCAGCTTCCACATGGTGTTGAGCCTGCAGGTGCACAGAAGTCAAGAATTGAGGTTTGGGAACCTCCATCTAGATTTCAGAAGATGTACGGAAATGCCTGAATGCCCAGGCAAAAGTTTGCTGCAGGGGTAGGGCCTTCATGGAGAACCTCTGCTAGGGCAGTGCAGAAGGGAAATGTTGGATCAGAGCCCCTACACAGAGTCCCTAGTGGGGTGCTGCTTAGTGGAGCTGTGAGAAGAGGGCCACCATCCTCCAGACCCCGGAATGGTAGATCCACCAACAGCTTGCACCACACTCCTGGAAAAGCCACAGACACTCAATGCCAGTCTGTGAAAGCAGCCAGGAGGGAGGCTGTACCCTGCAAAGTCACAGTGGCAGAGCTTCCCAAGACCATGAGAACCCACCTCTTGCATCAGCATAACCTGGATGCAAGATCTGGAGTCAAAGGAGATCATTTTGGAGCTTTAATAAAAATGTGACTTCCCTGCTGGATTTCAGACTTGCATGGGCCATGTAACCTCTTTGTTTTGGCCAATTTCTCCCATTTAGAGTGGGTGTGTTTACTCAATACCTGTACCCCCATTGTATCTCAGAAGTAACTAGCTTGCTTTTGATTTTACAGGCTTATAGATGGAAGGGGCTTGCCTTGTCTTTGATGAGACTTTGGACTGTAGACTTTCGGGTTATTGGGGTAATGGTGAAATGAGTTAAGACTTTGAGGGACTATTGGGAAGGCATGGTTTGTTCTGAAGTGTGAGGACATGAGATTGGAGGGGCCAGGGGCAGAGTGATATGGCTTGGCTGTGTCCCTACCAAACGTCAACTTGAATTGCATTTCCTAGAATTCCCACGAGTTGCGGCAGGGACCGAGAGGGAGGTAATTGAATAATGAGGGCTGGTCTTTCCCATGTTATTCTTGTTATAGTGAATAAGTCTCATGAGATCTGATGGGTTTATCAGAGGTTTCCACATTTGCTCCTTCCTCATTTTCTCTTGCCGCCACCATGTAAGAAGTGCCTTTTGCTTCCTGCCATGATTCTGAGGCCTCCCCAGCCATGTGGAACTGTAAGTCCAATGAAACCTCTTTTTCTTCCCAGTCTCAGATATGTCTTCATCAGCAGTGTGAAAATGGACTAATAACACTAATCATTAGTTAAATGCAAATCAGAACCGCAATGATACACCATTTCATACCTGTCAGATGACTATCATCAACAAAACCCCAGAAAATAACAAATGTTGACAAGAGTATAAAGAGATTGGGACCATTGTGCATTGCTAGTAAAAATGGAAAATGATGTAGCCACTGTGGAAAATAATGTGGCAGTTCCCCAACAAATCTAACATAAAATTACCATTTGATCAGAAGTTTCTCTACATTTAACGTAGTGAAACATTTAATGTATATACCCAAGAGAATCAAAAGCTGAATCTTGAACAGATGCTTGTGCACTGCTATTCTTAGCAGCATTAAAAATAGTCAAAAGGTGGAATCAGCTCAAATGTCCATCAACAGATGAATAGAAAAAAAATGGTGTGTTCATACAATGGAATATTATGTAGCCTTAAGAGATGAAATTCTGACACACTCCATGACATGGATGAAACTTGAAGGCATTATGCAAAGTGAAATCAGCCAGCTGCAAAAAGACAAATACTGTATAATTCCATTTATATGAGGCACCTACAGTGGTCAAATTTATAGCCACAGAAAATAGAATGATGGTTGTCAGGGGCTTGAAAGAGGGGAGAATGGAGAGATATTATTTAATGGGTATAGCGTTTCTCTTTGGAAAGATGAAAAAGTTCTAGAGAAGAATGGTGGTGATGGCTGTCCAACAGTGTGTATGTACTTGATGCCACTAAACTGCACACCTAAAAATGATTAAAATGGTAAATTTTGTTGTATATATTTTACCACAATTTTGAAAACTTAACATCTTTGTCTGTCTAGCACCCTCCCCTGATTCAACAGCGTAAATCAACTTAGCAAACTAAAAGCCACTAAACTGATGTTTCATTTATTTCCTGCAAATGGTCTAAAAGTTCTCTTTAGCATTTTATTTTAAAAATCAAGTTAGTTTGGTGGCTTGCTTCTCTATGTTAAAAATAGCATGGGTTATTGTTGAATGAGATAGCATGTAATGTAGATATTAAAAATAGTTCACGTGTTGGGCACTTTTGTGCCTGGCACTCTACTGTTTTACACGTTAGCTCATTTATTCCTCACCACAATTCTGTATGATAGCTATCATTTTTGTCATGCACCAATAAGCAAACTGAGGCATGAAGTCTTTTAATAAATGTCCTGAAGATAGTAAACCAGTGTATGGTGCATCCAGGATTTAAACCCAGGTAGTGTAACTCTAGAAACACACCATTTATTCATTATCTGATTAATTAGCTAGTAACCATGAATATTACTCTTGATCTTGCTGAGCTTTTGTTTTTTTCATGGGTAGTTTTGTTAAAAACTTTCTTACCTTTAACTACATGAACCACATGCCAGCAGTGTGATAAGCACTTTCATTCATTATCTCAAGCTTCTGTACCTCCAGAGCCTACAACAATGTGTGGCACATTATGTGTGTTCTATAACTTTAAATAAATGAATAATGCAAAAAGAATATGTGCTTAATAAGGAAGGAATGGAATTTATTTCCAGTTCTGTGGCCAGAAGCCATTTGTATCTCGTTTGTGTGTCTAGGACCCATTGGAATGCAATGCAGCCAAGTTAATATTCAGACAAACTGCAAACTAATAAATATTAAGTTTCCCTAAGTTTCCTATTGCCTGATGGTACTTCTTTGATGTCAGTACGGAAATGGGCCAGCTCCACATCAGGATGTGGTTGGGAAGAGGCTGTGCACTGATCTAAGAAAGAAATCTGATGAAAATATGTTTCCACTGCATTATTCAAGGAGATAGTATATAAAACTCTGTATATACAAGCATACCTCTAAATGTAATCTGAATATTAAATTTTAAATTAGTGCTGTACTTTTACTTCTAAAATGAAACTCAGAAAGGATGGCATAATTCCAAGAAAGAAAGAGTTTGGAAACTTCCTTAACAACACCATTAAGCATTCCTTAACAACAACAACACAGGGAGGTGCTGTTTTAAAATAACTCACGGGTCAAATAGCAACTTTTTGGATATTGGTCACTGTTTTGGTGTGGTCTGTGGAATGGGTCAAGGGGGGACAGTTTTCACACTGAAGGAAATATATGAATATTCTATTCTTGATGGTAAGTCTAATGAAAGGTAAATGGAGAAATAAGGCAATTTTGTCTCGCTTCGCACCAGAAGTGTGAAAGGACACATAGGCAATCAGACCAAAAATAAATGTTTTGTTTCAAGTAACCAGATACTTGAAGCAAAAGCATTTTTTTGTACCTTCCTATGTGTAAAATTATCTATCTCATTCACGTAAAATTGGTTTTGTTACCATTATCGAGATACTTACAAAACAATGGTTTTTATTTTCAGGAGAATAGCGAGTTCATTTCTATTTGTTTGTTGTTTAGTTAGTTGGTTGACTGTTACGAGGGAGCAGGTGGGAAGGCTGGCTAGATAGTTGTCCCAATCAATTACTTTTCTCCTGTGTGTACGGTTGCTCTAAATAAGGATAGTAGAGTGATCAGGCAAGTTACCAAGGTTGCCTGCTTCCCTTCAAATCTGACAAATAGCCATGGGCACGTCATTCTTAATGCCACCAAAATGAATGGTGTCTCTCTAGTGTAATGGATGTTCCACATTAAAAAATGAGACAGAATGTGAGCATAGCTTTAAATTATTAAAATGGAGAAGATTTATGTTCATACCTTGTGTAAACTGGTTTACAGGATGCATTCTAAAACGTGAAAAACAGAAGGTAGCAAAGTAATCATGCTAGTGGTCAAGGGAGATTTTGCTTAAGTTGTGTTTTTGTAATTTGTATAAAAATTATATGTTGTGTCGACTAAAATAAACTAGAAATAATTAAAAATCATACATACTATGTGATTATACATTTAGACATTTACACTTGTGTGTGTATTTGGGGAAAAAGACTACAGGTAAATACATCCATATTAATAGTATTTCTGGATTGTGGAATTATGGCATTTTTTTCTTTGAACACTTCAGATTTACAAAGCACTGGATAAGCAGGAAGAATTACTTTTATAATAAGCTATGACGGTAAGTTTGTTTGAGGTGCAGTCTCATTTTTCCCATGTAACAAAGGAGTGGGCCTTGACCCAATCAGAGCTAAGTGTTGTTTTTGTTTTAACTTACATCAATCTGTTTATTTCACTCATATGAAAAGCACAGGCATGTCCCAGGTTCACAAAAAGCAAATAAAAGCATTGCCCTTTACTCACCTTGCTCTCAATTCAATAAACTAAAAAGAAAGGATATTTATTGTGAAAGGCATGATTATCTCTTCTACATATGTATATTGAGAATATAGCATGTGCAAGGAATTATTCTAGGTGAAACAGGGAATACAGCAGTGAAAAACACAACCAAAACAACTTCCTTTAAAAAGCTTACATTCTAATGGGAGGAGAAGACATTAGTGCACCAACTACATATTACGCTGGAAGATAATACATGCCATGGAGATTACAAAAAATAAAACTGAGTACATGAAATGAATTTAGGAAAGGAGTGAAATTTAAAAATGTCTAGTCGCTAGTCAGGGTAAGCGTTATTGAGATGATATTTGTTTTTTCTTTTTTGATAACTTTTTACAGCTTTATGTTTAACGAATATCAAACATACTGTCAATATTTAAAGTGTAAATGAGATGAATTTAACATGTACATGTGCCCATTAAACAATCACCATGAAGGAGATAGTGAACATATCCAACACACCCAAAGCTTTCCAGTTCCTCTTTGTAGTGCACACTCATACCTCTCAGGTGTGAAGTAGTGAGCCACACTCATACAAACAAACACACACTGGGCTATCTCATTGTTTCAGGAGCATTTGTTCAAAATGTTATCCTTATGTCCATGAATCGTCTCAGAACTTTATTAAAACTTAGCTGATATACGTGTATGTGGCTGTATTAGTACTACATTTTCTTAGTTACTATAACTTTATAAGTCTTGAGACCAGGTGCTGTTCTCCAAATTTGTTGCCTTTCAAAGTAACTTGCCATTGTAGGTCCTCTGCATATCTATGTAAATTTCAGAATTTTAGTTTGTCAGTTTCTAAAAGAAATCCAGCTATGATTTGATTAGGACTGTTATAGATCAATGTGGGAAGAGTAGACATCTTAACAATATTGAGATTTATGACTTGTGAATTCCATTTATTTGTTATCTCAGCAATATGTTGTAGTTTTCAGATGTTTTGCTTTTTTTTCAGGTTTATGCCTAATTACTACACATTTTGATATTTATAATAATATCAAAATTACTGTAATATTGTAAATGTTTTAATTTTTTTCTCCATTAATTGTCAGGTACCTTTAAATCATAATTTAATTGGATGATACAACTGGATTTTGAAAAAAGTATACATATATGTATATTAAAAGTAATGTATTTTTTTCTGTTTGGCAGACTGACTCTGCTATCATATCATGTATTAGTCCAAATTCATACTCCTGATAAAGACATACTCGAGATTGAGAAGAAAAAGAAGCTTAATTAGACTTACAGTTCCACATGGCTGGGGAGGCCTCAGAATCATGGCGGGAGGCAAAAGGTACTTCTTACATGGCAGTGGCAAGAGAAAATGAGAAAGAAGCAAAAGCAGAAACCCCTGATAAACCCATCAGATCTCATGAGACTTATTCACTGTAACAAGAATAATATGGGAAAGACCAGCCCTCATGATTCAGTTGCCTCCCTCTGGATCCCTCCCACTACACGTGGGAATTCTGGGAGATACAATTCAAGTTGAGATTTGGGTGGAGACACAGCCAAACCATGTGATATCATAATGTAAAATTGCACTCAGTATCACTCAGCCTCCTCTCAAGGACAATATATCAAAATATATGGCATGTTTCAGTTTATTTAGCATCGCAAAACTCTAAAATTGCACTTACTTTTAGAAACCTGGAATAGTAATATAAATGCCAGCTCATAGACAGATATAAGACTACATATGACAATTTTCTAAATTCAATCTAACCACTTTTTAATTCTGTATTCTCAATGTTTTTCCTCCTCTTGAAATTCACTCACTCTTTTTTTTAATTTATTTTTTATTTCAATAGGTTTTTGGGGAACATGTGGTGTTTGGTTACATAAATAAATTCTTTAGTGGTGATTTGTGACATTTTGGTGCACCTGTCACCCAAGCAGTATACACTTTACCCAATGTGTAATCTTTTATCCCTCACTCTGCTCCCATGCTTTCCCTCAAGTCCCCAAAGTCCATTGTATTATTCTTGTGCCTTTGTATCCTCATAGCTTAGCTCCCACTTATGAGTAAGAATATATGATATTTGGTTTTCCATTCCTGAGTTTTTTCACTTAGAATAATAGTCTCCAATTCCATCCAGATTGCTGCAAATGGCATTATTTTATTCCTTTTTGTGGCCGAGTAGTATTCCATGGAGTATATGTATATATACCAGATTTTCTTTATCCCCTCATTGACGGATGGGTATTTGGGCTGGTTCCATACTTTTGCAATTGCAAATTGTGCTCTTGTAAACATGCATGTGCAAGTGTTTTGTTCATATAATGACTTCTTTTCCTCTAAGTAGATAACTAGTAGTGGGATTGCTGGATCAAATGTAGCCAACTGATCTTCAACAAAGCAAACAGAAACAAAGTGGGGAAAGGACACCCTATTCAACAAATTGTGCTGGGCTAATTAGCAAACCACATGTAGAAGAATGAAACTGGATCCTCATCTCTCAGCTTACACAAAAATCAACTCAAGATGGATCAAAGACTTAAAGACCTGAAGCCATACAAATTCTAGAAAATAACATTGGAAAAACCCTTGTAGACATTGGTGTAGGCAAAGACTTCATAACCAAGAACCAAAAGGCAAATGCAACAAAAACAAAGATAAATAGATGGGACTTAATTAAACTAAAAAGCTTCTGCACGGCAAAATAAACCATCAGCAGAGTTAACAGACAACCCACAGAGTGGGGGAAAATCTTCAGAATCTATACATCCAACAAAGGACTAATATCCAGATTTTACAAAGAACTCAAATAAGCAAGAACAAAGTGAACAATCCCATCAAAAAGTGGGCTAAGGACATGAATAGACAATTCTCAAAAGAGGAAATGGCCAACAAGCATGGAAAAATGCTCAACATCACTAATTATCAGGGAAATGCAAATCAAAACCGCAATGCAATACCACCTTACTCCTACAAGAATGGCCGTAATCAAAAAATAAAAAAATAATAGATGTTGGCGTGGATGTGGTGAAAAGGGAACACTTTTACACGGTTGGTGGAAATGTAAACTTGTACAAGCACTATGGAAAACCGTGTGAGGATTCCTTAAAGAGATGATATTTGAACAAGAACTTGAGGTGAAAGTAGAAAATGTATAGCAATCTGGCAGAAGAGTGTTCCAAGCATATGGAACAGCCTGTGTGACGACTCTGAGGCAGGGATGTGCCTATCATGAACAAGCAAGAACAAGGAGACCAGTGTTACTAAAACAGAATGAGCAAGGAGGACAAATAATAGGTGATGAGGTCAGTGGTAATCAGGGACCAGATACTATGGCCTTGAAGGTTATAGTAAAAACTTTAACTTTTGTTTTGGTAAGAGGAATGAGGTAATCTAGCTTAATATTTTAAAGTATCATGCAGTTGCTGTGAGGAGAATAGATTGTAGCAGGACCAATATACCAGCAGGAAGACCAGTTAGGAATCTAATGCAGTAACTCAGGTAAGAGATGAGGATGCCCTGGTCAGAGGTGCTAGCAGTAGAAGCAGTGAGAAGTAGTAAGATTCTATACATATTTTAAAGATAGAGCCAAAAGCATCTTTTGTCTGTGGAGATGGAGAGACCTTAAGAATGACTCCAAAGATTTTAACCTCAGCACCTGGATGGATAGAGTTGTCATTACTTGAGACAGAGGAGAGCATGTGTGTAATACATTTTTGTAAAGCACAGGAAATTCTGGTACATGCAGATCGACATGAGATTTAAGTATTCTGTTGGGAATAATGAGTCAGCACTGGCTACACAAGTCTGGATTTCAGAAGAAAAAAGGCTTTTTGGCTAGAAATGCAATCTTAGGAATTGTTGGCCTACATAGCATTCTACAATTTTGTGGACAGATGTCAGGACTTAGGTGTAAGGCATACGAGCTTTTAGAGCTGAGTTCGATGCAGTAAAATCAGCAAAGGGAACTGAGAAGGAGGACTAAACATAGGGTAGGAGGAGTAAGTAAAACTAGAAATGAAAATCTCTGAAGGAAGAGAGAATGATGAAATGTACCAAATGGGGTCTGTTTGATATAGAATAAGAAGGAGATGAATTAGAGAGAGTAAATACAGACAACTCCTTCAAAGAATTATAAATAGGTAAGAAATGTGCCAGTAAGTAGAACAGAAAGTGTAAGAAAAGGAAGAAGGCTCTTGTTTGTTTTGAGAAGAAATAATAACATTTATTTACTCTTGGGAATGACAGTGAAAACAAATAGTAAAAGGGAAAGAGAATGTGGGGCAAAGTCCTTGATTGAGTGTCCTAGTGCTTAACTGAGGCGAATCCAAGTAGAGAGGCACAGATTAATGTAGATTCTTACAGGTAGTGTTGGGATGGGTGGCAGCTCTCTTCTGACTGTTTCAACTTTCTCAGTGCAGTAGGAGGCTAAATTTCAGGCTGTACATACATGAGTACATTTAACACATTGAGCATATTTTGTGTTCTTAATACTATCCTAGGCCTTGATGTGATTATGTCATCAGATGTTCTTGCCCACAGAAAATTTGCATTCCAATGAAGATGTACAATTAAACCTAAAAAAATTGTAAATGTTATGAGAAATGTTAGATTTCTATGGAAGTATTACAAAAAGGGCATTTAATTCACTTGGCCATGAGTGGCACCAGAGAAATCTTCCCTCACAAAGTAATCTCTAAGTTGAAATGTGATTATTGAATAGTGGTAGAGGGGCTGTAAAGGGTACTTCAGATAGAAGGAATAGTGAATGGAAAGCCTGAAATATGAGAGCTAATATGGCAGTTAAAGGAAATGGCAATGACGGTAAAACTAAAAAGGTTGATGGAAAGAGTAACTGAGGTTGAAAGACTGGCAGGGGCAAGATTATGTATCCATGTAGAAGAGTTTGCAATTTCTCCTTTGAACATTTGGAAGGGACTTAAACAGTGAGAAGTTATGGACAGATTTGCATTTACACTCTAGAAAGAGCATTGGCTCAAGTGTGACAAATGGAATGGAGTGAATTGAGGGGAAGTCAAGGAGAGCAGGTGAGACACTATTTCAGTAGACAAGGTGAGAGGCGGTGTGTTGGAAGACTAGCAGTCATGGTGTTGCAGGAAAGTGGGTCCACTCGAGAATATTCAGGAAGAAGGATCAAGTAAGTGGGTGTGAGTAGTGATTGAATGTGGATGGTTGAGTGAAGAAACTCAAGCGTCACTAACAGAATATGGCTTGGTGGTAACTTTAAATGAAGTAAGATAACGAGGCTTTGGGGAAAAAGTGCTGGGTTAAATTTTTGACAATGCTGTGTGATGCCCAAGTGGAGTTTTTGAAAAAGACAGAAATGAGTCTAAAACTCAAGGGAAGTTGTTGTTTGATTGGAATTATAAATTTGGGAGTTATCGGCATAGCTATAATTCAGTTTCTAACCAACTACAAAGAAAAAAATAAAAACCTCAAAGAACAAATAGGCCAAAAAATTGACATTCAGGTCACTGTTAATTTTTCTTATCACTAAGCCTGAAGGCCATTGTCCTTTTATTCAGGTTTTCCTTTGTTCTTTAGAGGGTGAATTAGCATGTTCCTTTAATGTTTCCATATGGAATTCTCATGCATTTTGAAGTGAAAGGGTTATAAATGTCATATAATTTTCCTTGGCATTTTTATTTTCTGCAAGTAAAGAACATTTCACTATAAAGCATTCATAATGATACTGATTTTGTTGGTCATATTCTCCAGCTACTAATTTTCCATAAAAGTTCGCTTGGGGGAAAAAAAAGGAAAAACACTTTTTATTAGGATTTGAGCTAAACTGAGTTAGCTCGTTCACGGCAAAGAAGTCATTTATTGCTGACATGGGCCCTGTTGCTGATGGTCTTTCTCCATAAATCTAGCATGTCCTGTGAAAGGTTAATGCTGCAGTTTAGCAGCCAATTCCATCCAAAGTGTAGTGAAAATTAGCATACCCTTTTTTACTTAGTTGTGTGTATGCATATCAAGAGTCTTTTTAAAATTCAGACTCGAAATAATCCAATGTTAAATAAATAAAAATAATTGATTGTGTCATGTATTATGCTAGAGTTTTATATTCCTAAACTCATTAAAGCTTCTCAATCATACTTTCCAATTGGTATTGTTATCTTTAATAATGTAGATGAAGAAAATGGGTGCCTGAAAGGTGGGTCTTTCTCCAGAAGTGACAAGTCATAATTCCCAAGTCCAAAACGTCAACAAAAATGCAAAACGTTATGGATAAATAATACCCTAGGAAGGCTTGAACATTCGTCATTGTGCAAGCAGAGGGTCATTGAGAACTGGCTCCGAGAATCCCAAGAATTTTTCTTGCTGTCCTTTTGTTTATCGTCATTGTGTGCATTTCCCCAATGCTTTGGAAATAATTTGGAGTCTTTACAATGAAAGATGAAATCTTTATTGTGACAACACAGCAATCTAATTTATCTCTGACATGGTTCCCCCTTTACCCAGCATAAATGGAGTGCCAGCTTAATGATGTCATTCTCTATAATATAGGATATCAAACAAGGAAGAAGTCATTTGGGGTCTGCACCGGGGAAAACAATGAACAATGTCTTTCAGCTTCCTGTGAGCACCACTGCAAAGGTTCCTAAATTTATCCCTAGGGTTTCCAAAAGGTAGAGATTGAGTATTGCACAGAGCTAGTGTAACTAGCCTCACAGGATCATTCTAAAGATAAAATGAGATAATTTGAGTAATGAGATCTAGCATAGTGACTTGAACTTAATATATTCTTATTTTTTTCTTTCTATTTTTTTTTCTGTTTCTAGGTTGATTACTTCAGGCTAGAAATATACCTTTGAATTTTGAAAGAAAATCTCTCTCTCTCTCTCTCACTCTGTGTGTGTGTGTGTGTGTGTGTGTGTGTGTGTATCTATGTATGTATGTATGTGTTTGCAACTTTGGCTCTCTAAAAGGAAAAGTATAAAATTTTCTAGTTTCAGTTTTCTGTACCCTAACATTTAATTTCATCTAGACCTGGAAAGAATAAAACAAATTTTTGAATCTGCTGAAGTCAAAAGATTATAGTATCTGTGCTAAAAATACATAAACAAAAACAGCAACCACAATATTCTAATGAAATGTAATAGGTGTAAAATAAACTTATATAAAATAAAAAAGAGAAAACAATAGAAAGGAATAAGCTAACAGAAGGTTTAAGCAATGTTACCCGATGAGAGTTTTGAAGGAATTTTGGAATTTTCAGGAGTTTATATGAAAAAGTTTAAGTTTAGGAAAGAGAGAAAGTTATGGGCAGATACAGAAGGCATAAGCCATGTAGCACGTTTGGGAAACTTCACAGAATTTGGCAGTGGTGAAATAAAAAGGCCAAAATTCTACATTGAGGCTCGGTTCTGATTGTGGTCTACCTTCTATGCAAAGGAACTGGACTTTTCCCTCAAAACAAGGAGAGTCTTTGGAGAGCTGTAATCATAGGAATGCCAGGATCTGGCCTAGAAATAATGAAGTAGATTTTCCAATTCTACCCCAGCAGATCTCAGCTATCTTAGTCTCCTAGGAAGGAGACAAATAGGCCAAATTGGTTAGCTCAAGACTAAACTCATTGTCTTCCTGTGACCATGGGTCTCAAATTGTTTCTGTTTCTTACTATCTTCACAATCAAGTACAAAATCTTCTTGGTGTGACACTAATTATAATCTGGCAACTATTTACTTCTCCAGTCTCATCTTGTACACTGACCTCCTTCATAGACAATGAGCTATCCCTCATTAGGGATACACACAACATGAACAACATTAAAATAATTACAATTAATATTTCTTGAGCACTTATTATAAGCTAAGTAAAGCATTATTCTAAATATTCAATGGGTTATATCTTTTTCTTCTTAAAGCCTTGCAAGGATGTCTAGATAGATTGAAATTCAAAGTCCTCACAAGACCCCTAAAGTCATACATGAACCAGACCCCCTCTGATCCCTCATCTTTGAATTATTTTCCCTTGGTTATTCCATCTTAACCACTCTGGCACACTTACCTCTCCTTGGATAGCACAGTTATTACCTCAGACATGGCCTAGACTTTTGCTGCTCACCTCAACCACCTCATGCTGGGAGTGCTCTCAGCCAGAAATGCACATGGCCAACTCTCTCACCTTCTCTGAGTCTTCACTCCTAACTCACCTTCTCAAGGAGGCTCTCCCAGATGGCTTTATTTAATTTGCAGTTCCCCTTCCCCACTGCCCCATGTTGCTGATTTCCATACTCTCTTATACTTAATTATTATCTTTTTTCAACAGTGCTCATTTTCTTCTAATATTTTATATAATTAACTTATTAATAATGCTTACAGTTTATTGCTTCTCTTCCCCTGGCAATCATAAATTCTACAAAGCAGTGGTGGTTTGTCCAATGAGGTATTTCAAATGCCTCAGACAATATCAGTTTCTAGTAGATGCTCAGTAGTATGCATTGAATAAAATAATGCATTATTCCTCACAATCTTCATAAGACAAGTAACTATCATCTTTTCCTAATGGACATGAAAATTGCATGACAGAAACATTCCATAACTAGATTTGTTGCCCAGCTTACCTGTAGTAGACCCAGGACTTCAAGACAGGCAGGCGCTTAACTTCTACACTTGATAAACCTATATGGCCTGCCTTTGTTCATGCTTTGCCATGTTTGTCTGGTTCTCTGGTTCTTTCACTAGATTTTAGTTTCTTGAAGGCAAGTTAGCTCTATAGAACCTACCTCAGTGACCTACCAGGTACCGGGGAAGTAAATATTCAATGTTTGCTAAATTAAATAGCAAGTTACAATTGGGAAAATCTGACAAAGTAGAAAGACTTTGAAGCTAGTTAGACGTAAGTCAAAATCATACGTTTGATATTTGTTATATTCTGCTCAAAATATTACTTAACCTCCCTGAACCTCACCTTCCTCATCTACACCATGGGACTGATATTACCTCCAATGAAGATTATGCACATAAGATAGGAGTCACGTATTATGTTTATTTTCATGTCAAGTAATTAGAATATATTTTGTTCCATTTGCCCTGGGTTCTAAGTCAAAGGCTGGGAAACGTTTTCTGTAAAAAGCCGGATAGCAGGCCAGGCGCGGTGGCTCACACCTGTAATCCCAGCACTTTGGGAGGTCAAGCCAGGTGGATCACAAGGTCAGGAGTTTGAGAGCAGCCTGGCCAACATGGTGAAACACCTTCTCTACTAAAAATACAAAAATTAGCCGGGCCTGGTGGCGGGTGCCTGTAATCCCAGCTACTCTGGAGGCTGAGGCAGGAGAACTGCTTGAACCCGGGAGGCGGAGGTTGCCGTGAGCCAAGATCACACCACTGCACTCCAGGCTTGGTGACAAAGCAAGACTCCATCTCGAGGGGAAAGGAAAAAAAAAAAAAAAAACCCAGATAGCAAATATTTTAGGCTTTACAGACCATACAATTTCTGTTACAATGATTCAGCCCTGCTGTTGTAGTTTGAAAGTAGCTATAAACAATACATAAATAAGTGGGTATTGCTGTGTTCCAACAGACCTTCTCAAAAATGGTGCATGCCTGATTTTGCCTGCGGGCCACAGTTTGCAAACCCTTGTTCTAAAGCATGACACCTGGAGTCATTAGCTAAAAGAAATTCTCATCTAAAACTACTGGATTTAAACATTTTAATATTGTTTATCATGTATTTATCCCTGGATACTGATTTCTTGTGTTGTAATTATAAACACTAATAATAGAAACGGGACAATTACAATTATCTTTCAAAGAGTTTTACATATTCAAAATGTGCATCCGGCCCAGCCTTACATGTCAGGTGCTGAGCAGCACTTTAAAGATGTTCACCAGTATGAGCAGAATGGTTCATATTGAGGCCTTTTAAAATAGCCTCATGAGGGCAAGTTCTTGTTTCTGTGTGCTGCTACCTCACGTGACTTGTCTATGTCCTGAATTTAAATCTTGTTTCCAGTACTCCTGTAATCCTCTCTACGTGACGTGGTATTGTTCATCCCAATATCTTGTTACTGACCTTTGCTTGACTCTTTCTCTAGTCATTGAGTCCTAGATATCCCAAGGCCTTTTTCACAAATAGCTACCCCCTGTCCAGCATATTTTGTCACTTAGCAAGCTTGACAGCACTAGTCCTGGGCTGTGAATTCCTTCTAGATCCTTATTTGTTTTAGGGTTAATTGAACTCCTTTGCCTTGTGTATAAGGCTCTGTGGGACTTGGCCCTAGTCATATTCTCAAAACTCCAAAATATAGTCAGGCCCCTTTCACATGCCTTGTTGTTTTACACTTCTGTGCCTGCTGTTCTCTCTGTGACACACTTTCCTTGTTTGGATATTTGGCAAACTTCTACTAATCCTTCAAAATCGGGGATGGCTGCATCCTCCCTTGATTCTTCCCCATAAAGGTTCCACTTTCCAACCAATATCACCCCTGTACTCTGATCCCTAATTTCGGCAGCAATCAGCCCCAGGAAACCAAACCAAAAGCTCTGCAGCAACTGACCCAGAACAGACAGGATTTGTTCAATGACTATAGCTTCCCTTATTTTTGCTTCCACCTCAGGACCAACCAGAAAAAGCCAATATGCTCCCCAAACCAATTATAGAGGATGCCCTCCTTCTAGTTAGAAGAAGCAACTGCAGCTTCTTTATGCCAACCACGTCCAATCAAAGCATACCTGAACCCTTCTCTTCTGTTCACTATGATGTTTTCCACTCCCCTGCCTACCTATGAGTTTCCAGCTATCACAGTGATGATAGCTGATTCCCTTGCTTTAGAAAGCTCTGATAAAATAAGTGACTAAACAAACTCTGCCTCTTCTCATGTAGGTGTCTTCTTTTATTACCACAATTCCTAGCACCAAGCATTATTAATATGTTCAATCTGCCCACACTGATGGGAAGAACATCAGGATAAGCAGTCAGACTAAGTCTAGAAGCGTTCTGTGGTGAAGCCCTTCTCTAAAACTTTAATTACACTTAACCTAGGGACCAATCAGATCACAGGTCCGGTAGAATGTCTCATGAGCTAAATGGGAGCAGTGGACCAATGGAAATGCATATGTAGAAAAGCAAAGAATAAGAGATATAGAGAAGAGAGCTGTAAACTTACTGGGGAAGTCCTAAACATCCCTGTACTTTCACTATTATCACTGGCCTTCTGATCTACAAGGATGAATTAACTTATATAAAGGGCCTAGAGTGAGACAGATGTTTTAATGTTTTTTTAAATAAAGGAATAAACCCTCAACCATGAAAAGAATATGCATATTTGCAATTACTCTCATCTTGCTTTTGTCCTTTATTCTGCAATACAAAGCAATTTCACTTTAAGTTCTCTGTTATATATTTTATAAGACAATACACCAAGGAAGCTTAATCTATTTTACACATGGAAGGGCAACAGAAAAGACTGAGCATGACATGAGAAATAGGTGTGCCTCCAGGAGCATTAGATCCAGCCATCAGTGCACACCAGTACACCTCTGATACCTGAAATTAATCTCACAGCAGTGGGAAAGCTTAGTCATGCAGGCTGTGCTTCCTGCTGAAAGTAAAACCAACAAACTCAACACACATGCAGGCGGTTGCCTTTGAATCTTAAGGACCATTATTGTTATCTGCCATAACCATGCCACAAGAATATTGCCTCTCTCATTTATTGCATTGAAAAACCTTAATATATTTCCTCATTTCCAGTGTATAATTAAATATCTAATATATTTATTTTGGCAGTGTATCATATTAGGGAATGTGCTATGGAGCTGGAAAACATGAGTTAAAATCCTCGTTCTAACCCTCAGATAAAGGACATGCTACTTAACCTATCAAACCTTTAGTTTCCTAATCTGTATAGTGGATATATTAACATCAGTATCTTGGGGAATACTGTGAAAATAATATTAGACAATGTGTGAAAAATATTTAGTATAGTATAAAATAGGATTATTTTATTACTATATACTTTATGCATAAGACTATACATATATGAGCATGTATACATTTACTAGGTATACCTGATAAATGTTTTAACATTTAGATTGGGCTTCTTCAAATTAACAGCTATGCTGTAAGATGTTCGAGTATCTACATACCATATACAACATATCAGATGTAGTAAACTGAACTATGAATGTGTGTATGGCAATACATTTTAAAACCATGATACCATTAAGCAATAAGGATGTTTGGCAGACAGTTGGGCTCACTAACTACCAAAGTAACCACTCTGCACACCAGCTTCACAGCACGGACAATTCACACTTATTTCTACTTCAAGGAAATAAAACCTATTACTGTTCTCTGTGCTTTTTGATGTCACTATCAAATACTCAAATATGCAATTATTGGGTCCATGGACAATAATGATTCATGATTTTATATTGCACGCATCCTTGCCTGCTTCTTCCTTTTCCTGAGGTTCTGACAGCCTGACTACAGTGTCTTCAATGCTTCCTCTCAGAACTAATTCAAACTTCACCTCTGCCACAAAGATTTTTCTTTACTCACTCTTTCCTCTGTGTTATCATGGCCCCTGCTTGTCCCTATGAAGGAGGATAAAACATCGACTCATGTTTTGTTCATTATTCTCTCACCTGCTAGACTGTGAGTTCTCTGAGGACAGGAGATGATGTTTTCTGTGGCTCTGTAGTACAGTGACAGCAAGTCACTTTATTCATTTATTCAGCAAGTTTGTTTGGTAGAATCTCATTAAGTATCTACAACACGATAGGTGCTATGCTATTAATGTTGGTTTCACCAGCAAATAAGACAAGGCCGCTGCATATTTCCAGTTGAGCCAGGAAGATAAGCATTGGATAGGTAACTGCAGGCATGATGAGGGGTAGGGAGAAAGCAGTCTGAAGCTGAAGGGAAGGCAGGGTTGATGTTGCTAGGTGATGTTGGGAAGAGGTGTTCCAATCAGGAGGAATAACATCTAGGCAGAATTAGTATTGTTGGAGACAAGGGCTGAGCAAAGTGTGATAGGGCTGGAGTTTGGGAAGCCAGGGGGTCAGGGGTACAGAGTAGACCTGAAGAGGTAGAATGTACCCAGATTTCTCTGGGCCTTGTAGGTTATTTCGCACAGTTTTCAGTGCTAGAAGAAGGCATTGAATGGTTTTAAACAAAGGAGTGACATGATCAGATTTTTAGTTTAAAAAGACCTTTAGGTATTGTATAGATTGGATCTGGGGATAAAGGGTTTCTTGAGAGACAAGTCAGAAAACGAGTAAAAAGATCCAAATGACATATAATAGTGGCTCATATCAGGATTGTGTCACAAAGGGTAGAGAGGAAGAGGCAGGTTCAAAATATATTTAATGAGTAAAATGAACAGATTGTTGTGTTCATTTGTTATGGGAGGTTGTAAGGGGTAGAGATGAGTCAGGAATGAAACTTGTCTTTGAATTTGAGCAACTCTACCCTGACCCAAAATTAATCTTTAAGTCTAGGCCAGATCCTGGCATTCCTATGATTACAGCTCTCCAAAGACTCTCCTTGTTTTGAGGGAAAAGTCCAGTTCCTTTGCATAGAAGGTAGACCACAATCAGAACCGAGCCTCGATGTAGAATTTTGGCCTTTTTATTTCACCACTGCCAAATTCTGTGAAGTTTCCCAAACGTGCTACATGGCTTATGCCTTCTGTATCTGCCCATAATTTTCTCTTTCCTAAACTTACACTTTTTCATATAAACTCCTGAAAATTCCAAAATTCCTTCAAAACTCTCATCGGGTAACATTGCTTAAAGCTTCAGTTGCTTATTCTTTCTATTGTTTTCTCTTTTTTATTTTATATAAGTTTATTTTACACCTATTACATTTCATTAGAATATTGTGGTTGTTGCTGTTTTTGTTTATGTATTTTTAGCACAGATACTTTAACCTTTTGACTTCAGCAGATTCAAAAGTTTGTTTTATTCTTTCCAGGTCTAGATGAAATTAAATGTTAGGGTACAGAAAACTGAAACTAGAAAATTTTACACTTTTCCTTTTAGAGAGCCAAAGTTGCAAACACATACATACACACACACACACACACACACACACACACACACACAGAGTGAGAGAGAGAGATTTTCTTTCAAAATTCAAAGGTATATTTCTAGCCTGAAGTAATCAACCTAGAAACAGAAAAAAAAATAGAAAGAAAAAAATAAGAATATATTAAGTTCAAGTCACTATGCTAGATCTCATTACTCAAATTATCTCATTTTATCTTTAGAATGATCCTGTGAGGCTAGTTACACTAGCTCTGTGCAATACTCAATCTCTACCTTTTGGAAACCCTAGGGATAAATTTAGGAACCTTTGCAGTGGTGCTCACAGGAAGCTGAAAGACATTGTTCATTGTTTTCCCCGGTGCAGACCCCAAATGACTTCTTCCTTGTTTGATATCCTATATTATAGAGAATGACATCATTAAGCTGGCACTCCATTTATGCTGGGTAAAGGGGGAACCATGTCAGAGATAAATTAGATTGCTGTGTTGTCACAATAAAGATTTCATCTTTCATTGTAAAGACTCCAAATTATTTCCAAAGCATTGGGGAAATGCACACAATGACGATAAACAAAAGGACAGCAAGAAAAATTCTTGGGATTCTCGGAGCCAGTTCTCAATGACCCTCTGCTTGCACAATGACGAATGTTCAAGCCTTCCTAGGGTATTATTTATCCATAACGTTTTGCATTTTTGTTGACGTTTTGGACTTGGGAATTATGACTTGTCACTTCTGGAGAAAGACCCACCTTTCAGGCACCCATTTTCTTCATCTACATTATTAAAGATAACAATACCAATTGGAAAGTATGATTGAGAAGCTTTAATGAGTTTAGGAATATAAAACTCTAGCATAATACATGACACAATCAATTATTTTTATTTATTTAACATTGGATTATTTCGAGTCTGAATTTTAAAAAGACTCTTGATATGCATACACATAACTAAGTAAAAAAGGGTATGCTAATTTTCACTACACTTTGGATGGAATTGGCTGCTAAACTGCAGCATTAACCTTTCACAGGACATGCTAGATTTATGGAGAAAGACCATCAGCAACAGGGCCCATGTCAGCAATAAATGACTTCTTTGCCGTGAACGAGCTAACTCAGTTTAGCTCAAATCCTAATAAAAAGTGTTTTTCCTTTTTTTTCCCCCAAGCGAACTTTTATGGAAAATTAGTAGCTGGAGAATATGACCAACAAAATCAGTATCATTATGAATGCTTTATAGTGAAATGTTCTTTACTTGCAGAAAATAAAAATGCCAAGGAAAATTATATGACATTTATAACCCTTTCACTTCAAAATGCATGAGAATTCCATATGGAAACATTAAAGGAACATGCTAATTCACCCTCTAAAGAACAAAGGAAAACCTGAATAAAAGGACAATGGCCTTCAGGCTTAGTGATAAGAAAAGTTAACAGTGACCTGAATGTCAATTTTTTGGCCTATTTGTTCTTTGAGGTTTTTATTTTTTTCTTTGTAGTTGGTTAGAAACTGAATTATAGCTATGCTGATAACTCCCAAATTTATAATTCCAATCAAACAACAACTTCCCTTGAGTTTTAGACTCATTTCTGTCTTTTTCAAAAACTCCACTTGGGCATCACACAGCATTGTCAAAAATTTAACCCAGCACTTTTTCCCCAAAGCCTCGTTATCTTACTTCATTTAAAGTTATCACCAAGCCATATTCTGTTAGTGACGCTTGAGTTTCTTCACTCAACCATCCACATTCAATCACTACTCACACCCACTTGATCCTTCTTCCTGAATATTCTCGAGTGGACCCACTTTCCTGCAACACCATGACTGCTAGTCTTCCAACACACCGCCTCTCACCTTGTCTACTGAAATAGTGTCTCACCTGCTCTCCTTGACTTCCCCTCAATTCACTCCATTCCATTTGTCACACTTGAGCCAATGCTCTTTCTAGAGTGTAAATGCAAATCTGTCCATAACTTCTCACTGTTTAAGTCCCTTCCAAATGTTCAAAGGAGAAATTGCAAACTCTTCTACATGGATACATAATCTTGCCCCTGCCAGTCTTTCAACCTCAGTTACTCTTTCCATCAACCTTTTTAGTTTTACCGTCATTGCCATTTCCTTTAACTGCCATATTAGCTCTTATATTTCAGCCTTTCCATTCACTACACCCTGCCAACAGAGTACTTTTTTAATATTAACATATTTGTGTCTTTATATTTAACATGCACTTCTTGTAGATAGCATACATTTGTGTCTCACTTATTTATCCAATCTGATAAGCTCTGACTTTGAGTGTTTATACAATTTACTTTTTTTTTTTTTTTTTTTTGTGAGTGAGTCTTGCTCTGTTGCCCATGCTGGAGGGCAGGGACGCAATCTCAGCTAACTGTAAGCTCTGCTTCCTGGATTCCAGCAATTCTCCTGCCTCAGCCTCCTGAGTAGCTTGGAATTACAGGCGCCCGGCTAATTTTTGTATTTTTAGTAGAGACAGGGTTTCACCATCTTGGCCAGGCTGGTCTCGAACTCCTGACCTCGTGGTCCACCCCCTTAGTCCCCCAGAGTGCTGGGATTACAGGCATAAGCCACCGTGCCCAGCCACAGTTTACATTTAATCAGATTATTCGTATTGTTGGTTTTAAATCTAACATCTCACTATATTTTTTCTATTTTATCATTTGCTTTTCTGGTCCATATTTTTTTCTGCTTTATGTTGATTTTTATGATCCTATTTTTTCTTTATTGGGTTTTAGGCGTAACTCCTGTTATTTTGGTAGTTACTTCATAGTTCATAATATGCAGCTTTAACTTATCACAGTCAACCTTCAAATGATATTACATCACTCAGACTCTTGATTTGTGAGTACGGAGGGACAGGGCAGGGACATAGATGATGAATCGGAAGCACCTGTCTCATTTAAAAGGCTCACTAATCTTAGTAAAATAAACCCATACAGAAAATTCTTTTATTTTAAGGTGAGTAAACATGCAAACACATGGCCCTTCAAGGTCATTCTGTCAGTCAGCCTTAATCCAACCCATGAGATACCAGTTTGCCAGTTTATGATCATTGCCATAGAATAGTTTTTTCTTTTAAATTCTAAGTTTAAACTGAAGATTTGATGGATGTGGAACTAGTTTTCTTTTTGAGCAAGAAAATAACTCAATTAAATGTACTATGTCTCAAAATATGCAGTATACACCATTATGAAAACGAGACAAGAGTAAATAAATTATGACATCTAGAAAATTAGGTGAGACACTGTTCAATAATGAGGCAAAATAGGATGTGAATGTCACCTATGCTATCAAATATAGAGAAATGTGGGGTTTCATCCAATAAATGTGAGGTTGAATGTATAAACCGTTATTTCAAATATGTCTTGATTTGTATCTAAATTTATATCCTATAAAATCATGCAGAAAATGAGTCATTATCTCATTTTAAATAGGAAAAATCTGAATCAATACTAATACTAAAAACTAATAATTTACTCAGTGCCAGGCAATGTTTCTAGTGTTTTAAGTTTTCAGAAAATGATTATGAGATAATTATGAAGAAAACAATTCTTCACTTTTCAAGGAAGAAAACCAAGGCAATGAGAAACTAAGTAACTGGCCCACCCAAGGTCATATAGTTAAGAAATGACAAAGTTGTAGACCTTAATATGTTTTTTTTTGTTGTGGTTGTTGTTTTGTTTTGTTTTGTTTTGTTTTGAGACGGAGTCTCGCTCTATCACCCAGGCTGGAGTGCAGTGGCATGATCTCGGTTCACTGCAAGCTCTGCGTCACCGGTTCACGCCATTCTCCTGCCTCAATCTCTTGAGTAGCTGGAACTACTGGCACCTGCCACCACGCCAGGCTAAATTGTTGTGTGTTTAGTAGAGTTGGGGTTTCACCATGTTAGCCAGGATGGTCTCGATCTCCTGACCTCCTGATCCGCCTGTCTCGGCCTCCCAAAGTGCTGGGATTACAGGCATGAGCCACTGTGCCTGGCCGAGTTCAGCATGTTTTTAATAAAATTTGTTATTTTTCATGTCTAATATTTGCTCTGTCTCTCATATATAATAAAAATATAAATATAAATATAATCATAAAGAGAATTATAATAGCCAACTTTCTCTATATTTCGGAGATATTGGCTTGGCATTGCTTTCAGCCAGGTATTTCAACATTAGCCTCTAGAGTGGAGTTGGGTAAAGGTTGATTTCAATGTTTCAAAAATATATGAGGACTGAGAACCTATGTTAGTGAATTTCCTATTCTCGACTTCTAGTCAAACACTATCAAAATTGACAACTAAAGAAATAATGAAATGCAAGAAAATGTTTATAACACTTAAGGGGATAAATTAGTTTCTTTATGTCTGATTTTATATTAAGTAAGGAGCTTGCAGGAAAAGTAAATGACAGTTGATGATTTTGATTATAATCAGTCCAATTTTTTCCATATTTGAGCAAAAATTGTAATTCACCTATCCAATGCTTTCAGTGTAGATTAGCTGAGTCATGTAACTTACGTCATCTCTTATAAATATTGATTGAGATGAAAAATGAAGAAATGATTTATCTTAAAACAGTTCTATGTGGATAATATAAAAAATACTGACAGGTTCATCTAAAATATTTTTGGATAAGCTACATTATACATGATTCATAGCTTATGTGTAACATATGATATTTGATTTGGTTTATACACAAAAGAACAAATGTTTCTGTATAAGAAAGTTATTTTGCTTATTATGGAATTTAAAACTAAAATGATTCTTCCACGATGGCCATTTAACAATTTAAATTTAGGAAACATCTGGCATGTACGATGAGTATTTACTTTGTATAATTGTGTTCCACATCTTAGTGCATTCCCTTTAGCAGTTTCTTTCAGCAAGCAACGCATGTGAACTTGTTTCTCACTAAATGTTTATTTTAGCAAAGTTTTAGACCTACAGATTTAAAGAAGAATCGCAAAGATGTTACAAAGGTGAACTCTTGAACCGAGTCTTTTATTTTTAAGCATGCAAAACGGTTTTTTTTTTTTTTTGAAACGGAGTCGCGCTGTTGTCCAGGCTGGAGTGCCCTGGAGCGATCTCGGCTCACTGCAAGCTCCGCCTCCCGTGTTCACGCCATTCTCCTGCCTCAGCCTACCAAGTAGCTGGGAGTACAGGCGCCCGCCACCATGCCCGGCGAATTTTTTTTGTATTTTTAGTAGAGACGGGGTTTCACCATGTTTGCCAGGATGGTCGCTATCTCCTGACATCTTGATCTGTCCGCCTTGGCCTTCCAAAGTGCTGAGATTACAGGCGTTGGCCACAGCGCCTGGTCAAAAGTGTGGTTTTTTAAACCCTGAAGACATAAATGTACCACTGAGAACCCAAAGAAAATTGGACTAACTGTTTTGTTTTGTGATTTGATGTCTGAAAAATAAAATCTTTTAGTTTCCTTTCATTTTTCCTCAGAGACTATAAACTGTGTTGTGATGTCAAACTCAGAATGAGTTTAGATGCCTATGGGCAAATTGTTTGCTCTAATTAGAACAAAATGAGACAAATCTCTTACACATAAATCTTTGATGGTGGGAAATGTAGCTTCATGTTTTTAAAGTCTTCCCAGAAGTCAAAATGCCTCTCAATCTTGTAACTACTTTTTATAGCTACCTAAAATAATTATTAAGGCATATTTGATATTCTGAAATCAATTTATGTTTGTGTTTTGTTTAATAATTGGGATCCTTGGGAACCATTTGCTGCAAATATCCTATACTGAAAAAACTTTGTCTAAAGATATCATTCAGAAAAATATTTATACTTAAAAATATAAACTCCATTAACAATAATTGTTCAGCAAAACTCTATTAATTCAACACGTTGTATGCTTAATTTTCGTAGCCAATTTTTCCTTTTCTTCTCTCTAATGATGTGATGTTCTTCAATGTCTTCTGAAAACTTGAACATAGGAAGTTGGAAGTGTATAAAGTAAAACAAATTGTAAGGAGAGAATTTAGAATGCTAATTTTTGAAGGGGAAATATAAATTTACAGCTCTTAGTTTGCATTTTAAATTTATGTTATTACCTGTATTTAAGTATTTAAGTTGATTTTCACCAGTGCGTTAGTGTGTTTGTGTTGTTGTAAAAGAAATACCTAAGACTGGGTCATTTATAGAGAAAATAGATTTATTTGGCCCTTGGTTCTGCAGATGGTACACAATGCATAGTGCTAGCATCTGTTTGTGGTGAAGGCCTCAGTAAGATTACAATCATGGCAGAATTTGAAGGGGAGCCAGCATGTCATTGGGCAAGAGAGGGAGCAAGAGAGACAGGGAAGGTGCCACACTCTTTTAAAGAACTAGATCTCCTGTAGACTCTTTACCACTCATTACCCAGGGGAGGGAACCAAGCCATTCATGAGGGGTTTGCTCCCGTGACCTAATACCTCCTACAAGGCCCCACATCCAACAATACAGGTCACATTTTAATATGAGATTTGGAGGGGATAAAACATCCAAACCATATCAACTGTTCACTGCTAACTACTAAATCAAAGAATTAATTTTTTACAGACAATGTACATTTTTTCTTCATTCAAAAGAAAAATACTTGATTAGACCTTATGAGGAGAAAATGTTAATCTCTTACAGTTTTTAATTAAATAAAATAATTTGAGGCTATTTTTATAAATTAAGGCCATCAAGAAGGACTCCAGACTCTAAAAAGATTCCAGACATTTTCTATAAATATATTTTAAATATGTTTATATATATTTATTTATATGTGTGTGTGTGTGTTTGTGTGTGTGTGTGTGTATAGTTGTTTTCATAGTAGATTTACACCACTGCCATCTGGGAGTAATTCCCTTATTCAATACAGAAGGATTTCTCATCCTTCTCCTAAATATTTTCTTCTAGCTCAGAGTGCCTGTGGCCAAAAACAAGAGATTTTAAAACAACAACAAAAACAAAAATTTCTTCATCCCCATAGGGGTTAGCTTTCTTTTCTAGTCTTTTTACTTGAGTTAAAACATTTCCTTTGAATTTAGACTGACAAAGATATTGAAGGACATCTAATGTCGTTTAGAACACTGCTCCTGTGCCTGTGTTCACTAGTTCCTCAAGTGGAGGTGATTGGAGATATTAGAAGAAAGGAATAAACTAGGGTAGCTCATATCACCCATTCCGTGTTTTTTCTCTTTAGGATGTGCCAGCCTGCAGTGAAAATGAATTCTGTTCTGCCTCTGCTATGCTGTAAATTTAGCAATAAAGTTTCTGCTCCATATGTGACCGACTAGGTAAGGGTACCATGTAATGGAGTGTAGTGTAGGAAAATCCCTGTTGCTAAGCACCACGCCAACAACACCGTGAGCTACAAAGCTCACATGTTTATTTGATTATGCTTTACTTCTGTATCTATCTTGAATTGTTCAGTATTCAGAGAAAACAGGAAAGTAAGTTGTTAACATTCTTCATTGCAACAAATTTTTTAGAACTAATTCTATATTGAGGAATGTCTTAAATTTTAACCAAAACCTTTTGATAAATTACAGAGTTGCTGAATATATCTAGATTTGAATCTTAAACTATATCTGTATCTATCATATAGATTTATATGATTTATCAAGAGCTATTATCGGGAATATATACTTGATTCCTTTTACAATTTTCATAATGTAACCAGAAAGTGACCCTTGAGATCCTTGAGAGTGATTATATAAACATACCCTTGATTTGGTGTCTCCAGCCTAATTATCACAGTTAAAATTTTGGTATCAAAAATGGAACAAAGATAATAAGACTTGTAAAGCAGCAGAACTTACAAAATGTTAAAAACAATTTTATTTACATAGTGCATCCACACAGACCTAATTATATGTATTCAACCTAACATTTAACATTATTAGCAAGTCAGAGACTTTAGAAAAATCAGACATAATTTTAGATAAAATAAATATTAATACTAGTTATTAATATTAATCCCTATTTGATTAAATGACTCTATATGAAAATAACTGCCCTTGAATTATTTTCAGCTCACAAATTTTTAATGACAGGAGATGGCAGCTGGGCACAGTGGCTCACGCCTGTAATGACAGCTCTTTGGGAGGCCAAGGTGGGCGGATCACTTGAGGTCAGGAGTTCGAGACCAGCCTGGCCAACATGGTGAAACTCTATCTCTACTAAAAATACAAAAAATAGCTGGTCATTGTGGTGGGTGCCTGTAATCTCAGCTACTCTGGAGGCTGAGGCAGGAGAATCACTTGAACATGGGAGGCGGATGTTGCAGTGAGCCGAGATCATGCTACTTCACTCCAAACTTGGTGACAGATCAAAACTCTGTCTCAAAAACATAAATAAATAAGGAGATGGTATGTAATCAGTATTAATTTTGGGCCCCTCATGTTAGCTAATATGTTTAAGCCTAGGACAAAATAGAAACTGACCGAGATTATTAGCATGTTTCAGTGCATAATATTTTAAAATAATTCAACGCTGACACATAATACTATACTATTCCACTTAGTTATTAAAAAATGGTAAGAGAAGTCTCACGTTCTTGTCCTGGCATGGTGGCTCACATCTGTAATCCTAGCACTTTGGGAAACCAAGTGGGGAGGATCCCTTGAGCCCAGGAGTTTGAAACCAGACTGGGCAACAGTGAGACCTATCTCTACAGAAAATTTAAAAACTAACTGGGCATTGTGGCAAGCACCTGTAGTCATAGCTACTGGGGTGGCTGAGGTGGGAGAATTGCTTTTCCCAGGAGTTTGAGGCTACAGTGAGCTATGATCACATCACTGCACCCCAGCCTGGGTGATACAGTAAGAACCCTGTCTCTTAAATAAACAAACAAAAAATAATCCCAGAACTCTAATGTTCTTGTATGATATAGGACTTTTAAAAATTAGCTGGGCATGGTGGCGCATGCCTGTAGTCCCAGCTACTTGGAAGGCTGAGACACGAGAATCGCTTGAGCCTGGGAGGCAGAGATTTCAGTGAGCCGAGATCACGCCACTGTACTCGAGCCTGGGTGATAGAGCGAAACTCTGTCTCTAAATAAATAAACGATTGAATGAATGAATGAAAGTATACCGAAAGTTTTAACTTAACAAATTTTATTTATGCCTCACATTGATGAAGTGATAAGAACTAATAATACTAATACACGTACAGGATATTTTACAAAAAAGTTTTTTTTTTTTAAATTAGACCCTTATGATATAGGAAATAATTTAATTTTTTATTTTTATTTTTTTGAGGCGGAGTCTCACTCTGTCACTAGGCTGGAGTGCAGTGGTGCGATCTTGGCTCGCTGAAACTTCTGCCTCCTGAATTCAAGCGATTCTCCTGCCTCAGCCTCCCGAGTAGCTGGGACTACAGGCATGTGCCACCACGCCCAGCTAATATTTGTATTTTTAGTAGAGACGGGGTCTCACCATGTTGGCCAGGATGGTCTTGATCTCTTGACCTCATGATCCACCTGCCTCAGCCTCCCAAAGTGCTGGGATTACAGATATGAACCACCATGCTCGGGTGCAAAGTGATTTAAATTTATCAACAATTTTATCTTAATGCAAAATTTTTGTCATTTGTGATATTTTCCAATAGCTTATCTGAAATCGTTAGAATCAGATTTCAAAATAAGATTTCAAAGTCAGAGTTCTTTGAAATCACAATTCAAAAATATTTAGATTTTAGAAAGGTAATGTGGTAAATATACTGCATATTTTGGAATATCCCTAGTGTCAAATCATATGAATAATCACATGAACTGGGATCAATAAAGACTACCCCTGGCCGGGTGTGGTGGCTCACACCTGTAATCCTAGCACTTGGGGAGGTTGAGGTGGGTGGCTCACCTGAGGTCAGGAGTTCAAGACCTGCCTGACCAACACGGTGAAGCTTTGTCTCTATTAACAATTAGCTGAGTGTGGTGGTGGGTGCCTGTAATCCCAGCTACACGGGAGGCTGAGGCAAGAGAATTGCTTGAATCCAAGAGGTGGGGATTGCACTGAACCCAGATCGTGCCATTGCACTCCAGCCTGGGCAACAGAGCAAAACCTCTGTCTCAAAAAACAAGACTATAATACTCCTACATCAGCATAGATCAGATTTTACCAAACTTACGTTTAGATATTCATAAATGTTGAATTTTGTAATTCCATATGAAGAATTATAGATCTGCATATATTTTCAAATATTAATAGTTATAATTCCATAGTTTATAAGTCAAATTTTTGGTTATTTTCATTATTAATACTTTTCCATTCATCTACCCTTTCTAACAGAGAATACAATATGTTTCTTTTCTTCTTCTTTTTTTTGAGATGGAGTCTTGCTCTGTCCCCCAGGCTAGAGTGCAGTGGCGCAATCTCAGCTAAGTGCAACCTCCGGCTCCCAGGTTCAAGCAATTCTCCTGCCTCAGCCTACTAAGTAGCTGGGACTACAGGCACGTGCCACCACGCCTAGCTAATGTTTGTATTTTTAGTAGAGACTAAAATTTTAATTTTGTATTTTGTATTTTTAGTAGAGACGGGGTTTCATCGTGTTGGCCAGGCTGGTCTAGAACTACTGACCTCAAGTGATCCACCCACCTCAGCTTCCCGGAGTGCTGGGATTACAGGTGCGAGCCACCGCGCCTGGCCAATAATACAATATGTTTCTAAGTTGATAGTCTATCATTTATCCACGTTTCTATGGTGAACTTAAGTAATTTCTAATTTCTCCCTATTGGAAATAATGATGCTACAAATAATTTCATTTATGTATATTTTTGTTCATTTGAACAATTTCCTTAGAATAAATTTCAAAGCATAAGCCACTAGATCAAAGAGAATTAAATCCTTTTATTTTTAAAAACATTGGCAGATTTCCTCCAGAAAGCACTATGCTAATTTACAATGCGCCCAGAAAAATATTACTATGCCTTTTGGTAGTACCAGACCATCGGTATTCCTTTCTTATGCCTGTTTAATAGTGTAGGATGGTTCATTTACTCTTTTTTATATTAGCATTTATTTAATTGCTACTAGTGAAAAGAACACAGTCCCATATATACATGTATGTATTAAATGTGCGTTCATTTTCTTTATCCTTTTGTTGATCAAGGTCTTAGTGGTGGCCGTGTATAGTTGAATATGTTTTCAGTTATTAACGCTTCATCATGTTATAGTTACTTTGGTCATTTTACTGATGCTTAATTGGTAAGAATCAATTTCACTAGGGATAAAACTCAGAAGAACAGAAATTGTGAGTTCCTTTGTGAAGATCCAAGGACCTCAAGTACCCCAGAATAGGCAAGAACAATCATTCCTATTTTTTATCTTCAGTGGAAAAAAGAGCCCATTATACCTTTCTAGCCTATTCTGGAATAAATAGCAATTAAATTTTAGTTAGTGTAAACTAACAAAGAAAACACTGTAAGTTAATGAAATGTAGTCTCTACAATTTGTTAGACTTTTTATTTTTTATTTTTAGTTAGACTTTGTTTTTGAGACGGAGGCTCGCTCAGTTGCCCAGTCTGGAGTACAATGGCTTGATCTGGCTCACTGCAACCTCGCTTTCCAGGTTCAAGTGATTCTCCCTGCCTCAGCCTCCCTAGTAGCTAGAATTGCAGGTGTGCAGCACCACTCCCGGCTATTTTTGGTAGAGACAGGGTTTTGCCATGTTGGCCAGGCTGGTCTCCAACTCCTGACTTCAGGTGATCTGCCTCCCTCAGCCTCCCGAAGTGCCGGGATTACAGGCCTGAGCCACCGCGCCAGGCCGCAAGCTAATTTTTGTATGTTTAGTAGAGACGGCTGTTTCTACTAAACATGTTGGCCAGGCTGGTCTCGACCTCGACCTCAGGTGATCCACCGGGCTTGGCCTCCTAAAGTGCTGGGATTACAGGCTAGAGCCACGGCGCCCGGCCAGCATTTATGTTACTTAAATTACAAAGTAACTGGCCGGGCGTGCTGGCTCACGCCTGTAATCCCAGCATTTTCAGAGGCTGAGGCAGGCGAATCACCTGAGGTCGGGAGTTTGAGACCAGCCTGACCAACATAGAGAAACCCTGTCTCTACTAAAAAGAAAAAATACAAAATTAGCCGGCATGGTGGCACATGCCTGTAATTCCAGCTACTCAGGAGGCTGAGGCAGGAGAATCGCTTGAACCTGGGAGGCGGAGGTTGTAGTGAGCCGAGATCACACCATTACCTTGTAGCCTGGGCGACAAGAACTAAACTTGTCTCAAGAAAAAAAAAAAAAAAAGAAAGAAATTGGCCAGGCACGGTGTTTCACGCCTGTAATCCCAACACTTTGGGAGGCCGAAGCGGGTGGAACACGAGGTCAGGAGATCAAGAGCATCCTGGCTAACACGGTGAAACCCCGTCTCTACTAAAAATATAAAAAAAAAAATAGCTGGGTGTGGTGGCGGGCACCTGTAGTCCCAGTTACTGGGGAGGCTGAGGCAGGAGAATGGCATGAACCCAGGACGCGGAGCTTGCAGTGAGCTGAGATAGCACCACTGCACTACAGCCTGGGTGACAGAGCGAGACTCCGCCTCAAAAAAAAAAAAAGAAAAAGGAAAAGAAATTACAGAGGGGCACATTGGCTCATGCTTGTCTTGTAGTCCCAGCACTTTGGGAGGCCGGGGCAGATGGATCACGAGATCAGGATCAAGACCAGCCTGACCAACATGGTGAAACCCCATCTCTACTAAAAGTACAAAAATTAGCTGGGCGTGGTGGCACGCACCTGTAATCCCAGCTATTCGGGAGGCTGAGGCAGGAGAATCGCTTGAACCCGGGAGGCAGAGGTTGCAGTGAGCCGAGATGGCGCCCTTGCACTACAGCCTGGGCAACAGAGCGAGACTCCGTCTCAAAAAAAAAAAAAAAAAGTAACCAATGCAGGAAACCGAGAGGAGAGGTTTGGAAGGTGGTTTAGTGAGGTAATCCATCTTTTCTAGTGATAAACTGGCACCCAGTCAATTTATTCATCAGAAGGGAATACATCAGCCTGGCGTGGTGGCTCGCCCCCGACCCTGTCAGCGTCACCAGCAGCGCGGATCCATGGGCCAGAAGCCTCTAGGGCGCCTAAGTCAGGGGGTGGGTCCCCGGCTGCAGGAGGGCGGGAACGGACACTCAGTGCCACCGCGGAGGCTGCACGGTGCCCAGCGCCAGGGTCCAGCTCCTGGATCGCAGGTCGAGGAGGGGCCACGGGCGGCTCACTGAAACCTCCGCCTCCCGGGTCCAAGCCATTTCCCTGCCTCAGCCTCCTGAATAGCTGGTATTACAGGGATGTGCCACCATGCCCGGCTAATTTTGTATTTTTTTTTTTTTTTTTTTTAGTAGAGACAGGATTTCTCCATGTTGGTCAGGCAGTTCTGGAACTCCTAGGGTCAAGCGATCTGCCCCGCTCAGCCTTCCGAAGTCCTGGGATCAGGACTTTGCGATCCTGGGCAGATCGCTTGAGCCTAAGAGTTCCAGACCGGCCTCACCAACATGGAGAAACCCCGTCTCTACTAAAAAAATACAAGATTAGCCTCCACCGTGGACTCAGGTGCAGCTCCCACCTGAACATGGCACGCGGCAGCAGGGGCTGCAACCTCGACCCTGTCAGCGTCACCAGCAGCGCGGATCCTTGGGCCAGAAGCCTCCAGGGCGCCTAAGTCAGGGGGTGGGTCCCTGGCTGCAGGAGGGCGGGAACCGACACTCAGTGCCACCCAAGAGGCTGCACCGTGCCCAGCATCAGGGTCCGGCTCCTGGATCGCAGGTCGAGGAGGGGCCAGGGGCGGCTATGTCAAGCGGGCCATGTGGCATGGCGCCCCCCACTTTCCGCTCCAGGGAGGCCCGCCAGCCTCGCAGTGCCTCAGCGGCAGTTGCCACCTGCACGCGGTGCCCGGAGAACGCGGCCAGGGCGCGTGTCTCCTCAGCCTGCTGAGCTGCGCATGCGCTGCTGGCTAACGGCTCTGCTCAGCGCGATTCTACTGAGAGAGGCCTGAGTGTGCAAGAGCTTGGCGAACACAGAACTTTTTACGGGTATCGAGGCGGTGCGTGGACTGAAGAAGGGCGAGGGCGATTGGGGAGGGGTGGGGGGTGGTGGCTGGGAAGGGCGATCGGGAGGCGCGGGCACTCTCTAGCAGGTGGCCGCAGCCATGGAGGAGATCTCTGCCGCCGCTGTCAAGGTCGTGCCGGGCCCGGAGCGCCCGAGCCCTTTCAGCCAGCTAGTCTATACCAGCAACGACTCCTACATCGTCCACTCTGGGGATCTTAGAAAGATCCATAAAGCTGCCTCCCGGGGACAAGTCCGGAAGCTGGAGAAGATGACAAAGAGGAAGAAGACCATCAACCTTAATATACAAGACGCCCAGAAGAGGTACCAGGCCCTGCCTGAGCCGGGGCTGCAGGAGGAGGTGGGGGCGGTGGGAGGATCGCCCCTTCAGAGTCGGGGGCTGGGGGGCCTGGGGAAGAAGGGAGCAGGTGGAGGAGTAACGGGCAGCGGGGCAGCCATCCTGGGCCCTCGGGTCTAGGCCTTCTTCCTGGGCAGGCCCCCAGGCTTGGGATGCGGGGTCCCTGCAGGGCGGAGGGCCCATGCCACCTTAAAATCAACCCCAAACTTTAGCTGCTTTCTCCTTCACTCCCACTTCCTCTCACAGAGGACTGTGTAGAGAATTTTAAAGTGATTTAACTCACAAAATTAAGTACATACAGGGTTTTACATTTAATGTACAGGTTTTAAAAGATAATGTTAGATACATTATGAAATGGTGCGTAATGAAATAATTCCCATAATATATGTACTTCTTGGCTAAAAATTATCTGGATAGAGTCCAATATCCATTTTGATATCAATGAATGTCTATGTAAATATGTTCTTTGCTGAGGGACCTTAGAAGGAAACTTCGAGGTGGGAAGATGGTTTATGTTCTTGAATTTAAGAAGACTCATTTTTCTCAGGATGCGAGTTCTTTATCAGTTTTACATAAACCAAATAAAGTTATCAACGTTTTAACATTTTTTAAATTACACAGGCTGTCTTTTACTATTGTGATGACATTTTAAATATTTTGTAATGGAGTAAAAAAGTCTTGCCCTTCTAGATATCAAAATGTGGTATTAATTTGCACAAGATGAGCCGGGAGTGGTGGCTCACGCCTGTGATCCCAACACTTTGGGCTGCGGAGGCAGGTGGATCATCTGAGGTCAGGAGTTCAAGATCAGCCTGGCCAATATGGTGAAACGCCGTCTCTACAAAAATACAAAAATTAGCCGGGCATGATGTCGGGTGCCTGTAATCCCAGCTACTGGGGAGGCTGAGGCGGGAGAATCGCTTGAACCCGGTAGGCGGAGATTGCAGAGAGCCGAGATCCCACCACTGCAATTCAGCCTAGGTGATAGAGTGAAACTCTGTCTCAAAAAAAAAAAAAAAAAAAAAAAAAAAAAAAAAAAAAAATCACAAATTGTTCGCTAACAGCTGAAAAGACAGGTAAATAAATACAACAGAATAGAAAATCCACAAACACCCAAATATATGTAAGAATTTAGAACTTGGTAATGGTCACACTTTATACTAGCAGGAAAAGAATTAGTTTCCTAAGTGAAATGCCTGCTTTTTGGAGAAAACTAGATTTTTGTGCCACAAAATAAGTTCCTGATGGAATATAGATTAAAAGTTTTTAATGTACAAAATGATAAAAATACCGGAAGAAAATATAAATGCCTATTTACACAGATACATTTTTATCTTGACAAAACCTTTTTAAGAAGCTCAGAAGCAAGCACTCTGAAGGGCAATTTAGTAAAACAGAAATTAAGTCACCCTGCATATGAGAAAAAATAAAGGGCAGCATACTTGTAAAAATATTTACTACATATGTATGTGTGTGTGTGTATACATATTAGATTTAAAAATCTTCGCTTTATAGAGAATTCACTCAAATCAACAAAAAACCCTCTAATTTAAAATTGGGAAATTTAAATTAGAGATCTAAATTGCAGATCTAAAAATTGGGCAAAGTCCTTTTTTAAGATCTGCAACTGACCTATGCACACAGGAAATAATATTTAGTGTTCCTGGTTAGAGAAGGCATTTAAGTTAAAAAAGGAATCAAATACTGTTTTCTATCCACAAAGTTTGTGAGGATAAAAAGCAGTGATATTTATAGTACTCCTTAAAGTTTAAGTTGCAGATGACTTTTCAAATAGACAATTTGATGGTAAGTACCATATTTAAAAAATTGTATATGCCCATTAGTGATCAATTCTATTATACTAAAATATTTTTAGAAAATAATGAAACATACATGCAATTTCTTTTCTGAGCACTTCTTAAAATATCAGTGTATTAAAAAGAATCCATTTAATGGCTTTTATAAATACATTTCAGTGAGTTTACAGCATGGGATAATAGTTGACCACTCAAGGTAGAAATATATACAGAAGTATGTTGACATTTGAAAATGTATTTTGGTGTACCAACTGAGGGTAAAGTTCAGTTTGACTATACATACACATAGACTATGGTCTTGTGTTATCTGAAATTATGTACAAAATATAAAATTTGTTATTTGAGGACATTTGTTTTAATATAAAATGTTTTTCCTTTTTATTATCTTTGATTTATGCATTGAGCATGTACAATGCTATTAGTAAAAGTTTATTGTTAATAAAATAATTTTTGGGAAGATCAGCAATGTGAAATTTGCACAGATAAAAATAGTTTCTCACTTTCTATGTTTTAATTTTTATTTTTTGTGGATTAGTATATTCTGTGAACTTTTAGCATCTTCAGAAGAGAATCTTTTTATCTGTGCTTATTGATTTACATGTACATTTTATTAGACACATATTTTTATTATATATAGATTTATTACATATACGTCAATAACTACAGATTAATCATTTTAGTGTAGTTTTATTATTAGAAAAATAAAAGAGCAAATATAAGTGCTTTATTTATAGCAGTGTTTTAAGATATTGAACTTCTCAACTGTATTGATCCATTCTTTTAATCCATTTACCACATGTAAGCTGAATGCCTATTGTGTAAAAGATACATTCTATTAACTCTCAGGACCCTTTCATTCTTAAAAATTTCACATTTACTTGCTCAGCCTGAGCAAAGTGAGAGATTTAAAATTGGAGTATTAGGACTGAATCTCAATGGAAACTTTTCCTCTCATCTTTCAAAAAAAAGCACTTCTGAAGTGAAAAACTAGTAAAATATAACTACCAACCGTGATTTTGGAAATTTATAATAGCTTTGAATAGTAATATTAATCATTGGAAATACCTAATTTACATGCATTCTATAAATCTAAATATGAATTTACATACATTCTGTAAATCTAAATACGGAATAAGATGAGCCATACCTATTTATTTGAATCCCAAGTTTTCTTTGGCTTGAAGCTTTAAAAATATTAAAGAAGTACTTTGTTTTAATAATTTGTTGTCTTTATTTCAACTCTCCTTTTGCGTAGTACTCTTAAAAGCTAACATTTCTTTCAGTGTTAATCCTGTGACTAGGACTGCCTCGTCCTGTTGTATATACCATATTCCACTTCTTGGAAGGCACTGTGAATTGTGTGATGCCTCCTTATTTTATGCACCAATAAAAGATTGTTTAAATTTCTGCCAAATATAGTTGTAATAAATAATGAACTATAAGTGGCATTTCAATGTCAGAAATGTTAAAATATGAGAAATTGAGCATCTTAGAATCATTAAAATACAGTGTTATCTCTAACCTTTAAAACACACCACAATGTAGTCATAATTGTACCATTTTACTTAAAATGCTGTCTTTGTTAAGTAGTAGTAATAATTATAATACCTAACAATTACTGAGCTGTTACATGTGCTAGGAACTCTTCAAAATACTTTGCATAGATTCCCATTGAGGCATCATAGTGATAACCTGTGAGATAACTGCTGTGTTCATCTTCATTTTGTTGATGAGAAAATTGAGGTGCAGAAAGTTTAAGTGACAGCTAGAAAGTGAAAGACCTTAAAGTAATATTCAAGCCCGAGTTGAACTGAATCCAAAGGCCAAGCTCTTTCTATTCAAATAGGCCACTCTTTCTTTAATGTAGTGAGTAATGAGAGCAAATGAATGTTGTACTTTCTTCAGGAGAATATTAAGTATTTGTTTTGAAGGCAGAGAAAGAGCGTGGTATTTAATGTTTACAGTTACATAACTCATTGTATGTTTTGGGACAGTGGACTAAACTTTGCCAAAAAGTCCTCTCACTCTCGTAGGACTGCTCTACACTGGGCCTGTGTCAATGGCCATGAGGAAGTAGTAACATTTCTGGTAGACAGAAAGTGCCAGCTTGACGTCCTTGATGGCGAACACAGGACACCTCTGATGAAGGTAAATAGTAGCCAGATTTTTCAGCAGGAGATGGATTTGGTTTAAATACATAGAATAAAAATGAATTTATCTCATTGAAATACAACTAGTTTTGAAACCTGTGGAATATTTATTTTGATTTCCTATAATTTATAATTTATAATAATTTATATTATAAATTATACAGTTTACAATAATTCTTGCTTTAATACTGACAGGCTCTACAATGCCATCAGGAGGCTTGTGCAAATATTCTGATAGATTCTGGTGCCGATATAAATCTCGTAGATGTGTATGGCAACACGGCTCTCCATTATGCTGTTTATAGTGAGATTTTGTCAGTGGTGGCAAAACTGCTGTCCCATGGTGCAGTCATCGAAGTGCACAACAAGGTAGACACTAACCAATGTTATTTTCAAAATATTTGAAATCCATTTGTTTTAACATTAACATATGTAAGGTTTTTTATATTTGGAAGCTCAAACATTCCTTGAATGAAAATAGTTTGAAAGAACTTAATTGTCTAAGATTTTACTTTAAATATTAATGTTTTTACAAGAACTATTAGAGAGTATGGATTTTCTCTGCATTTATGATAAATATTTGAATGTGTTAAAGGTAAAAACTTCTTCAAATATTCTTTCCCATCCAAGTTTTTTTTTCTTTCCAATTAGTGTAAAACTAGAGGAAAGCAAAAATTGCCTGCATAAATTGAGTCAACATGTAAAATTTAGGAGACATGCAGAAATCTGGATTTCCTCTTAAAGGATTGAATCTGGTGTCTCCAGCCCATATGACTGTTTGGTATGCTAAGAAGACATTCTAGCTTTACACAAAGCATATGTTTCCAGTTTGCTACTGTGCCCACCTAGTTACAACACTTACTCAGCTTACCTCTTTTGCCTCTGTAAATACTTCAGTTATCAATTCCTCTCTCATAGTATATTTTGGTAAAGATTTCAAGGTATTCAAGACAGTTGATAGGTATTTATAATATATAGTTTATATTTTACATTAATTCATTAATAATGGGGTTGACTTCTAGAATTTAGAGGACTTTTTAAACAATGATTTTTCTGTATATAAACTATAAATAATCATCTTCTATTAGAATGCCTTTAAGCCTTTTTAGATTAATCATGGTTATATTTGAAAGGTTATGCATGTTGCAGATAATATTATATCCTTCTCAGAATTGTCCCTTAAAATTCAAGTGTTTTAGTGGCTTTTATTATGCTAATGCATATAGATGAGTTAGAACTTTCATTAATAAGCCATTTTATTAATATTTTTGATATTTTGCCAAAAATTAAATAGCAATTACAATAGAAACCAGAATAAAAATGGATTACTGCATTTTAAGAAGTAGATATGCATTAGAATTTTAGGATTATCATTATAATTGAGAATAAACTTTTATACTGAATTTCTAATAGCTGAGATAAAATTCTATTGTCTTGTAATAGGAGAAACCCCATGGACCATTTAATAATAAGCAATCAAAGTTCACTTGAAGCCAATCTCTTTTAATTTGGAGTTGCTTCCTTAGTGACCCATGTAGAACAGGAGTGCCTGACATTGGCATCTGGGATCTTGGGATTATTGATAGAAGAGAATCAAGCGAGTTTGTATCACCCAGAGGAAACCTCCATTTTTCTTGGGAAGCTTTCAGAGTTGTATCCCTGAAATTCTAATTTGTCAAATGTTAATGTCTGCTGCAAAAATATATTGTCAAATAAGGAATAGTCAAAGTTCAAGTCATTTATTGAATACTGGACATTTAATTCACAGTTTTATAATATTTCTTGAACATAGATAATGGTAGAATATGTTGGGGTACAGTGCTTCTGGTAAGGTAATTATTCTTTGGAATATAGTTTAAGAAACACTAAATTAGAATACTACTTTAGTCAAAAACAAAGTATTTACTACTATGTCTTAGGGTTTAAGGATATAGAGATAAAAGATACAGCCCTTGCCCTCAAGAAGCTCTTGGTTTAGATGGGAAACCATAAAATCATTACAATATAATGATTTTTGGAGATAACCAGAGTTATGTGGTGATGCAGAGGCTGAATATTTACAGCGGAAGGTGCAGTGCATGGGAAAGCACAGAAAAGGGAGAAAGAAGGGACTGCTATTGATTTACTTTCTATTTTATGTGTTTAAGTTCATAAGATATTATATAAGGTATTCAGTTCAGCTGAGAAATATGTAATTTCATGAATTATAAATTGTTTTGCTATTTTACAGGCTAGCCTCACACCACTTTTACTATCCATAACGAAAAGAAGTGAGCAAATTGTGGAATTTTTGCTGATAAAAAATGCAAATGCGAATGCAGTTAATAAGTATAAATGGTATAGTAGTTCTTTTTTTATTAAAAAACACTTGAGTAGTGTTCTAGAGTAATAACACTCAAGTCAGAAATATTTAATAACATTTACTTAAAATTGTTAGATTATGTGAAAATATCAATACAGATTATCAGAAGAAAAGCAATTATTTGGACTGGTCAACATAAAGAACAGTATATAGTAGGACTTCTCTTATTATATTGACTGATTCCTATGTGTAATCTGATGTTTTTGGTTGCATTATCTTCTAAAGTGGTTCTGTATTAGTTTTAAGAAGTATGAACTTTTTTAGTTTACTTTATAAATGATTAACACTTTTATAGTATTTTTCTAACCTCTGTTTTTTATACACTTTTTAAAAAATGCAATATTTGCTGGGCACGGTAGCTGTTGCATGTTATCCCACCACTTTGGGAGGCCAAGGTGGTTGGATCACTTGAGGCCAGGAGTTTGAGACCAGCCTAACCAACATGGTGAAACCCCATTTCTACTAAAAATACAAAAATTAGCTGGGCATGATGGCACATGCCTGTAGTCCCAGCTACTCTGTGGGGGGCTGAGGCACGAGAATCGCTTGAACTTGGAGGCAGAGGTTGCAGTGAGCTGAGATCATGCCACCACACTCCAGCCTGGGTAATAGAGCGAGATTCTGTCTCAAAGAAAAAAAAAAAGAAAAATTAAATAGAAATAGGAGTTTAAAATCATTTTGTCTTTAGGATGACTGTTTGCTTGTTTTCTTTGAAGAATATTAATTTTAGGTTATCCCTACGTGACTATTAATTGCTATCACCAGATACTGTGAATTTATTATTATTTTTCCTTTTTTATTCATAGTGTATTTTTATTTTTAATTTGTATGGGTAGAGGAAGAAAGACATCTTTAATTGGATTAAAATTTTAGTTAATTAAGTTAAGCCATAGGTGAGTAATAAAGAGGAAAGAGATAGGCTTTTGATTCACACAAGACTGAGTTTAATTTCTAGCTTCCTCACTTGATAGGTGTGACCTTGCAAACGTTACTTAATACCAAGTATGATTTTCTATATGAAAAGGAGAATAATAATATGTCCTTTAAGGACTATTGTGTTGAAGTAACATTATGAATGTCAACAGCATTTAATTCAGGGTCTCATACATTCTTATCAGCATCATTAACTAAACTTAGCATGACTACTACTAATATCATTATTCCTAATATTGTTTTAAGCCTTCAGATTGCTGTCACTTGTCTGACTTCTAGCTGATTTTGAAGTATAAACTATTATGTCAGACTAAGGAAGAAATAGATAATTTTTCATTTAAATCTTTGCCTCTTTTAGATTAGTGAACAGAGCATAATTTCTTGCCTCTCAAAGGACTTTATATTAGCCAATTCTAGTGTGCCATATCCCCGTGGGACATGAATCTTTTTGCTCCTTCCTTTTAGCCTTGGTGGTGATTTACAAGGATAAACACTTGAGCACTCAAGATACTTATGTTTGTTGGTACATGTAAATGGTTAATTCTACAATGACAGGCACATATTAAATTGGTTCTGCTCATAATAATGAAGTTATCTCTTTGTTATTTTAGCACAGCCCTCATGCTTGCTGTATGTCATGGATCATCAGAGATAGTTGGCATGCTTCTTCAGCAAAATGTTGACGTCTTTGCTGCAGATATATGTGGAGTAACTGCAGAACATTATGCTGTTACTTGTGGATTTCATCAGTAAGTGTTTACGTTTAGAGGCTAGGTGAGATTTTATAGTTTGTTTCAGGTAGTTTTTGAATTACAGTGAGTTCACTTCATCAGCCAGAAACTAGGCAAAAAGCTAGACTAGTTAGAAGGAGTATTGGGTCCAGGATTCTTTATTTTAGGACTTTCAACAACTTTATCCCTAGGGATCCTAATGTTGTCTACTTGATTTTTCTAATTAGTTATTTGGGTCTTGAAGTGTCCACTTTAGCAGAAAACCTGATAGTGTCCTCTGGGGGCTGTCTTCCATATCTAAATACTTGAATTTTTTAAAAAAAATCTAAGGAGTTCCCTAAGTCCAAGGAAGACATTCTTTTTGTGTAAGTCAAAAGGATTGGGGGCAGAAATCACCATTCTCTTTATTTTGTTGTTTCCATTGATTCTGTTGTTGCATTGTTGCCACTGAAACTGCCCCTGCAGTCTAGTAATGATTGACCTTTGTGACCAGGATGCCCTTACTAACACAGATCCCTCAGTCTTCATGGTGATCCATATGTAGATTTCAAAGTTATTACAGTTTTTTAAAGTTCACATACATATTCTCAGCCATTGTTTCCAAAGTACCAGCACCCTGCTCTGGCAGCTAGAACTTTTAGCTTTAGCCACACACGTAGTGAGCAAATTGACCCTGCTCCTCCACTCAAAACCTGATGTGAAACCCACATCTTAGCCTGGACTTGGCCTAGACCTTCAGGGTAAGTTATCCTTTGAATGACTTTTTTCTATTTTCTCTTGCAAATATTAATTGTGATAGTTTAAAACTGTAAGTCAGGTTGAAGTAATGTTATAGGAAGAAATTAGAGACCCATTTTTATTTTGTTACCAGATCTATATCCCTGGCACTTTATATCCTGTGTAGTGCCATTTTGTAAGTAGCAGAAGGTCTTATCTTATTCCGTAAGATCCCTTGTCATCTTTCCAAATTTGTAGTGGGTTCCAACTTGTGGTTATACCCTCAAGTGATTCTTTTTTCCTAAAAGTAAAAATCTCCCATGCTACTTGCATCTCTATCTCAAGTTTTTAAAATATTTTCAAATTCTGCATTACCATGAAGCCATTCAATAGACTTCACTCTATCTCAAGTAAGTTGGTTAGATTTAACAGAGCTAAGCCTCATCCATCATTGATCAGTCTTCAGGTATAAAAGTAGGGATTTGTGCTGGCTTCAGTGGTACATATACTAAAATTGAAACAATGTTGAGAAGATCAGCATCGTCCCTGCACAAGGATGACACACAAATCTGTGAAGTGTTGCATATTTCTTGCAGTCCCCAAAAGGACATTTGACTACTTTCTAACTAGCTCCAAGGAAATGATGTGTCAAAGCAAAATGTGTGACACCAAGTATTGCAATTGTGATTTTCATACAAAAAATATTTATGTAAGGTGATGTATGAAATGAGATTTGGTGAGTAACACATAGGATCTTGTGTGCAGTATGCTGTTAGTAGGCATCTCAGAAATGAGAAAATACCAACTTGCATCTTCTTTGTGGAACTTACAAAAAACAGTGGTGGGTTTTGTCTTCCACAGCAGCTGGAAATGATCATAGTTACTAAGCATCATTCTATCAAAGATTTGTTAGTTCAGGTTTAAGGAGGTAAATAAAGAGTAGCAATAGTCCAAGCCAGATGCTGACATCTATTAGTTTTCTGCCCTTGGTGTGATTGATGAGCTCAGTAATAGAGGATAATCAGGTTATCCAATTTGATGAATTAATATATTTATAAATAAATTTCATTACAAATTATAAAATAGCTTAGATGCCTTGAATTACATGCCACAAAGAATAGAACATCTAATAACCAAAAGTAGGAATTAATAACAGAAAACTGCAACATTTGAACATTATAACCTATGAAGAAACACTTTTTTTAAAAAATTAATTTTTTGTAGAGACAGGGTCTCCCTATGTTGCCCAGGGTTGTCATGAACTTCTGGGCTCAAGCAATTCTCCTGTCTCAGCATCCCAAAGTGCTTGCATCACAGGCGTCAGGCACTGCACCAGGCCAACACATTGGGTTTTATTGGGATTTTAAAACAGTTTCAGCAATTAGGTTCAAGAACAAATTATTTCATTGCTTCACTATTTCTTTGAGCATTTTTAAAATGTTATCTTGTTAGATCTTTATAATAGTCTAGTGAAATAGGGCTCTAAAATCCTCATTTTTAGAAGACATTGAGCCTAAGAGAAGCAACTTGTTCAAGAAAAAATACCCGTTGGTAACCATGCTAGGACTTTTTCTGAGTTAGGGAGATTTTCCATTAAGCCAAGCTAACTCTAGTTAATTTACTGAGTTATACTGCCCTAAATGCATGAGTATTTCATCTTACTTTATTTCTTCTTTAATTAGAAGCTTAATAAGTTCATAGAGCTTACAAACTTAAAGTCTATGGAATAAGTAATGTTCTGATGTTAGTTCTGATATTGTCTGAAATGCTCTAAGAACTTAATAAATTTGGTAAATGTTTTTTATAAAGTCAGTGTTAAAATGGTAATTTTATTTATCACATTTTTATACATAGCATTCATGAACAAATTATGGAATATATACGAAAATTATCTAAAAATCATCAAAATACCAATCCAGGTAAGACTTCTGATAGTAAACTACCCTTGGTGGTGCTATCATAAGATTATGGAAGTGTTGATCACAAAAAGGTAATTCAAAAAGCAATGTGTAAATAGCATGTGTTTACATATATACATATATGTGGGTGTGGGTGTGTGTATGTGTGTGTGTGTGTGTGTATATATATATATATATATAGCTTTGATTTGATTTTTTGGTTTATAATTCAGAATTAGTTAAGAATTTAGTTGTAGGCAGTTTATAATCTCAAAAAATGTTACCTGAAAAAATATTTGTTTAATTATGGTCCCTAAATCCTATATAATACTTTTGTATAAATAACGCAAGTTTTAAGTTTGTATATTTTATGTTTCCTCAACTGTCCTAACAACTTAGGCTTGTTATAAAATGTATAACCCTTGGGGTGATTGATGAGCTCAGTAACAGGGGATGATCAGGTTATCCAATTTAATGAATTAATATATTTATAAATAAATTTTATTACAAATTATAAAGTAGCTTACATGCCCTGAATTACAAGCCACAAATAATTGAACATCTAATCATGAAAAGTAGGAATTAATAACAGAAGCCAAGATGGCTGAATAGGAACAGCTCCAGTCTACAGCTCCCAGCGTGAGCAACGCAGAAAGGGATGGGTGATTTCTGCATTTCCAACTGAGGTACCCGGTTCATCTCACTGGACAGTGTTGGAAAGTGGGCGCAGGACAGTGGGTGCAGCGCACTGAGCATGAGCCGAAGCAGGGCGAGGCATTGCCTCACCTGGGAAGCGCAAGGGGTCAGGGAATTCCCTTTCCTAGTCAAAGAAAGGGGTGACAGACGGCACCTGGAAAATCGGGTCACTCCCACCTTAATACTGTGCTTTTCCAATGGTCTTAGCAAACGGCACACCAGGAGATTATATCCCGAGCATGGCTCAGAGGGTCCTACCCCCATGGAACCTTGCTCATTGCTAGCACAGCAGTCTGAGATCAAACTGTAAGGTGACAGTGAGGTTGGGGGAGGGACGCTTACCATTGCCGAGGCTTGAGTAGGTAAACAAAGAGGCTGGGAAGCTCGAACTGGGTGGAGCCCACCGCAGCTCAAGGAGGCCTGCCTGCCTCTGTAGACTCCACCTCTGGGGGCAGGGCATTGCCAAACAAAAGGCAGCAGAATCTGCAGACTTAAATGTCCCTGTCTGACAGCTTTGAAGAGAGTAGTGGTTCTCGCAGCACCCAGCACGCAGCTGGAGATCTGAGAACGGACAGACTGCCTCCTCAAGTGGGTCCCAGACCCTCGAGTAGCCTAACTGGGAGGCACCCCCAAGTAGGGGCAGACTGACACCTCACACGCCCGGGTACTCCTCTGAGACAAAACTTCCACAGGAATGATCAGGCAGCAACATTTGCTGTTCACCAATATCCGCTCTTCTGCAGCCTCCACTGCTGATACCCAGGCAAACAGGGTCTGGAGTGGACCTCCAGCAAACTCCAACAGACGTGCAGCTGAGGATCCTGACTGTTAGAAGGAAAACTAACAAACAGAAAGGACATCCACACCAAAACCCCATCTGTACGTCACCATCATCAAAGACCAAAGGTAGATAAAACCACAAAGATGGGGAAAAAACAGAGCAGAAAAACTGGAAACTCTAAAAATCAGAGGGCCTCTCCTCCTCCAAAGGAACGCAGCTCCTCACCAGCAACAGAACAAAGCTGATGGAGAATGACTTTGGTGAGTTGAGAGAAGAAGGCTTCAGACGATCAAACTACTCTGAGCTAAAGGAGGAAGTTCGAACCCATGGCAAAGAAGTTAAAAACCTTGAAAAAAAATTAGATGAATGGCTAACTAGAATAACCAATGCAGAGAAGTCCTTAAAGGACCTGATGGAGCTGAAAACCAAGGCACGAGAACTATGTGACGAATGCACAAGCCTCAGTAGCCGATTCGATCAACTGGAAGAAAGGGTATCAGTGATTGAAGATCAAATGAATGAAATGAAGTGAGAAGAGAAGTTTAGAGGAAAAAGAATAAAAAGAAATGAACAAAGCCTCCAAGACATATGGGGCTATGTGAAAAGACCAAATCTACATCTGATTGGTGTACCTGAAAGTGACGGGGAGAATGGAACCAAGTTGGAAAACACTTTGCAGGATATTATCCAGGAGAACTTCCCCAATCTAGCAAGGCAGGCCAACATTCAAATTCAGGAAATACAGAGAACGCTGCAAAGATACTCCTTGAGAAGAGCAACTCCAAGACACATAATTGGCAGATTCACCAAAGTTGAAATGAGGAAAAAATGTCAAGGGCAGCCAGAGAGAAAGGTCGGGTTACCCACAAAGGGAAGCCCATCAGACTAACAGCTGATGTCTCGGCAGAAACGCTACAAGCCAGAAGAGAGTGGGGGCCAATATTCAACATTCTTAAAGAAAAGAATTTTCAACCCAGAATTTCATATCCAGCCAAACTAAGCTTCATAAGTGAAGGAGAAATAAAATACTTTACAGACAAGCAAATGCTGAGAGATTTTGTCAACAACATTTGAATATTATAACCTGCAGGGGTCTGTCCTGCAGATGGTTGAGACACATAACCAGATACTGATATTCAGTGAAAGAGCAGCAAGGATTCCGAGCTGATTACAGACACCAAGGAAGATGCTGTAAAGAGTCAGCAGCCACAGCCCTGGCTAGCTGGCCCTGTGGGCATTTATTAGTAAAGTTTTAATGACAAAAGCTTTGAGTCAACACACCCGTGGGTAATTAACCTGGTCATCCCCACCCTGGAGAGCCATCCTGCCCATGGGTGATCAAAGGTTAGTCTTAAGACCACATAAGTAAACAAGCTATTTAGATAAACTACTCTACCTTCCTTTGTATCCACTTTAAGCTATTTATGCAAGGTAAGAATTAGGCTGCTTTCAGCCATAACCATATCTTGAGACTTTTACAAAACCCTCTGGCCTTCCAAGAAGATTTGTGTCTATGTCCTATAACTTCATATTAAAATGTTTCTCACCAGCCTGACTGAACTCCCACAATAACCTATGAAGAAACATGGTTTTATTGATTGATTGATTGATTGATTGTAGAGACATGGTCTCCTTATTTTGCCCAGGTTGATATTGAACCTCTGGTCTCTATTTAATTTTTACAATAAATGGTTTGCATTTAGTAAATGAGAATTAATTACAGTTGAGTCTTGAGCAATATGAGAGTTAGGGTGCTGATCCCCCATGCAGCTGAAAATCTGCTTCATATGAAAATCTCTTTCTTTTGACTCCTCCAAAACTTTACTAGTAGTCCACTGTTGACCTGTAGCCTTCCTGAAAGCACAAACAGTCAATTAACTCATAGTTTCTATTTTATATGTACTATATAGTGTATTCTTACAATAAAGTGAGCTGGAGGAAAGAAACTTTTATAAGAAGGAAAAATATATTCACTTTTGAGTGGAAGTGAATTATTATACATAAAGATCTTAATTCTTATTGCCTTCATGTTGAGTAGTCTGATAAGGAGGAAGCAGAGGAGAGATTTGTCTTGCTATCTTGCAGTGGCAAAGGAAAAGAAAAATCTGTCTGTTAGTGGGCTCCTACAGTGAAAACCCATATTCAAGCATCAACTGTGTGACATAGTGACTCGTGTCACTAAAAAAGTAACTATCTTTAGAATTTGAAAACTTAATAATGCTTTCCTGGTGCCATAAACAAATGTCAACAAGAATTACAAAACTTAGCCAGGGTGCCTCAGTACCAATAGGAAATTATTTTCCAAAGATACCTACTGAATGCAGAAGTCAGAAAAGCAATTATTTGTTGAGAAGCGCAGGTTATGTTACATAGTCTTGTACCAACAAGGTCTCACTATTATCAACTTCATTTCCTCCAAGTTGAAACCAAATAAGATATATTTACTTCATTAAAACAAGATATGTTGTTCTATCTGCTGGATAATTAGGGTGTTAATAGTAATTTGTTACAACAAGATACTCTGTTTCTAATAGCCAAAATATTATCATTATAAATATTCAAATAGCTTAACTCTAGGCTCAACAAATTATAATGAAGTTAGAAAAATTTTTCATAATAACAAAAATGCTACTATGATACCTAAATGTGACATAATGCATTGTACAATATGAATTATATGGGCATATCTTTATTATATATTTATTAAAGGACCTCTGTAAGTTAGGTTTTGCAAGTTGCAGGAGACAAGGATAGAATACATATAGTTTGGGTCTTTAAGGTGCTCATAAAACAGTAGAGCTGTCCTTATTGAATTTCTGCATTTTTCCAACAGAATTTCGTAAAAAATGTTTTTTTATTCATTTATCCACTTGTCCACTTAACAAATAATTGTTAGGTATCTTTAAGGTACTAAGCATCTTCCTTGTTATTATATAATTGGTCATTTTATATTATTTACTACTTTATTAAGGTATTAAGCATTTTTCTTGTTATTATTGTCTTTTTTTATTATTTGTTACTTTATTTAGTGCTTACTCTGTGCCAGAACCCCTTTGGAAGCTTATAATTATTACTTATTATGTCATGTCGTTACTGTATTCAGCATGTGTCAGACCTTTTATATCCAAGGTGAAGAATTAAAGCTTTAAAAAGTTTGGTAGTGTCCAGGCACAGTGGCTCACTCCTGTAGTCCTAGCACTCTGGGAGGCCAAGGCAGATGTATTGCTTGAGCTCAGGAGTTTGAGACCAGCCTGACTAACATGGTGAAACCCGTCTCTACTAAATATGAAAAATTAGCTGGGTGATATGGCCCACGTCTGTAATCCCAGCTACTTGGGAGACTGAGGTAGGAGAATCGCTTGAGGTAGGAGAATTGCTTGAATTGCATTGAGCTGAGATCACACCACTGCACTCCAGCATGGGTGACTGAGTGAGACTCTGTCTCAAAAAAAAAAAAAAAAAAAAAGAGAAAAGAAAAGTTTGGTAGTATTTAAGGAAAGCATACAGAATGAGTAGAAGTTTGCCAGGTGAAGAGTCAGGAGGATGATATTTAGTAGAAGGAAAATTTAACCAGATTGTGTGTTTGGCAGAAGGAACATCTGCAGGAACACCTGATGAGGCTGCACCCTTGGCGGAAAGAACACCTGACACAGCTGAAAGCTTGGTGGAAAAAACACCTGATGAGGCTGCACCCTTGGTGGAAAGAACACCTGACACGGCTGAAAGCTTGGTGGAAAAAACACCTGATGAGGCTGCATCCTTGGTGGAGGGAACATCTGACAAAATTCAATGTTTGGAGAAAGCGACATCTGGAAAGTTCGAACAGTCAGCAGAAGAAACACCTAGGGAAATTACGAGTCCTGCAAAAGAAACATCTGAGAAATTTACGTGGCCAGCAAAAGGAAGACCTAGGAAGATCGCATGGGAGAAAAAAGAAGACACACCTAGGGAAATTATGAGTCCCGCAAAAGAAACATCTGAGAAATTTACGTGGGCAGCAAAAGGAAGACCTAGGAAGATCGCATGGGAGAAAAAAGAAACACCTGTAAAGACTGGATGCGTGGCAAGAGTAACATCTAATAAAACTAAAGTTTTGGAAAAAGGAAGATCTAAGATGATTGCATGTCCTACAAAAGAATCATCTACAAAAGCAAGTGCCAATGGTAAGATGCTAGAGCGAACTTTGTAAGGTTTATTGGCACTTCAGGTTCCCTAGTGAAAAAAGTGTGATATGGGAGTAGTTGGGAATGACTTGAATATCTAAATAAGGCGAGCTTAGGCAACACTTTTTAATAGTATAGGAATAAGTAGCTCTTATTCTGTAGGTCCTGGAAAAATTCTCACAATTCTTCTGGCCGTAAATGCTAGATGAACTAACTAACAATGGCTAAAACCATAGGAACCAAAGTTGTTTGGTGGTACAGGGATATCATAGGATCACACTTTTTTTTTTTTTTTTTTTTTTTTTTTTTTGTGAGACAGAGTCTCGAACTGTCCCCTGGGCTGGAGTGCAATGGCACGAGTGATCTCGGCTGACTACAACCTCCGCCTCCCAGGTTCATGTGATTATCCTGCCTTAGCCTCCCAAGTAGCTAGGATTACACGTGCCCACCACCACACCTGGATAATTTTTTGTATTTTTAGTAGAGATAGGGTTTCACTATATTGACCAGACTCAAACTCCTGACCTCATGATATGCCTGCCTTGGCCTCCAAAAGTGCTGGGAATTCAGGTGTGAACCACTGTGCCCAGCCAGGATCCCACTTATGGTTGGCTAGTTAGCAACAGCTCCAATAATCATGCTCTCTCAAGACAATATTTAAAGGCTGGAAGGGCTGCTTTTGTTCACATGTTTCTTTTAAATAGGGAGAAAACTTGGAAGCTTGCAGTAATCTTCCTGTAACATTTTATTGGCTGGATTACACCACATGCCCATATCTAAACCAGTCACTAGGAAAGCAAATGTAATTACTGTGATTAGCTTAGAATAATGATTTCTCTTTTTGAGATGGGATTGGGGTAATGGAATACTGAATATCTAAAGAAACTTGTGTTTCTGCAGCAAGAAAGAAAAAATAATGCTTATGCATAGGAAGCCAGCAATGTTTTCTGCAGGGATTCATTGGAAAATTTTGAGCAGGGGAGTCACAAGATTAGATTTGAGTATCAGGGCATACTGGTTATGGTATAAGGCAGAGATTGGCAAACTTTTCCTGTAAAGTGACAGATAGGGAATATGTTAGGCCGCTGGGCATGGTGGCTCACACCTGTAATCCCAGCACTTTGGGAGGCTGAAGCATGCGGATCACCAGGTCAGGAGTTCGAGAACAGTCTGGCCAACATGGTGAAACCTCATCTTTACTAAAAATACAGAAAGTAGCCAGGTGTGGCGGCATGCACCTGTAATCCCAGCTACCTAGGAGGCTGAGGCAGGAGAATCACTTGAACCCAGGAGGCAGAGGTTGCAGTGAGCTGAGATCGTACCACTACACTCTAGCCTGTGTGACAGAGCAACATTCCATCTAAAAAAAGAAAAAAAAATGTTAGGCCATGTGGTCTCTATAACAGCTATTGAACTCTGCATTGTAGGGTGAAAGCAGTCATAGATAATGTGTGAGCAAACAGGCAAGATTGTATTCCAATAAAACTTTGTATAAAAAGCCATTTGGTAAGCTGAATTTGGCCTGTGGCCTATAGTTTGCTGGCCCTTCATATAGAAGAAAGATGGAGGGTAATTACATAAAAAGATTTAAAGACGAAACTTTTGTAGTAGTTCATGCTATAGTCTTTTTTTTTTTTTTTTGTCACCAATCTGTGGCCTAGTATCAATCTATTATGAAAGTTTGACCCATCCAGGGTAAAAAGAGTCAAGTTCAGAAGCTCAATTTACACATTTAAATACGTAGGTCTTTCTTTGCCGTTATTTTATTTTGATTTCTTTTACTGAATTTTTTTTAACTTAAAAATAACCGTAGTAATTGGTAGGGTTTCTTTGTCCCTGTGAAAGCCATCAGTTAAGGGGCTGTGTCTAACTAGGAAATTTGAGTGAATTCACTTCAGAAGAATTTAGAATATTTCTGTTATATATTTGTTTTCTGTCTCATGGCTGTCAGTATTCCTTGGGCCTTGCATGGACCTTGATTTAATTCTATGAAATGTGGGAAATTTAGTTACTTAAGGCAATTGTTTTTCCTATAAATTTTTAATGTTTCTCCAAGGAGGCACAAGTTGATTCTGAAGGTATTGTTGCATTAAGGAAAGACTATCTCATTGTAATTAAAGCAGTTTTTAATTTATATGCAATACAAGTTCTTTAAGCTTATTTATCTAAAACACATACACACCAAATATACTGTCATGGCATATTGAAATTTAAAAGGGTTGGACATATATTTTGCTAATATCAAAAAGTTAATATTTTGAAGCATCTTATTTATTGATAAATAATCTTTTTTGAAGAACCATATAATAAAGATTAGTCAATCAAACTACATAATACTAAAAAATAAAAGAAAGTAATGAGAGCTGACAGGTAATTAAAGTTATCTGAGTGAACAGCAAATATCTGACATAGTATGCTTCACGGGAGAAGAGGATAGGACTTCTTTTGTGAAGAAATAATTAATACAAATTAATCAAATTTTTAATTTTTTTGCATTCTAATGAATATAAAATTAATTTTTACATTTTTAAGATTGCAGCTCTAACCATTTGACTATAGAAGTGGTTGTGGTTATCTACCAATAGAATATACAGGCTATAGAAGTAAGTCCACAGATTCATGAATGAAAATAGATTTGTATATGTTTTAAAAATTTATAATAAGAAATGTTATCATGAATATATCTGTGATTAACTTTTTATAGATCAGAGGTTCCCATCAGAATCCAAACAAGAGGAAGATGAAGAATATTCTTGTGATTCTCGGGTATTGTGTATTATTGATGTTATTCTCTAAAAATATTAATATTGAGTGATGTGAAAATATAAAGTCAGAGGCTTTGACTTGGTTTTCTTACCACTGCCTATGCTCAGAAGAAATTCTGATATTTCTAAAAACATACTTGGCTGGGCACGGTGACTCATGCCTGTAATCCCAGCACTTCGGAAGGCCCGAGGTGGGAGGATCACCTGAGTTCAGGAGTTTGAGACCAGCCTGGCTAATATGGTGAAACCCTGTCTGTACTAAAAATACAAAATTAGTTGGGTGTGGTGGCATACCCCTGTAATCCCAGCTACTGAGGAGGCTGAGGCAGGAGAATCACTTGAACCCGGGAGGTGGAGGTTGCAGTGAGCTGAGATCGTGCCATTGCACTCAGATCGGGCCATTGCACTCCAGTCTGGGTGACAGAGTGAGACTCTGTCTCCAAAAAAAGAAATACTTAAAAAAAAATGTGTGCTGAGTAGATTACTGCTTGGTAGTGAAATTCTGCTAATTTTCAGAATTAGTTTCAGACACTTGTGTAGTACAGTGTAAAAAATAAGGCTTAGAATTCACCAGTAATTCACATGAGTTCTGAGGTGAAATTTGATCAAAAGCTAAAGAATTACTCCGAGTTCATCTTTGGGCAATTATATGACTCAGTGGTATATCTAGACGTACAAAAATTTTAATTGGATTCATAGAAAAACAGTTTAAGCTGCAGTTTTGTACAACTTGAAACATAAAAGATAATGCTTGGATTGGAAATTATTGACGTATCTGTATTGTCCAGTATAGATCTGAAGGAACATTTCAGGAGACAAACATGCATAAAGAATAGGAAACCAGTGGGACTATAATAACAACAATTTGGTTGAGTAGTATTTTAAAAAGTAGAAATTATTTTTACAGATAGAACTCTTTGAGTCCGTTTGTGGTAGCCATGCTTATAGCAACATAAGTATCAAATAATAGTGATATAGTCCAAGGTCACAACTGTGGAAAGACACAGGAAGTGCCTGACCTCTTAGATCCAAGCCCCTGCTGCACAGTGGTAACAGAAATGAGATGACAACAGACAAGCAGACTTTATCTAATTTGTCCATAGACAAAAAAAGACTTTCTAATACTTGATTGCTTTCATTTAAACATAACATAAATATAAGTTTTCCTTACTACTTTTTCATTTTATTCAAGTACTTTTTCCATCAGCAGATATTTTATCAAAAACATGTTGATTATTTTAAGCCCATTTACCTAAATAAAGCAGCTTCTACAATGTTCTGAGTGCACTTTATATGACTTATTCTTAACATTCTTTTCATGCCATGCATCATTTTTAACACTAAATAATTCTATTATCATGAATAATTTCAGTGTTTAATGCAGTATGTATTTGCGGCAGCGCTCCTCTGGAGGGGGCACCAGCTGCAGGGAGTCTGTCCCTTGCAGACCCCTGACCCGGGGACAGATGAATAAAGTACATTGACACACAGATATTCTTCTCTGCCAGTCCAGCTGAGGGCGTCTGAGTGGCTTACAGACTCCCTGTTGAGTTCTGTAAACAGTTGTGACTATGGCCCTGATCAGCTAGTCAGACTCGCATTTATTCAGTATGATTAATTAACAAAAGCTTGAGTCAATACCCTTAGAGGGTAATTGACATTGTGGACTTCCTGGGGTAGTCCTGAGTAAAAAGCACTTAAGCACCTGTGGTACATCAAAGGTGAGTCTTAAGATTATATGAGTAAACAAGCTAGCTAGGTAAGCTACTCTGCCTTCCTTTATGACTACTTTAATTTGTTTAACTAAAGGTAAAGATCAGGTTGCCTTCAACCATATCTATTACCAAAGTTATGCAAACTTCTCGGCCTTCCAAGAAGATTTGTGTCTATTTATATAACTACCTCTAATATTTTTTCCACCAGTCTGATTGAACCCCAACATGTGTTATGGCAGGTAGCAAGTGTATTGTACTTGTTTGATGTGCCTTCTTGATTTTTGGTGAGGAAGATAAAGTAAGATATTTTTAAGTGAGCTACTTTTTGAAATATGCAGATGAGTGAAAATTTTTGTCAATGTTATTTATTTTTCATGCTCAGTAACCGAGTCAATAGCTGCATGAAGATAACAGATAAGTTTTGATATAGATAGCATGTGTGAGGGTTTCTATCAAAATGTCATGATTTTCAATATGTGCCTATCCTCAAATCAAATTGCCTTTGAAGTCAGAAATTGAGTTTAAAAAATATTTTAATTAGGAATTTTCATGCTTATGATTTTAAAACTGAAATTATCTATTGATACTACTTTTAACAGAGTCTCTTTGAGAGTTCTGCAAAGATTCAAGTGTGTATACCTGAGTCTATATATCAAAAAGTAATGGAGATAAATAGAGAAGTAGAAGGTAAGAACGATTTTTTATTTGAAAAGTCTTTTAACCATATGTTTGTCTAAATGCATGATGACTGATATACTCTAATAGCCAAATAAAATTACCCACTAAATACATAACATCGAAAAGAGAGGAGTAAAATGATAAGTTATGTATCTTTTCAGGTGTTGGCAACAGGAATATGTAGAGAGTGCAAAAAAAACAACCGAATTATTTGTTTGAATCCAAGATACTCTAGGACATGACGAAAGTCAGGAAACAAGTAAGGGAAAAGGAGTAAAAAGGGAATGAAGACTAAAGAAGGCAGAGAGAGTACAGGGAGTTCATGAAGGAACAAGAAGCAGGTTTATATAATGGAGGTGGCAAAATAAAATATTTTTTAGAAAAGATAGACCATGCTTAGAAAGATGGCAAGAATATAAAATGATCTTCCAGTACCAAAACTTGTCCGAAAATTATAGCTAAAGTTTTCTCACTTTTCCTGTCTTTCTCACTACTGGGAAGGCATTAGGAATGGAATTATCTGAGCATGCAGAATTGTGTTTTATTTGCAATAGGTGAGTATTAACAAAAATGCATAGGTGTGCATCTATAAAATTTATCATATACACTCAGTATAGACAAATACTTATGAAACATTAGAAAATCAGCTGAATACCTTGTTAATACACAGTATCATTCAGCATAATTGAGTTTCTAAATTTTAATAAGTTCTCAGGCGATGCTGATACCAGTGGTACTTGGAGCTCATTCTGAGTAGCAAGAGGAGAGGCCATTCATGGGAAAAATGTGGAAGAAGAGCAATTGGATAAAAGGATAAGACAAAACAGGGTCAAGAGAAAGCATTATATTCCTTTTATTTCTGAGTATGCTTTTAGCCAGAGAAGAAGAATAAAAAGATAAAGAAACAAATTATAAATTTAAGTTACTGTCACTAAACAAGGAGAAAGGAAGTGATGGAAAAATAAATTTGAAACAGTGTTGGATGGAAAAAATCAGTTCTAGGAAGTTAGAGTTTTTTTAAATTTTTTTAAAAATTTTTTTAGCAGAGGCATTCTAGGCAGGTAACGGGACAAACAAGAGAGAAGGTAGGTAGGTAATTTTGGAGACTCTGAGAAGGACAGTTCAGTGAACTCGCTTCAGATGTGTTTAGATTATTTGCACTCCAGAAAGTAAATTATGGACACTCCAGAGACTACCAGAAGCAGGAGTCTTACTAGAATTGGAGAAACCAAAGTGACTCATTAGGTTTCTATGTTACAATCAGGCATGACAAATATATATTTGGTTGATGTTAGCTATTCAAGTGAGATATATTTGAAACTAAGAACATTGGCTTTATATTTTAAGAAAGTGAGTTGTTTTGGTAAAATTGTCATTCCACAAAAATTTATTATAGACTAATGATACGCCAAATCAGATGAATTGTAGGAGCTAAAAAAATACTGAATTTATACTTGAATAATAAGATTGCTTTTTAAAATAAATATTGTGGTGACTTTATAATATAAAAAGTTATTTATGTTTAATACATCTATTGCAATTAATTTTTATATACATATGTCAATATTGAAAGCTTATTATAGATTATTTCCATGATGAGTTTTATACATCATCTTGCATGAGTGGATCAAGAAGCATTCAGATGTATAAACTGGAGGATACAGAAATGTAGGCATATTATTACACCATATGGTTATGGAAAACAATGAATATTTATATTTAGTATTATGAACTAAGTATATATCCAAGCTGATCAATTCATAACACTTCACTGATGAGATGTCAATTCTACATTCAGCTGAACTCTCATCATAACTATGTACTTTTCCAAAGATAGGCCATATTAAAGAACATGATGAATAGAATAACATAAATGATTCTAATATGTTTCATTAAGTACGTGGTGTAGCATTCCATGTTCAGCTTTGACATTTATTTTCTCATATCAACCCTTTTTACACGTGAAACACAATCTCGCTTTGAAGTCTTAACTGCACGATCTATGAAACCTATATTTATATTTTCTTCAGTGTATTCCTGTCGTGTGTGTGTCCTAAACAAACCAAAAGAAAACTTTCCAAATCTAAAGTATTCGTTCTCAAAGTCGACCAAGAGGAATCAGTTACATACTATGACTGCATTCATTTGGTTGGCATTGTCATACTTACTTATGATTGATGATAAATCTCTTTTGCTTTTTAGAGCCTCCTAAGAAGCCATCTGCCTTCAAGGTATTTAGTTTTATTATTTCATTTTGAATGACTTATTAATTATGTATTTGTGAAGTATACATTCTTTATTAATCATTTTGCTTCCAACCCCATTTAGCCTGCCATTGAAATGCAAAACTCTGTTCCAAATAAAGCCTTTGAATTGAAGAATGAACAAACATTGAGAGCAGGTAAATTTTTCAATTTAACTATGCAAAGACGAATATTTCAATATTGGACATTTTGATGGTCTTTCTATCCCCAATGCTTTATTTTTTTCAACTTTGATGAAAACATTTGATCTAGATAATGCCAATACTGGTATTGATGTTTGAAAACCTGATATTACAAGAACAGTAATTTTTAATATATTTTTTAAAAATGTAGCCTTAATCTCAGATGTTTCTACTTTTGTATCCCGAAACTGTAATGTTTACTATTTTGAACTTCTGTAATTCTTAAAGATTCAAGTAGGTGAATTTTGAAACTCTTAACTTCTTTTAGTTCTTCGAAGCTTGATTCAAATTCCACTGTTTACTTCGGGGATCACGTCTTTTACTGATATAACACTTGTGTTTTAATATTAATTACCTTGTTTCCAGTGTTGTCACTTTGGGAATCCTAAGAAAATCAGTAACTCGGATTAGTGAACTCTGTGTGTTTGTGTGTGTGTGTGTCTGCGTGTGTTCCTGTGTGTGTCTGTTTATGTGTTTGGTACCTTTACCTTGTAAAGATGAGGAAAGTAATTAGTCATTTCTTTGTGAATATTTGATAAGCACACTTTTTCCTAAAACTGTAATTCTGAAGCATTTGGGTTTAGAGTCTTTTTACACTAACCTACTTTTTAAAACTATTCTTATGCATGTTTAAACATTTTACAACATGTGTGCGTGGTCATATTTAATATGTACAATTTTTTTCAACTTCTAATGCATACATGGTTGTACGGTGTAATGTTCAGAAACATTCTTTTTTGATCAGCATCATAATTTTTAGTGACATCCATAAAGGACACAATTAACTGTGTTTTTTAATATTAGGTTGTTTATAAAATTCCATTGTATGACAGTACCATAGTTAATTGCACAATTTTTATGCTGATAAGTAATAAATAAAAATGAAAACATTCAGATTTCAGACTCTTTCAAAAGTTAGTGTTATCTGCTGATTTTTTAGGTATTAGAAACTAAAAGTAAAATATTTAAAGTATTTCCTTGTGCAATCATACACTCCACTAAGAATTTGAACTGTGCCCCACAGCTTCTTAGAGCTATGGTGTGGCAACACGTTAGATCTCTGAAACGATCCAGGGTACGCTTCTAAAAATGAGTGAACATGGTGACTTACCAAAGTGTGATTTGAGTTTCTTGTACCCTCTGCATGAAATGTGAACATTAGGGATGCTAAGATCAGAAGTTAAACTTACTTTTGAAAACCAGGTATACAGTTGATGGATGTCAAATGAGAAACGTATGCATAGTGATGAAACGGTCTTTTAAGTTTTAGTTGTGCATGTTTGCTTTTTTTCCTCAACCTGATTCAAATAGTTGTAATTTGTACTTTGTACTGATAAAGAAAACTGGACATTATTTTTGGTATAAATTCATTTTCTGTCTCATGTTCCTGAGAACTCGTCAAGTCTTGAGTGGGCCTTGATTTTATCCTATAACATGTGGGAACGTTAGATTACTTAAGGCAATTATATTTTCCTATACATTTCTGATGTTTCTCCAAGGTGTCACAAACTGACTCTGAAGATATTGTTGCATTAGGGAAGAAGTATGTCATTGTAATTGAAGCAGTTGTTAATTTATATTCAATAAAAGTTTTTAAGCTTATCTTCCTAAAACATATACACACCCAAAACACACCCAATACACTGTCATAGAATATTGAAATGTAAAAGGATTGGACATATAGTTGACTAACATCAAAAAGTTAATACTCCTAAAAAATCTTATTCATTGATAAATCATCTTTGTGGAAGAACTGTGTAATAGAGATTGCTGAGTCAATCAAACTAAGTAATACTACCAAATATAAATTTACAAAGAAAAGAGAGATGATAGGTAATTAAAGTTTTCTGAATGAACAGCAAATATAGGACATACTGTGTTTCAGAGGAGAAGAGGATATGACTGCTTTATGAAGAAATAATCCATACAAGTTAATCAAATTTCTATTTTTCTGCATTGTAATGAAATAATGTTAATTTTCAGACTTTTTAGATTTCAATTCTAATGGAATGACTATAGAAGTAGTTATTGTAATCGACAAAAAGAATATACGGGCCACAGAGGAAAAACCACAGATTCGTGAATGAAAGTAGATTTGTATATGTTTTTAAAATTTATAGTAGAGAAATGTTGTCATGAATGTTTCTGTGATTAACCTTTTATAGATCCGATGTTCCCACCAGAATCCAAACAAAAGGACTATGAAGAAAATTCTTGGGATTCTGAGGTACTATGTGTTATTGATTTTTTTTTAATATTAGTATTGCATGATATGAAAACATAAAGGCAGAGGCTTAGGCTTTATTTTCTCGCCTCTTCATATGTCACCCCGAAATTATTTTTGATATTTTTCAGAATATGCTTAATGGAGAATCTATGTGCTAAGTAGATTACTGCTTCATAGTGAAATTCTGGGAATTTGTACGATTAATTTAAGAAGCCAAAGTGGTATAGTGTAAAAACTAAGGCTTAGAATTCACTAGAAATTCACATGGGATCTGAAGTACATTTGTCTAAAAGTGAAAGAATTACACTGATTCCAGCTATGGGCAAATATATGATTCTGTCTTACATCTAGATGTACAAAAGTTCTAATTGGATGCATAGAGAGACATTTTAAACTGCAGTATTGTAAAAGCTGGGACCTGAAAAGTTAATGCCTGGGACTTGAATGTATTGACATATGTTTATTGTTCAGTATAGATCTGAAGGAACATTTCAGCAGAAAGAAAAGCATGAGGAATAGGAAACCTTGTGGGAGTATAATAACAAGAGTATTGGTTGAGTAGTCTTTTGAAAAATATAAATTATATTTTCACAAATAGAACTCCTTGAGTCCTCTTATGGCAGTCAAGCTGCAGCAGCATGAGCGTCAAATAATAGTGATGTATTTTAAGGTCACAACTGTGGAAAGACATGGGAAGTATCTGACCTCTTAGAAACAAGCAGCTGCTGCCTGGTGGTAACAGCAAAAGGTGGAAGTCAATAGGTAGATTTTATCTGATATTTTATTAGACAAAAAGACTTTAACACTTGTTTGCTTTCATTTAGATGTGACGTAATTTTTTTCTTACTGCATTTACATTCTATTCAAGCACTTTTTCTATCACCATAAATTTTGTCTAAAACATGTTGCTTATTTTAAGCCCCTGTTTACCGAAAGGAAGCAGCTTTTTCATATTCTGTGCATACATTCTGTGACAGACTCTAAAAGTTCTCTTCATGACATGCATCATTTTTAACACTAAACAGTTCTGTGATCATGAATATTTTAAATGTTTAATGCTGTATGTGTCCTGGCAAGTAGCAAATGTGTTGTATTTTGTTTGAAATGTCTTATTTATTTTTGATGAGGACTAGAACATAAGTTAGATATTTTTAAGAGAGATACTTTTTGAAATATGCACGAGTGAATTTTTTTATCAAGGTGATTTGTTTTTCCTGCTCAGTCACTGAGTTAATGGCCACATGAATGTAAAGATCAGCTTGATGTAGAGAGGGTTGTGTGAGGTTTTCTATCAAAATGTGTTGGTTTTCTATATGTATCTGCACTTAAGTCGAATTGTTTGCAAAGGAGGAAATTGTGTTTTTAAAAAAGAATTTAATTAGGAAATTTTGATACTCTTCATTACTAGGATTTATCCATTGAAATTATTTATTGCTATTACTTTTAACAGAGTCTCTGTGAGACTGTTTCACAGAAGGATGTGTGTTTACCCAAGGCTACACATCAAAAAGAAATAGATAAAATAAATGGAAAATTAGAAGGTAAGAACCGTTTTTTATTTAAAAATCAGTTGACCGAATATTTCTCTAAACTGATGAGGAGGGATATCCTCTAGTAGCTGAAGAAAATTACCTCCTAAATGCAAACCATGGAAAAAAAGAGAAGTGCAATGGTCGTAAGTTGTATGTCTCATCAGGTGTTGGCAACAGACTATATTGAGAGTGCTGAAAAGGAGCTGAATTATTAGTTTGAATTCAAGATATTGCAAGACCTGAGGAAAATGAGAAAATAAGAAAGAAGAATGTAGTAATAGAGTAACTGAAGACTGAGAAAGACAGAACGTACAGAGAGTACATGAAGGAACAAGAAGCAGGTTTATATAGTGGAGGATGATAAAATGAAATGATTCTTTAGGAAAAGATTGGGTATTGTTAGAAATTTGGGAAGAATATAAAGTGACCTTCTAGTATCAAAATTTACCAGAGAATTACAGCAAAAATATTCTGACTCTTAATGTCTTTCTCACTGGTGGGAAGCCATTAGGGATGGAAGCACCTGACCATGGAGAGCTGTGTTCTATTTGCAATAGGTGAGAATAAGCATATCTGCATGGCCACACATGTATATAATTTGTCATATACACTCCGTATAGACCAGAAGTTTTCAAACTTTAGAAAATCAGCTGAAAACCTTGTTAACAATTCACACTGAGATTCAGCCGACTTGGGATTCTGCATTTTTAAAAAGTTCTCAGGTGATGCTGATGCTGGTGGTCCTTGGACCTTGCTCTGGGTAGCAAGAGGAGAGGCCTTTTGTGGGAAAAATGTGGAAGAACAATTGGATAGAAGGTCAAGACAGAAAAGGGTCAGGAGAGAGCAGTATGGTGTTCTCAATTTTGAGGATGTTTTTAGTCAGGGGAGAAGAAGAAAGGGGCAATGCAATAGAAATTATAGATGGAAGATACTACCACTAAACAAAAGGAAAGAGTGGGAAAAAAATTTTCACAGGTGTTGAATGGGAAGAACCAAGAGCACAAGTCTAGAGATTATTTTTGCTAAAGCAGAGAGATTGTGAGGCAGGAAGCAGGGGACAAGAGAGAAGCCAGCTAGATGATTTTGGATTTTCTATGAATGAAAATGGAGTGAGCTCACTTCAGAAGCATTTAGAAAAGTTTTACTGCAGAATGCTAGAGTGTGGGTGCTCTGGAGACTACTGGAATCATGAGGATTACTAGAATTGGACTAAACCTCAGTGACTCATTAATTTTCTTTATTACTATGAGGCATCAAATATATTTATGTATATATGTATGTATGTATGTTGTTGATATTCACAATTTGAATAAGATATACTTGAATGTAAGAACCTTGGCTTTATTTTTAAGGAAGCAAATTGTGTTGGTAAAATTGCCATTTTATAAAACCTCATTAGCAAATAACATGATACACGAAACCAGACTAATTTTAAAAACCATAAAATTCTGAATTTATGACTTGAATACTTAAATTGTTGTTATTCATAGGTATTTTACTGATTTTAACATAGAAAATGTTATTAATATTTAAAAGTCTATTGCAACTAAATTTAAATGAAATACAGCAATATTGAAAGCTTATTAAATTTGCTATTCCTGATGAAGTTTGTACATCTTCCTCCATGAGTGGATCAAGAAATATTGAGATGGCTAAGCTGGAAATTACAAAAATGTTGGCATACTATTATAGCATATGGTTATAAAAATCAATGAATATTTATATTTAGTATTATGCTTTAAGTATATATCCAAGCTGATCAATTAATTACACTTTCACTGATGAGATGTCAATTCTACATTTAGCTGAACTCTCATCTGAACTGTGTGGCTTCTCAATGACAGGACATATTAAAGAACATGATGAATGTTTGTAATGTAATGATATAAATTATTATAATGTGTTGCATTAAAGACACATGGTGTAGCATTCTACGTTCAGCTTTTGCATTTATTTTCTCAGTGTCATGATTTGCTCCTGTGATTCCAGATCAGTTTTCTCCTTATCAGTCAGCATATACATATTGGTATTAACACTTTTTGCAAAAATCATATATAAATGGTTGTAGAATGTTGTTGTCATTCTACAGCAACTGTTTAGTTTTTGTTCAGCGATTAGCTTGTTTTTCATTTATTTTAAGATTTCAGGCCAGTCGTGGTGGCTCACGCCTGTAATTCCAGCACTTTGGGAGGGCGACGCGGGCGGATCACAAGGTTAGGAGATCCAGACCATCCTGGCCAATACGGTGAAACCCCATCTCTACTAAAAATACAAAAAATTAGCCGGGCGTGGTGGTGGGTGCCTGTAGTCCCAGCTACTCTGGAGGCTGAGGCAGGAAAATGGCGTGAACTTGGGAGGCGGAGCTTGTAGCGAGCCAAGATCTCGCCAGTGCACTCCAGTCTGGGCAACAGAGTGATACGCTATCAAAAAAAAAAAAAAATCATAGTGTGCATTTTTACTTTACACCACCTTTAATTAGACGCTATTCATGGTGACTAAAGAGCAACATAAATATAATTACGGATGTCAACAAGCCTTTGTTTAAGTGTATGTCCTACTTCATGCTATACTAGAAATTAAAAGTGAAGTACTGAAAATCCAAGTACGTACAGCCATACATTTCAATAGCCATTACAAATGCGGCTCATGAATCTTTCGAGCTATGCCATGTGACCTGTCCTGATTCTAAACAACTCCAGTGTACCCCTTTATAAAAATAAAAGTAATAAAAAAAAACTAAGGTGGTATTTTCCTACCCGGTTCCTCTGCATGAATTTTGAACTTCAGGGATGATCAGATCACAATTTAGAACCAGAGTTTTCAACCTTACATAGGATTCTTAAGTGCCAAGTGATAAATGGTTCCTTGATGATGAGCTCACCTTTACTGTTTCATCTCTGCGTGTTTTGCTTTTTTATCTTGTCTTAGAAAATTTAATGCCAGTTATTTTCTTTATAAAGGAAAATATTTTGGTTACATATTCATTTCCTGTCTCATGACACTCTGCTTTCTTTGCACTTAGTGAGGATGTGTATTTCTCACAGTTTTACCTAAAACAAGCAGATGAATTCATGGTATCATTTCTTATATATGAATTTTGGAGGTTTCTTCAGTGCTTCAGAAGTAACTTTTAAAGATATTAATGAATAGAGAATGACCTTCTCATTGTAATTAAAGCAGGTTTTTATTTAAAGCGTATTGAATACAAATTTAAGCACTTTTTTTCTAACACACATACATGCAATATGGTCATGCATATTTAGCCTTAAAATGGTTAGACATAAATTTTGTGTGTTTTAGAGAGTTTATGTCCCTGAAGTGTCTTCATTATTGATCAATGATCTCTCAAGGGAAACAACATATATAGTTGATATTTCTAAATATATTAAAGCATGTCATATGGAAATATTTGAGGAGTAGAGAAAAATGAGTGATTAAACATGTTTGATTAATATTATTTGAAGACATGAGATCTATTTCTATCTCAATGAAATGTCTGTGATTTTCTTGAAGCTAAGTTTTTTATAAGAGCTTATTCATAACAATAGTTTAACACCTGGCACGGTGTAACAAATAGAATTAGTTTTAGAAACAAAACTATTGTAGGATTCATTCCTTGAACACTAAAACTGTTATTTTGAATAAGCATTATTGTAACATTGAAATATGCAGGTGAATGATATGTAAAAAGTCTCTAGAAGTTTGCTTCTTGTTTGTAATACATCCATATAAGATGTTTTCTCGCTCTGTCATCCAGGCTGGAGTGCAGTGGCATGATCTTGGCTCATTGCAACATCTGCCTCCTGGGTTCAAGTGATTCTGGTACCTCAGGCACCCAAGTAGCTGGGTTTACAGGCATGTACCACCATACCTGGCTGATTTTTGTAATTTTAGTGGAGACAGTGTTTCCAAAATAGTGATTTTGGCCAGGCTGGTTTGGAACTCCTGGCCTCCAGAGATCCGCCCTCCTCAGCCTTCCAAATTGCTGGAATTACAGGCATGAGCCACTGCACCTGGCCTGTATTGGTTTGTTGATGGGTACGCTTGGACCTTTTTGTATAAGTGGATCAGGAAATTTTAAGAGGACTAAACTAGAGAACCCTATGAATGTGAAAATACTCGTATTTCACAGAGGTACAAAAATGAATATATTTATTAACTTTTATTCTATAAGTAGATATGCTGCTAAATTTAGAACCTTCTCTGCAATGATAAGTACATTGTACCTTTGAACTCTCATCACAACTTTGCAATTCCTAAACTCCAGGACAAATTGAAGAACATAATAGCTACATGTATATATTGACATAAGTGATTCTGACGTGTTTCCTTAACAATATGCCATAGCATTCTCCCATTAGCTTAGTCATTTATTCTGTTTTGGTGGGGTGTGGCATGACTTGGTCATCTTATTAAATACAACTTCTTTCCTTATACGGCCGCTTTCTCTTACTGATAGTAGGATATTTCTGCTTTAGTTATTGTCACCTTAAATATATTTTCAATGTTGAAATCCTCACAGCATGTTTGATGAAATCTAGTTTTCAAATTTTCTTAGGTATATTTCTGTCACGTTGGCATGATAACAAATACAATAACCCAAAAGACCCCAAAACATAGTGTAATCCGTTTTGCAATCCAAGCATGAGGATTCATCTTCATGTTCACACTGTGTGAATGTTCGGTAGGCTTTGTCAGGCTTGCATATAATCAATTATGTATGTCCCTTTTCTTATAGAGTCTCCTAATAAAGATGGTCTTCTGAAGGTAATAACTTTTATATTTTTGTCTTGAGTATCAACTACATATTTTATGAAGTATACATTGTATATTAATTGTTTTGTTTCCAAACCCATTTAGGCTACCTGCGGAATGAAAGTTTCTATTCCAACTAAAGCCTTAGAATTGAAGGACATGCAAACTTTCAAAGCAGGTAAATTTTGTAATTTTAATTTTACTCTGGAAAGGAGAATATTAAAATATTTGAAATGCTGTGAGACTTTTCATTCCCAATGTTGTTTTCTATTCAAAATTTGATGGGATATTTTGATACAATAATGCCAATGTGAGTATTTCTGTTTGAGAAAATGCCATTTACAAGCATAAGATTTAGAGATTTAGAAAAAAAATTCTGCTTTACCTCATGTGGTTCTACTTTAATATCCTGATAGTGTAAAGTTTCCAGTTTGCAATTTCTGTACGTGCTTGGTTTTAAGGCAGGTGAATTTTGAGACTGAAATATTTGCAGTGGTTCAAAGGCTGATTGGAATTCCGATCTTTACTTAGAAGAAAGTTTCACTTGCTGACATGACAGTTGTGAGTGTTGCCACTCAGAGAATATTAAGAAAATCAGCTTTTTTTTTGATTAGCTGACTGTGTGTGTGACTTTTAATTTTAAAAAATCAGTCAAGCAATCATTACTTGATGACTCTTTGCTAGACATAGTGTTTTAGAAGAGTGACTATAAAGCATTTGGCCTTGGTGTCTTTTAATGCTACTGTAATGAATTGCCTAGAGATACAAAACAGCCTGAATTAGTTTTTGCTGTCATTCCCATGCACGTTTAAAACATTTTACAACAGGCTGTGCATGGTGACACGTGCCTGTAATCCTAGCATTTTGGGAGACAAAGGCGGGCAGATAAGTTAAGGTCAGGAGTCCCAGACCAGCCTGGTCAAATTAGTGAAACCCCATCTCTACTAAATATAACAAAAAATAGCCGGTTGTGATGGTGGGTGCCTGTCATCTCAGCTACTCTGGAGGCTGAGGTGGGAGAATCGCTTGAAACTAGGAGGCAAAAGTTGCAGTGAGCCGTCCTTTTGCCACTTTAGCTTGAGTGACAGAGTGAGACTCCATCTGAAAAAGCAAAGAAATAAAAAAACAAAAACTCACAACATGTATGTGGTTATAGACCATGTGTACAATTTGTTTTCATGTCTTATACGCTGTGTGTAGAATTTGTTTTCATGTCTTATAGGCTATATGTAGAATTTGTTTTCATGTCTTAAATTTTCTTCTATTTTTGTTTGTATTTTTTTCTTCAGTTTTTTTGTTTTGTTTTGTTTTTGTTTTTTTGAGATCACCCAGGCTGGAGTGCCATGGCGCGATCTCGGCTCACGCAAGCTCTGCCTCCCGGGTTCACGCCATTCTCCTGCCTCAGCCTCCCGAGTAGCTGGGACTCCAGGCGCCTGCCACCATGCCCGGCTAATGTTTTGTGTTTTTAGTAGAGACAGGGTTTCAGTGTGTTAGCCAGGATGGTCTGATCCGGATCTCCTGACCTTGTGATCCGCCCACCTCGGCCTCCCAAAGTACTGGAATTACAGGCGTGAGGCACCGTGCCCGGCCGATGTCTGAAATTTTCAATAAATGGTTGTACACTGTACATATTGTCCTGGAACTTCCTTGTTTGCTTATCGAATATTTTAGATGGACCCAATACAATTAGCTCTGCTTTGATTTAAGGCCTCATAGTTTGCCATGTTAATTCTAAAACACATTTAATTAGACCGTCTTTTCTAGCCACTAAAAGTCGACATTAAATGGCAGCTGATATCACAGAGCTTTTACTGAAGTGGGGGTATTTACTGCTTCATCCACTGTTAGAAATTAAAATGAAAATATTTAAAATACACGAATTGGAAAAGTCCTACTTTTCAATACGCATTACAACTGTTACTCATTAACCATGAAAATTATGACATTGTGACATGTCATGAGTCTGAAAAATTTTAGTTTACACTTTTTAGAAAATATCAGTAAATAGGAGAAATAGGAAAAACATTATGTGAACTATTAGGCCCCCGGTGTATTTGTTGAACTTCAGAGATGCTCAGATCAGAAGTTAGAACAAAAATTTTCAAAAATGCATAAGGTTCTAAAGTGCCAAATAACAAATGGGCTCTTGTATATGAAATAATGTCTGAAGTTGCACCTCTGAGTCTTTTTTCTCTTTCTCTTTTTTTTAAAAAAATATAAATCAAACAAAATCAAAATTTTGTTTATAATGAAAAGAATTGGTTACAGATTCATTCTGTGTCTCATGGCACTGTGCTCTCTTTTTCCCTAGAGAGGATCTAGACTTTTCATCTGTTTACATGGGAAGAAGTAGTTCAGTTTATGGTCTCATTTCTCATATAAATTGTGAAAATTCTCCACGGCTTCACATGCTAGTTCAGAAGATATTGATGCCTTGAGAATAAAGCATCTGGTTGTAACTCCAGCAGTTTTATATTTAAAGTATACCTAATATAATTGTCAACCACATTACTTTAGAAAACATAAACAAAAGATAGTTACACATATTTATTTTAAAAATGGTGACTGGGTGCGGTGGCTCACGCCTGTAATCCCAGCACGTTGGGAGGCCGTGACTGGCAGATCACGAGGTTAGGAGATCGAGACCATCCTGACTAACAAGGCGAAACCCTGTCTCTACTAAAAATACAAAAAAATTAGTCGGACGTGGTGGCACGCATTTCTAATAAGTTCTCAGGTGATGCTGATGCTGGTGGTCCTTGGAGCTTGCTCTGAGTAGCAAAAGGAGAGGCCTTTCATGGGAAAATAGTGGAAGAAGAGCAGTTGGATAGAAGGTCAAGACATAACATGGTCAGGAGAATGCATTATATTGCTTTTATTTCTGGGTATGCTTTTAGCCAGAGAAGAAGAAGAAAAAGATAAACAGAAATTATAGATTTAAGATACTATCACTAAACAAAGAGAAAGGAAGTGTTGAACAAATAAATTTGAAACAGTGTTGTATGGGAAGAATTCTACAGAGTTAGAGGTTTTTTTTTATTTTCTGTTTTTATTTTTTATTTATTTATTTTTTTAGTTGAAGCATTCTAGGCAGGTGACAGGGGACAAACAAGAAAGAATGTAGGCAGGTAATTCTGGAGACTCTGAGAAGAACAGTTGAGTGAACTCACTTCAGTTGCATTTAGATTATTTGTACTCCAGAATGTAGACTGTGGGCACTCCAGAGACTACCGGAAGCAGGAGTCCTACTAGAATTGGGGGAACCACAGTGACTCATTAGGTTTCTCTGTTACAATCAGGGAAGACAAATATATATTTTGTTGCTGTTCGCTATACAAATGACACATATTGAAAACTAAGAACATTGGCTTTATGTTTAAGGAAGTGTGTTGTTTTGGTAAAATTGCCATTCCACAAAAAATTTATTATAGACTAATGATACACCGAACCAGACGAATTGTAGGAACTGAGAAAATACTGAATTTATACTTGAATAATAAGATTGCTTTTTAAGATAAATATTGTGGTGACTTAACAATATAAAAAAGTTATTTATGTTTAATTCATCTATTGCAATAAATTTTTATATAAATATGTCAATATTGAAAGCTTATTATAGATTATTTCCATGATGAGTTTTACACATCTTCTTGCATGAGTGGATCCAGAAGCATTCAGACAGCTAAAGTAGAGGATACAGAAATATAGGCATATGATTACACCATATGGTTATGGAAAAAAACAAATATTCATATTTAGTGTTATGACCTAAGTGTATATCCAAGCTGAACAATTCATAACATTTCAGAGACAAGATGTCAGTTCTACATTCAGCTGAACTTTCATCATAACTATGTACCTTTCCGAAGATAGGCTATATTAAAGAACAGGATGAATGGAATAATATAAGTGATTCTAATGTGTTTCATTAAGTACGTGGCGTAGCATTCCATGTTCAGCTTTGACATTTATTTTCTCATATCAACCCTTTATACACATGAAACACAATCTCGCTTTTGAAGTCTTAACTGCATGATCTGAGAAACCTGTATTTATATTTTCTTCAGTGTATTCTTGTCGTGTGTGTGTCCTAAACAAACCAAAAGAAAACTTTCCAAATCTAAAGTATTCATTCTCCAATTGGAGCAAGAGGAGTCAGTTAAATACTATCACGGCATTCATTTGTGGTTGGCTTGTCATATTTACATATGATTGATGATAAATCTCTTTTGCTTTTTAGAGCCTCCGGGGAAGCCATCTGCCTTCGAGGTATTTAGTTTTATGATTTCATTTTGAATGACTTATTATCTATGTATTTTGTGAAGTATACATTCTTTATTAATCATTTTGCTTCCAACCCCATTTAGCCTGCCACTGAAATGCAAAAGTCTGTCCCAAATAAAGCCTTGGAATTGAAAAATGAACAAACATTGAGAGCAGGTAAATTTTTCAATGTAACTATGGAAAGACCAATATTTCAATATTGGACATTTTGATGGTCTTTCTGTACCCAATGGTTTATTTTTTTCAACTTTGATGAAAAGATTTGATCTAGATAATGCCAATACTGGTATTGATGTTTGAAAAGCTGGTATTACAAGCACAGTAATTTTCAATATATTTTTTAAAAAAATGTAGCCTTAATCTCAGATGTTTCTACTTTTGTATCCTGAAACTGTAATGTTTTCTATTTTGAACTTCTGTATTTCTTAAGGATTCAAGAAGGTGAATGTTGAAACTCCAATTTCTTTTTTTAGCTCTTCGAAGCTTGATTCAAATTCCACGGTTTACTTCGGGGATCCCATCTCTTACTGATATAACCCTTGTGTTTTAACATGAATTACCTTGTTTCCGGTGTTGTCACTTTGAGAATCCTAAGAAAATCAGTAACTCGGACTAGTGAACTCTGTGTGTTTATGTGTGTGTGTGTCTGCGTGTGTGCCTGCGTGTGCCTGTGTGTGTGTGGTACCTTTACCTTGTAAAGATGAGGAAAGGAATTATTCATTTCTTTGTGAATATTTGATAAACACACTTTTTCATGAAACTGTGATTCTGAAGCATTTGGCTTTAGAGTCCTTTTACGCTAGTACCATTTATTGCCTGGAAGTAACCAATATTCTAAACTGTTTTTAGAAACTCTTCTTATGCATGTTTAAACATTTTACAACATGTGTGCGTGGTCATATTTAATATGTACGATTTTTTTCAACTTCTAATGTGTACATGGTTGTAGAGTGTAGTGTTCGGCAACATTCTTTTTTGATCAGCATTATAATTTTTAGAGACATCCGTAAAGGACACAATTAATTGTGTTTTTAAATATTAGGTTATTTATAAAATTCCATTGTATGACAGTACCATAGTTAATTGCACAATTTTTATGCCGAGAAGTAATAAATAAAACTGAAAACATGCAAATTTGGGAGTCTTTAAAAAGTTAGTTTTATCTGCTGATTTCTTAGTCATTAGAAATTAAAAGTAACATATTTAAAGTATTTCCTTGTGCAATCATAGACTCCACTAAGAATTTGAACTGTGCCCCACAGCTTCTTAGAGCTATGGTGTGGCAACACGTTAGATCTCTGAAACGATCCAGGGTACGCTTCTAAAAATGAGTGAACATGGTGACTTACCAAAGTGTGATTTGAGTTTCCTGGACCCTCTGCATGAATTGTGAACATGAGCTATGCTGAGATCACAAGTTAAATTTACTTTTGAAACCAGGTATACAGTTGATGGATGTCAAATGATAAACGTATGCATAGTGATGAAACGGTCTTTTAAGTTTTAGGTGTGCATGTTTGCTTTTTTCCTGAACCTGATTCAAATAGTTGTAATTTGTACTTTGTGCTGATAAAGAAAACTGGACGTTATTTTTGGTATAAATTCTTTTTCTGTCTTATGCCCCTGAGAACTCGTCAAGTCTTGAGTGGGCCTTGATTTTATCCTATTACACGTGGGAACATTAGATTACTTAAGGCAATTATATTTTCCTATACATTTCTGATGTTTCTCCAAGGTGTCACAAGCTGACTCTGAAGATATTGTTGCATTAGGGAAGAAGTGTGTCATTGTAAATGAAGCAGTTCTTAATTTATATGCAATAAAATTTTTAAAGCTTATCTTCCTAAAGCATATACACACGCAAAACACACCCAATACACTGTCATAGCATACGGAAATGTAAAAGGGTTGGAAATATAGTTGACTGACATCAAAAAGTTAATATTCCTAAAACATCTTATTCATTGATAAATCATCTTTTTTGAAGAACTGTGTAAGAGAGATTGCTGAGTCAATCAACGTAAGTAATACTACCAAGTAAAAAGTAACAAAGAAATGAGAGATGATAGGTAATTACAGTTTTCTGAATGAACAGGAAACCTAGGGCATACTGTGTTTCACAGGAGAATAGGATATGACTGCTTTGTGAAGAAATAATTCATACAAGTTAGTCAAATTTCTATTTTTCTGCATTCTAATGACATAATGTTAATTGTCAGAGTTTTTAGATTTCAATTCTTTTGGAATGACTATAGAAGTAGTCATTGTAATCAACAAAAAGAACATATGGGCCACAGAGGAAAATCCACAGATTCGTGAATGAAAGTAGATTTGTATATGTTTTTAAAATTTTTAGTAGAGAACTGTGCTCATGAATGTATCTGTGATTAACCTTTTATAGATGAGATACTCCCATCAGAATCCAAACAAAAGGACTATGAAGAAAATTCTTGGGATACTGAGGTACTGTGTGTTGTTGATTTTTTTAAATATTAGTATTGCATGATATGAAAACATAAAATCAGATGCTTAGTCTTTATTTTCTCACCTCTGCATGTGTCACCCTCAAATTATTTTTGATGTTTTTCAGTATATGCTTAATGGAGAATCTATGTGCTAAGTAGATTCCTGCTTCACAGTGAAATTCTGGGAATTTGTACGATTAATTTAAGAAGCCAAAGTGGTATAGTGTAAAAACTAAGGCTTAGAATTCACTAGAAATTCACATGGGATCTGGAGTACGTTTGTCTAAAAGCAAAAGAATTACACTGAGTCGAGCTATGGGCAAATATATGATTCTGTCTTATATCTAGAGGTAGAAAAGTTCTAATTGTATTCATAGAGAGACACTTTAAACTGCAATATTGTAAAAGTTGGGACCTGAAAATTTAATGCCTGGGACTTGAACATATTGACATATCTTTATTGTTCAGTATAGATCTGAAGGAACATTTCAGCAGAAAGAAAAGCATGAGGAATAGGAAACCTTGTGGGAGTATAATAACAAGAGTATTGGTTGAGTAGTCTTTTGAAAAATATAAATTATATTTTCACAAATAGAACTCCTTGAGTCCCCTTATGGCAGTCAAGCTACAGCAGCATGAGCGTCAAATCATAGTGATGTATTTTAAGGTCACAACGGCGGAAAGACATAGAAAGTATCTGACCTCTTAGAAACAAGCAGCTGCTGCCTGATGGTAACAGCAAAGGGTGGAAGTCAATAGGTAGATTTTATCTGATATTTTATTAGACAAAAAGACGTTAATACTTGTTTTCTTTCATTTAGATGTGACATAACTTTTTTCTTACTGCATTTACATTCTATTCAAGCACTTTTTCTCTCACCAAAAATTTTGTCAGAAACATGTTGCTTATTTTAAGCCCCTGTTTACCGAAAGAAAGCAGCTTTTTCAAATTCTGTACATACATTCTATGACAGACTCTAAAAGTTCTCATCATGACATGCATGATTTTTAACACTAAACAGTTCTATGATCGTGAATATTTTAAATGTTTACTGCTGTATGTGTCCAGGCAAGTAGCAAATGCGTTGTATTTTGTTTGAAATGTCTTATTTATTTTTGATGAGGACTAGAACATAAGTTAGATATTTTTAAGAGAGTTACTTTTTGAAATATGCACGAGTGAATTTTTTTGTGAAGGTGATTTGTTTTTCCTGCTCAGTCACCGAGTTAATGGCCACGTGAACGTAAAGATGAGCTTGATGTAGAGAGGGTTATGTGAGGTTTTCTATCAAAATGTGTTTGTTTTCTACATGTATCTGCTCTTAAGTCGAATTGTTTGCAAAGGAGGAAATTGTGTTTTTAAAAAAGAATTTAATTAGGAAATTTTGATACTCTTCATTACTAGGATTTATCCATTGAAATTATTTATTGCTATTACTTTTAACAGAGTCTCTGTGAGACTGTTTCACAGAAGGATGTGTGTTTACCCAAGGCTGCGCATCAAAAAGAAATAGATAAAATAAATGGAAAATTAGAAGGTAAGAACCGTTTTTTATTTAAAAATCATTTGACCAAATATTTCTCTAAACTGATGAGGAAGGATATCCTCTAGTAGCTGAAGAAAATTACCTCCTAAATGCAAACCATGGAAAAAAAGAGAAGTGCAATGGTCATAAGTTATGTGTCTCATCAGGTGATGGCAACAGACTATATTGTGAGTGCTGAAGCGGAGCTGAATTACTAGTTTGAATTCAAGATATTCCAAGACGTGAGGAAAATGAGAAAATAAGAAAGAAGAAAGTAGTAATAGAGTAAATGAAGACTGAGAAAGACAGAGCATACAGAGAGTACATGAAGGAACAAGAAGCAGGTTTATGTAATGGAGGATGATAAAATGAAATGATTGTTTAGGAAAGATCGGATGCAGGGGACAAGAGAGAAGCCAGCTAGATGATTTTGGATTTTCTATGAAGGAAAATGGAGTGAGCTCACTTCGGAAGCATTTAGAAAAGTTTTACTGCAGAATGTTAGAGTGTGGGTGCTCTGGAGACTACTGGAATCATGAGGATTACTAGAATTGGACTAAACCTCAGTGACTCATTAATTTTCTTTATTACTATGAGGCGTCAAATATATATATATATAGATGTGTGCATGTATGTATGTTTTTGATGTTCACAATTTGAATAAGATATACTTGAATGTAAGAACCTTGGCTTTATTTTTAAGGAAGCAAATTGTGTTGGTAAAATTGCCATTTTATAAAACCTCATTAGCAAATAACATGATACACGAAACCAGACTAATTTTGAAAACCATAAAACTCTGAATTTATGACTTGAATACCTAAATTGTTGTTATTCGTAGGTATTTTACTGATTTTAACATAGAAAATGTTATTAATATTTAAAAATCTGATGCAACTAAATTTAAATGAAATACATCAATATTGAAAGCTTATTAAATTTGCCATTCCTGATGAGATTTGTACATCTTCCTGCATGAGTGGATTAAGAGATATTGAGATGACTAAGCTAGAAATTACAAAAATGTTGGCATACTATTCCAGTATATGGGTATGAAAATCAAGGAATATTTATATTTAATATTATGCTCTAAGTATATATCCAAGCTGATCAATTCATAACACTTTTTCTGATGAGATGTCAATTCTACATTCAGCTGAACTCTTATCCGAACTGTGTGGCTTCTCAATGACAGGACATATTAAAGAACATGATGAATGTTTGTAATGCAATGATATAAATTATTATAATGTGTTGCCTTAAAGACACATGGTGTAGCATTCTACGTTCAGCTTTTGCATTTATTTTCTCAGTGTCATGATTTGCTCCTGTGATTCCAGATCAGTTGTCTCCTTATCAGTCAGCATATACTTATTGGTATTAACACTTTTTGCAAAAATCATATATAAATGGTTGTACAATGTTGTTGTCATTCTACAGCAACTTTTTAATTTTTGTTCAGCGATTAGCTTGTTTTTCATTTATTTTAAGATTTCAGGCCAGGTGTGGTGGCTCACGCCTGTAATCCCAGCACTTTGGTAGGCCAAGGTGGGTGGATCACGAGGTCAGGAGATCCAGACCATCCTGGCTAACATGGTGAAACCTCACCTCTACTAGAAATACAAAAAATCAGCCGGGCGTGGTGGTGGGTGCCTGTAGTCCCAGCTACTCCGGAGGCTGAGGCAAGAGAATGGCGTGAACCCGCGAGGCGGAGCTTGTGGTGAGCCGATATTACATTATTGTAACATTGAAATATGCAGGTGAATGATATATAAAAAGCCTCTGGAAGTTTACTTCTAGTTTTTGATACTTTCACGTTACGTGTTTTTTCTTTTTTAGAGACAGAGTCTCGCTCTGTCATCCAGGCTGGAGTGCAATGGCATGATCTTGGCTCACTGCCACCTCCAGCTCCTGGGTTCAAGTGATTCTGGTACCTCAGTCACCCAAGTAGCTGAGATTACAGGCATGTGCCACCATACCTGGCTGATTTTTGTAATTTTAGTGGGGACAGTGTTTCTAAAATAGTGATTTTGGCCAGGCTGGTTTGGAACTCCTGGCCTCCAGAGATCCGCCCTCCTCAGCCTTCCAAAGTGCTGGAATTACAGGCATGAGCCACTGCACCTGGCCTGTATTGGTTTGTTGATGGGTACGCTTGGACCTTTTTGTATAAGTGGATCAGGAAATTTTAAGAGGACTAAACTAGAGAACCCTATGAATGTGAAAATACTCGTATTTCACAGAGGTACAAAAATGAATATATTTATTAACTTTTATTCTATAGGTAGATATGCTGCTGAATTTAGAACATTCTCTGCAATGATAAGTACGTTGTACCTTTGAACTCTCATCACAACTTTGCAATTCCTAAACTCCAGGACAAATTGAAGGACATAATAGCTACATGTATATATTGACATAAGTGATTCTGACGTGTTTCCTTAACAATATGCCATAGCATTCTCCCATTAGCTTAGTCATTTATTCTGTTTTGGTGGGGTGTGGCATGACTTGGTCATCTTATTAAATACAACTTCTTTCCTAATACGGCCGCTTTCTCTTACTGATAGTAGGATATTTCTGCTTTAGTTATTGTCACCTTAAATATATTTTCAATGTTGAAATCCTCACAGCATGTTTGATGAAATCTAGTTTTCAAATTTTCTTAGGTATATTTCTGTCACGTTGGCATGATAACAAATGCAATAACCCAAAAGACCCCAAAAGCTAGTGTAATCCCTTTTGCAATCCAAGCATGAGGATTCATCTTCATGTTGACAGTGCGTGAATGTTCGGTAGGCTTTGTCAAGCTTGCATACAATAAATTATATATGTCCCTTTTCTTTTAGGGTCTCCTGTTAAAGATGGTCTTCTGAAGGTAATAACTTTTATATTTTTATCTTGAGTATTAACTACATATTTTATGAAGTATACATTGTATATTAATTGTTTTCTTTCCAAACCCATTTAGGCTAACTGCGGAATGAAAGTTTCTATTCCAACTAAAGCCTTAGAATTGATGGACATGCAAACTTTCAAAGCAGGTAAATTTTGTAATTTTAATTTTACTCTGGAAAGAAGAATATTAAAATATTTGAAATGCTGTGAGACTTTTCATTCCCAATGTTGTTTTCTATTCATAATTTGATGGGAAATTTCGATACAAATAATGCCAATGTGAGTATTTCTGTTTGAGAAAATGCCATTTACAAGCATAAGATTTAGAGATTTAGAAAAAAAATTCTGCTTTACCTCATGTGGTTCTACTTTAATGTCCTGATCGGATAAAGTTTCCAATTTGCAATTTCTGTACGCGCTTGGTTTTAAGGTAGGTGAATTTTGAGACTGTGAAATATTTGCAGTGGTTCGAAGGCTGATTGGAATTCTGATGTTTACTCAGAAGAAAGTTTCACTTGCTGACATGACAGTTGTGAGTGTTACCACTCTGAGAATCTTAAGAAAATCAGTTTTTTTTTTAATAGATGACTGTGTGTGTGTGTGACTTATAATTTTAAAAAATCAGTCAAGCAATCATTACTTGATGACTCTTTGCTAGGCACCGCATTTTAGAAGAGTGACCCCAAAGCATTTGGCCTTGGTGTGTTTTAATGCTACTGTAATGAATTGCCTAGAGATACAAAAGAGCCTGAAGTAGTTTTTGTCATTCCCGTGAACGTTTACAACATTTTACAACAGGCCTTGCACGGTGGCACATGCCTGGAATCCTAGCAGTTTGGGAGACAAAGGCGGGCAGATAAGTTAAGGTCAGGAGTCCCAGACCAGCCTGGTCAAACTAGTGAAACCCCATCTCTACTAAACATAACAAAAAATAGCCGGTTGTGGTGGTGGGTGCCTGTCATCTCAGCTACTCTGGAGGCTGAGGCAGGAGAATGGCTTGAACCTAGGACGCAGAAGTTGCATGAGCCGAGCTTGTGCCACTTTAGCCTGAGTGACAGAGTGAGACTCCATCTGAAAAGGTAAAGAAATAAAAACACAAAACTCACAACATATGTGTGGTTATAGACTATGTGTAGAATTTGTTTTCATGTCTTATAGGCTGTGTGTAGAATTTGTTTTCATGTCTTAAATTTTCTTTTTTTTTGTTTGTATTTTTTTCTTCAGTTTTTTTGTTTGGTTTTGTTTTTGTTTTTTTGAGATCACCCAGGCTGGAGTGCCATGGCGCCATCTCGGCTCACGCAAGCTCTGCCTCCCGGGTTCACGCCATTCTCCTGCCTCAGCCTCCTGAGTAGCTGAGACTCCAGGTGCCTGCCACCACGCCCGGCTAATGTTTTGTATCTTTAGTAGAGACAGGGTTTCAGTGTGTTAGCCAGGATGGTCTGATCCGGATCTCCTGACCTTGTGGTCCGCCCGTCTCGGCCTCCCAAAGTACTGGAATTACAGGCATGAGGCACCGTGCCCGGCCGATGTCTGAAATTTTCAATAAATAGTTGTACGCTGTACATATTGTCCTGGAACTTCCTTGTTTGCTTATCGAATATTTTAGATGGACCCAATACAATTAGCTCTGCTTTGATTTAAGGCCTCATAGTTTGCCATGTTAACTCTAAAACACATTTAATTAGACTGTGTTTCCTAGCCACTAAAAGTCGACATTAAATGGCAGCTGATATCACAGAGCTTTTACTGAAGTGGGAGTATTTACTGCTTCATTCACTGTTAGAAATTAAAATGAAAATATTTAAAATACACGAATTGGAAAAGTCCTACTTTCCAATACGCATTACAACTGTTACTCATTAACCATGAAAATTATGACATTGTGACATGTCATGAGTCTGAAAAATTTTAGTTTACACTTTTTAGAAAATATCAGTAAATAGGAGAAATAGGAAAAACATTATGGCCCCCGGTGTATTTGTTGAACTTCAGAGATGCTCAGATCAGAAGCTAGAACAAGAATTTTCAAAAATGCATAAGGTTTTAAAGTGCCAAATAACAAATGGGCTCTTGTATATGAAATAATGTCTGAAGTTGCACCTCTGAGTCTTTTTTCTCTTTTTCTTTTTTAAAAAGATATAAATCAAACAAAATCAAACTTTTGTTTATAATGAAAAGAGTTGGTTACAGATTCATTCTGTGTCTCATGGCACTGTGCTCTCTTTTTCCCTAGAGAGGATCTAGACTTTTCATCTGTTTACATGGGAAGAAGTAGTTCAGTTTATGGTCTCATTTCTCATATAAACTGTGAAAATTCTCCACGGCTTCACATGCTAGTTCAGAAGATATTGATGCCTTGAGAATAAAGCATCTGGTTGTCACTCCAGCAGTTTTATATTTAAAGTATACCTAATATAGTTGTCAACCACATTACTTTAGAAAACATAAACAAAAGATAGTTACACTTATTTATTTAAAAAATGGTGACCGGGTGCGGTGGCTCACGTCTGTAATGCCAGCACGTTGGGAGGCCGTGACTGGCAGATCACGAGGTGAGGAGAGCGAGACCATCCTGACTAACGCGGTGAAACCCTGTCTCTACTAAAAATACAAAAAATTAGCCGGACGTGGTGGCACGCACTTCTAATAATTTCTCAGGCGATGCTGCTGCTGGTGGTCCTTGGAGCTTGGTCTGAGTAGCAAAAGGAGAGGCCTTTCATGGGAAAATAGTGGAAGAAGAGCAGTTGGATAGAAGGTCAAGACATAACAGGGTCAAGAGAATGCATTATATTGCTTTTATTTCTGGGTATGCTTTTAGCCAGAGAAGAAGAAGAAAAAGATAAACAGAAATTATAGATTTAAGATACTATCACTAAACAAAGAGAAAGGAAATGTTGAACAAATAAATTTGAAACAGTGTTGTATGGGAAGAATTCTACAGAGTTAGAGGTTTTTTTTTAATTTCTTTTTTTTTTTTTTTTTTTTTTTAGTAGAAGCATTCAAGTCAGGTAACGGGACAAACAAGAAAGAATGTAGGCAGGTAATTCTGGAGACTCTGAGAAGAACAGTTGAGTGAACTCACTTCAGATGCATGTAGATTATTTGCACTCCAGAATGTAGACTGTGGGCACTCCAGAGACTACCAGAATTGGGGGAACCACAGTGACTCATTAGGTTTCTCTGTTACAATCAGGCATGAGAAATATATATATTTTGTTGATGTTAGCTATTGAAATGAGATATATTGGAAACTGAGAACATTGGCTTTATGTTTAAGGAAGTGTGTTGTTTTGGTAAAATTGCCATTCCACAAAAATTTATTATAGACTAATGATACACCAAACCAGGCGAATTGTAGGATCTGAAAAAATACTGAATTTATACTTGAATAATAAGATTGCTTTTTAAGATAAATATTGTGGTGACTTAACAATATAAAAAAAGTTACTTATGTTTATTTAATCTATTGCAATAAATTTTTATATAAATATGTCAATATTGAAAGCTTAGTATAGATTATTTCCATGATGAGTTTTACACATCTTGCATGAGTGGATCGAGAAGCATTCAGATGGATAAAGTAGAGGATACAGAATCATAGGCATATGATTACACCCTATGGTTATGGAAAAAAACGAATATTCATATTTAGTATTATGACCTAAGTGTATATCCAAGCTGATCAATTCATAACACTTCAGTGATGAGATGTCAGTTGTACATTCGGCTGAACTCTCATCATAACTATGTACCTTTCCAAAGATAGGCTATATTAAAGAACAGGATGAATGGAATAATATAAGTGATTCTAATGTGTTTCATTAAGTACGTGGCGTAGCATTCCATGTTCAGCTTTGACATTTATTTTCTCATATCAACCCTTTTTACACGTGAAACACAATCTCGCTCTTGAAGTCTTAACTGCATGATCTGTGAAACCTGTATTTATATTTTCTTCAGTGTATTCTTGTCGTGTGTGTGTCCTAAACAAACCAAAAGAAAACTTTCCAAATCTAAAGTATTCATTCTCCAATTGGAGCAAGAGGAGTCAGTTAGATACTATCACGGCATTCATTTGTGGCTGGCTTGTCATATTTACTTATGATTGATAATAAATCTATTTTGCTTTTTAGAGCCTCCCGAGAAGCCATCTGCCTTCGAGGTATTTAGTTTCATGATTTCATTTTGAATGACTTATTAACTATGTATTTTGTGAAGTATACATTCTTTATTAATCATTTTGCTTCCAACCCCATTTAGCCTGCCATTGAAATGCAAAAGTCTGTTCCAAATAAAGCCTTGGAATTGAAGAATGAACAAACATTGAGAGCAGGTAAATTTTTTAATGGAACTATGCAAAGACCAATATTTCAATATTGGACATTTTGATGGTCCTTCTATCCCCAATGCTTTATTTTTTTCAACTTTGATGAAAAGATTTGATCTAGGTAATGCCAATACTGGTATTGATGTTTGAAAAGCTGGTATTACAAGCACAGTAATTTTCAATATCTTTTTTTAAAAATGTAGGCTTAATCTCAGATGTTTCTACTTTTGTATCCTGAAACTGTAATGTTTTCTATTTTGAACTTCTGTATTTCTTAAGGATTCAAGAAGGTGAATGTTGAAACTCCAATTTCTTTTTTTAGCTCTTCGAAGCTTGATTCAAATTCCACGGTTTACTTCGGGGATCCCATCTCTTACTGATATAACCCTTGTGTTTTAACATGAATTACCTTGTTTCCGGTGTTGTCACTTTGAGAATCCTAAGAAAATCAGTAACTCGGACTAGTGAACTCTGTGTGTTTATGTGTGTGTGTGTCTGCGTGTGTGCCTGCGTGTGCCTGTGTGTGTGTGGTACCTTTACCTTGTAAAGATGAGGAAAGGAATTATTCATTTCTTTGTGAATATTTGATAAACACACTTTTTCATGAAACTGTGATTCTGAAGCATTTGGCTTTAGAGTCCTTTTACGCTAGTACCATTTATTGCCTGGAAGTAACCAATATTCTAAACTGTTTTTAGAAACTCTTCTTATGCATGTTTAAACATTTTACAACATGTGTGCGTGGTCATATTTAATATGTACGATTTTTTTCAACTTCTAATGTGTACATGGTTGTAGAGTGTAGTGTTCGGCAACATTCTTTTTTGATCAGCATTATAATTTTTAGAGACATCCGTAAAGGACACAATTAATTGTGTTTTTAAATATTAGGTTATTTATAAAATTCCATTGTATGACAGTACCATAGTTAATTGCACAATTTTTATGCCGAGAAGTAATAAATAAAACTGAAAACATGCAAATTTGGGAGTCTTTAAAAAGTTAGTTTTATCTGCTGATTTCTTAGTCATTAGAAATTAAAAGTAACATATTTAAAGTATTTCCTTGTGCAATCATACACTCCACTAAGAATTTGAACTGTGCCCCACAGCTTCTTAGAGCTATGGTGTGGCAACACGTTAGATCTCTGAAACGATCCAGGGTACGCTTCTAAAAATGAGTGAACATGGTGACTTACCAAAGTGTGATTTGAGTTTCCTGGACCCTCTGCATGAAATGTGAACATGAGCTATGCTGAGATCACAAGTTAAATTTACTTTTGAAACCAGGTATACAGTTGATGGATGTCAAATGATAAACGTATGCATAGTGATGAAACGGTCTTTTAAGTTTTAGGTGTGCATGTTTGCTTTTTTCCTGAACCTGATTCAAATAGTTGTAATTTGTACTTTGTGCTGATAAAGAAAACTGGACGTTATTTTTGGTATAAATTCTTTTTCTGTCTTATGTCCCTGAGAACTCGTCAAGTCTTGAGTGGGCCTTGATTTTATCCTATTACACGTGGGAACATTAGATTACTTAAGGCAATTATATTTTCCTATACATTTCTGATGTTTCTCCAAGGTGTCACAAGCTGACTCTGAAGATATTGTTGCATTAGGGAAGAAGTGTGTCATTGTAAATGAAGCAGTTCTTAATTTATACGCAATAAAAGTTTTTTAAGCTTATCTTCCTAAAGCTTATACACACGCAAAACACACCCAATACACTGTCATAGCATACTGAAATGTAAAAGGGTTGGACATATAGTTGACTGACATCAAAAAGTTAATATTTCTAAAACATCTTATTCATTGATAAATCATCTTTTTTGAAGAACTGTGTAAGAGAGATTGCTGAGTCAATCAATGTAAGTAATACTACCAAATAAAAAGTAACAAAGAAATGAGAGATGATAGGTAATTCCAGTTTTCTGAATGAACAGGAAACCTAGGGCATACTGCGCTTCACAGGAGAATAGGATATGACTGCTTTGTGAAGAGATAATTCATACAAGTTAGTTAAATTTCTATTTTTCTGCATTCTAATGAAATAATGTTAATTTTCAGACTTTTTAGATTTCAGTTCTATTGGAATGACTATAGAAGTAGTCATTGCAATCAACAAAAAGAATATACGGGCTACAGAGGAAAAACCTCAGATTCGTGAATGAAAGTAGATTTGTATATGTTTTTAAAATTTTTAGTAGAGAACTGTGCTCATGAATGTATCTGTGATTAACCTTTTATAGATGAGATACTCCCATCAGAATCCAAACAAAAGGACTATGAAGAAAGTTCTTGGGATTCTGAGGTACTATGTGTTATTGATTTTTTAAATATTAGTATTGCATGATATGAAAACATAAAATCAGATGCTTAGACTTTATGTTCTCACCTCTGCATGTGTCACCCCCAAATTATTTTTGATATTTTTCAGTATATGCTTAACGGAGAATCTGTGTGCTAAGTAGATTCCTGCTTCACAGTGAAATTCTGGGAATTTGTACGATTAATTTAAGAAGCCAAAGTGGTATAGTGTAAAAACTAAGGCTTAGAATTCACTAGAAATTCACATGGGATCTGGAGTACTTTTGTCTAAAAGGAAAAGAATTACACTGAGTCCAGCTATGGGCAAATATATGATTCTGTCTTATATCTAGAGGTAGAAAAGTTCTAATTGTATTCATAGAGAGACACTTTAAACTGCAATATTGTAAAAGTTGGGACCTGAAAATTTAATGCCTGGGACTTGAACGTATTGACATATCTTTATTGTTCAGTATAGATCTGAAGGAACATTTCAGCAGAAAGGAAAGCATGAGGAATAGGAAACCTTGTGGGAGTATAATAACAAGAGTATTGGTTGAGTAGTCTTTTGAAAAATATAAATTATATTTTCGCAAATAGAACTCCTTGAGTCCCCTTATGGCAGTCAAGCTGAAGCAGCATGAGCGTCATATCATAGTGATGTATTTTAAGGTCACAACGGCGGAAAGACATAGAAAGTATCTGACCTCTTAGAAACAAGCAGCTGCTGCCTGGTGGTAACAGCAAAGGGTGGAAGTCAATAGGTAGATTTTATCTGATATTTTATTAGACAGAAAGACTTTAACACTTGTTTGCTTTCATTTAGATGTGACATAATTTTTTTCTTACTGCATTTACATTCTATTCAAACACTTTTTCTATCACCAAAAATTTTGTCAAAAACATGTTGCTTATTTTAAGCCCCTGTTTACCGAAAGAAAGCAGCTTTTTCAAATTCTGTACATACATTCTATGACAGACTCTAAAAGTTCTCTTCGTGACATGCATGATTTTTAACAGTAAACAGTTCTATGATCGTGAATATTTTAAATGTTTACTGCTGTATGTGTCCCGGCAAGTAGCAAATGTGTTGTATTTTGTTTGAAATGTCTTATTTATTTTTGATGAGGACTAGAACGTAAGTTAGATATTTTTAAGAGAGATACTTTTTGAAATATGCACGAGTGAATTTTTTGTGAAGGTGATTTGTTTTTCCTGCTCAGTCACCGAGTTAATGGCCACGTGAACGTAAAGATGAGCTTGATGTAGAGAGGGTTATGTGAGGTTTTCTATCAAAATGTGTTTGTTTTCTACATGTATCTGCTCTTAAGTCGAATTGTTTGCAAAGGAGGAAATTGTGTTTTTAAAAAAGAATTTAATTAGGAAATTTTGATACTCTTCATTACTAGGATTTATCCATTGAAATTATTTATTGCTATTACTTTTAACAGAGTCTCTGTGAGACTGTTTCACAGAAGGATGTGTGTTTACCCAAGGCTGCGCATCAAAAAGAAATAGATAAAATAAATGGAAAATTAGAAGGTAAGAACCGTTTTTTATTTAAAAATCATTTGACCAAATATTTCTCTAAATTGATGAGGAAGGATATCCTCTAGTAGCTGAAGAAAATTACCTCCTAAATGCAAACCATGGAAAAAAAGAGAAGTGCAATGGTCATAAGCTATGTGTCTCATCAGGCATTGGCAACAGACTATATTGTGAGTGCTGAAGAGGAGCTGAATTACTAGTTTAAATTCAAGATATTCCAAGACGTGAGGAAAATGAGAAAATAAGAAAGAAGAAAGTAGTAATAGAGTAAATGAAGACTGAGAAAGACAGAGCGTACAGAGAGTACATGAAGGAACAAGAAACAGGTTTATGTAATGGAGGATGATAAAATGAAATGATTGTTTAGGAAAAGATCGGGTATGGTTAGAAATTTGGGAAGAATATAATGTGACCTTCTAGAATCAAAATTTACCAGAGAATTACAGCAAAAATATTCTGACTCTTAATGTCTTTCTCACTGGTGGGAAGCCATTAGGGATGGAAGCACCTGACCATGGAGAGCTGTGTTCTATTTGCAATAGGTGAGAATAAGCATATCTGCACGGCCACACATGTATATAAATTGTCATATACACTCCGTATAGACCAGAGGTTTTCAAACTTTAGAAAGTCAGCTGAAAACCTTGTTAACAATTCACACTGAGATTCAGCCGACCTGGGATTCTGCATTTTTAAAAAGTTCTCAGGTGATGCTGATGCTGGTGGTCCTTGGACGTTGCTCTGGGTAGCAAGAGGAGAGGCCTTTTGTGGGAAAAATGTGGAAGCAGAGCAACTGGATAGAAGGTCAGGACAGAAAAGGTCAGGAGAAAACATCATGGTCCTCTTAATTTTGAGGATGTTTTTAGTCAGGGGAGAAGAAGAAAGGAGCAATGCAATAGAAATTATAGATGGAAGGTACTACCACTCCTCAAAGTAAAAGGAAAGAGTGGGAAAAAATAATTTTAACAGGTGTCGAATGGGAAGAATCAAGAGCACAAGTCTAGTGATTATTTTTGCTAAAGCAGAGAGATTGTGAGGCAGGAAGCAGGGGACAAGAGAGAAGCCAGCTAGATGATTTTGGATTTTCTATGAAGGAAAATGGAGTGAGCTCACTTCGGAAGCATTTAGAAAAGTTTTACTGCAGAATGTTAGAGTGTGGGTGCTCTGGAGACTACTGGAATCATGAGGATTACTAGAATTGGACTAAACCTCAGTGACTCATTAATTTTCTTTATTACTATGAGGCGTCAAATATATATATATATATATATATATATATATATATATATATATATATATATAGATGTGTGCATGTATGTATGTTTTTGACGTTCACAATTTGAATAAGATATACTTGAATGTAAGAACCTTGGCTTTATTTTTAAGGAAGCAAATTGTGTTGGTAAAATTGCCATTTTATAAAACCTCATTAGTAAATAACATGCTACACGAAACCAGACTAATTTTGAAAACCATAAAACTCTGAATTTATGACTTGAATACCTAAATTGTTGTTATTCGTAGGTATTTTACTGATTTTAACGTAGAAAATGTTATTAATATTTAAAAGTCTGTTGTAACTAAATTTAAATGAAATACATCAATATTGAAAGCTTATTAAATTTGCTATTCCTGATGAGATTTGTACATCTTCCTGCATGAGTGGATTAAGAGATATTGAGATGACTAAGCTAGAAATTACAAAAATGTTGGCATACTATTCCTACATTATGGGAATGAATACCCATATTCCAAGTATATGGGTATGAAAATCAAGGAATATTTATATTTAATATTATGCTCTAAGTATATATCCAAGCTGATCAATTCATAACACTTTTTCTGATGAGATGTCAATTCTACATTCAGCTGAACTCTTATCCGAACTGTGTGGCTTCTCAATGACAGGACATATTAAAGAACATGATGAATGTTTGTAATGCAATGATATAAATTATTATAATGTGTTGCCTTAAAGACACATGGTGTAGCATTCTACGTTCAGCTTTTGCATTTATTTTCTCAGTGTCATGATTTGCTCCTGTGATTCCAGATCAGTTGTCTCCTTATCAGTCAGCATATACTTATTGGTATTAACACTTTTTGCAAAAATCATATATAAATGGTTGTACAATGTTGTTGTCATTCTACAGCAACTTTTTAATTTTTGTTCAGCGATTAGCTTGTTTTTCATTTATTTTAAGATTTCAGGCCAGGTGTGGTGGCTCACGCCTGTAATCCCAGCACTTTGGTAGGCCAAGGTGGGTGGATCACGAGGTCAGGAGATCCAGACCATCCTGGCTAACATGGTGAAACCTCACCTCTACTAGAAATACAAAAAATCAGCCGGGCGTGGTGGTGGGTGCCTGTAGTCCCAGCTACTCCGGAGGCTGAGGCAAGAGAATGGCGTGAACCCGCGAGGCGGAGCTTGTGGTGAGCCGATATTACATTATTGTAACATTGAAATATGCAGGTGAATGATATATAAAAAGCCTCTGGAAGTTTACTTCTAGTTTTTGATACTTTCACGTTACGTGTTTTTTCTTTTTTAGAGACAGAGTCTCGCTCTGTCATCCAGGCTGGAGTGCAATGGCATGATCTTGGCTCACTGCCACCTCCAGCTCCTGGGTTCAAGTGATTCTGGTACCTCAGTCACCCAAGTAGCTGAGATTACAGGCATGTGCCACCATACCTGGCTGATTTTTGTAATTTTAGTGGGGACAGTGTTTCTAAAATAGTGATTTTGGCCAGGCTGGTTTGGAACTCCTGGCCTCCAGAGATCCGCCCTCCTCAGCCTTCCAAAGTGCTGGAATTACAGGCATGAGCCACTGCACCTGGCCTGTATTGGTTTGTTGATGGGTACGCTTGGACCTTTTTGTATAAGTGGATCAGGAAATTTTAAGAGGACTAAACTAGAGAACCCTATGAATGTGAAAATACTCGTATTTCACAGAGGTACAAAAATGAATATATTTATTAACTTTTATTCTATAGGTAGATATGCTGCTGAATTTAGAACATTCTCTGCAATGATAAGTACGTTGTACCTTTGAACTCTCATCACAACTTTGCAATTCCTAAACTCCAGGACAAATTGAAGGACATAATAGCTACATGTATATATTGACATAAGTGATTCTGACGTGTTTCCTTAACAATATGCCATAGCATTCTCCCATTAGCTTAGTCATTTATTCTGTTTTGGTGGGGTGTGGCATGACTTGGTCATCTTATTAAATACAACTTCTTTCCTAATACGGCCGCTTTCTCTTACTGATAGTAGGATATTTCTGCTTTAGTTATTGTCACCTTAAATATATTTTCAATGTTGAAATCCTCACAGCATGTTTGATGAAATCTAGTTTTCAAATTTTCTTAGGTATATTTCTGTCACGTTGGCATGATAACAAATGCAATAACCCAAAAGACCCCAAAAGCTAGTGTAATCCCTTTTGCAATCCAAGCATGAGGATTCATCTTCATGTTGACAGTGCGTGAATGTTCGGTAGGCTTTGTCAAGCTTGCATACAATAAATTATATATGTCCCTTTTCTTTTAGGGTCTCCTGTTAAAGATGGTCTTCTGAAGGTAATAACTTTTATATTTTTATCTTGAGTATTAACTACATATTTTATGAAGTATACATTGTATATTAATTGTTTTCTTTCCAAACCCATTTAGGCTAACTGCGGAATGAAAGTTTCTATTCCAACTAAAGCCTTAGAATTGATGGACATGCAAACTTTCAAAGCAGGTAAATTTTGTAATTTTAATTTTACTCTGGAAAGAAGAATATTAAAATATTTGAAATGCTGTGAGACTTTTCATTCCCAATGTTGTTTTCTATTCATAATTTGATGGGAAATTTCGATACAAATAATGCCAATGTGAGTATTTCTGTTTGAGAAAATGCCATTTACAAGCATAAGATTTAGAGATTTAGAAAAAAAATTCTGCTTTACCTCATGTGGTTCTACTTTAATGTCCTGATCGGATAAAGTTTCCAATTTGCAATTTCTGTACGCGCTTGGTTTTAAGGTAGGTGAATTTTGAGACTGTGAAATATTTGCAGTGGTTCGAAGGCTGATTGGAATTCTGATGTTTACTCAGAAGAAAGTTTCACTTGCTGACATGACAGTTGTGAGTGTTACCACTCTGAGAATCTTAAGAAAATCAGTTTTTTTTTTAATAGATGACTGTGTGTGTGTGTGACTTATAATTTTAAAAAATCAGTCAAGCAATCATTACTTGATGACTCTTTGCTAGGCACCGCATTTTAGAAGAGTGACCCCAAAGCATTTGGCCTTGGTGTGTTTTAATGCTACTGTAATGAATTGCCTAGAGATACAAAAGAGCCTGAAGTAGTTTTTGTCATTCCCGTGAACGTTTACAACATTTTACAACAGGCCTTGCACGGTGGCACATGCCTGGAATCCTAGCAGTTTGGGAGACAAAGGCGGGCAGATAAGTTAAGGTCAGGAGTCCCAGACCAGCCTGGTCAAACTAGTGAAACCCCATCTCTACTAAACATAACAAAAAATAGCCGGTTGTGGTGGTGGGTGCCTGTCATCTCAGCTACTCTGGAGGCTGAGGCAGGAGAATGGCTTGAACCTAGGACGCAGAAGTTGCATGAGCCGAGCTTGTGCCACTTTAGCCTGAGTGACAGAGTGAGACTCCATCTGAAAAGGTAAAGAAATAAAAACACAAAACTCACAACATATGTGTGGTTATAGACTATGTGTAGAATTTGTTTTCATGTCTTATAGGCTGTGTGTAGAATTTGTTTTCATGTCTTAAATTTTCTTTTTTTTTGTTTGTATTTTTTTCTTCAGTTTTTTTGTTTGGTTTTGTTTTTGTTTTTTTGAGATCACCCAGGCTGGAGTGCCATGGCGCCATCTCGGCTCACGCAAGCTCTGCCTCCCGGGTTCACGCCATTCTCCTGCCTCAGCCTCCTGAGTAGCTGAGACTCCAGGTGCCTGCCACCACGCCCGGCTAATGTTTTGTATCTTTAGTAGAGACAGGGTTTCAGTGTGTTAGCCAGGATGGTCTGATCCGGATCTCCTGACCTTGTGGTCCGCCCGTCTCGGCCTCCCAAAGTACTGGAATTACAGGCATGAGGCACCGTGCCCGGCCGATGTCTGAAATTTTCAATAAATAGTTGTACACTGTACATATTGTCCTGGAACTTCCTTGTTTGCTTATCGAATATTTTAGATGGACCCAATACAATTAGCTCTGCTTTGATTTAAGGCCTCATAGTTTGCCATGTTAACTCTAAAACACATTTAATTAGACTGTGTTTCCTAGCCACTAAAAGTCGACATTAAATGGCAGCTGATATCACAGAGCTTTTACTGAAGTGGGAGTATTTACTGCTTCATCCACTGTTAGAAATTAAAATGAAAATATTTAAAATACACGAATTGGAAAAGTCCTACTTTCCAATACGCATTACAACTGTTACTCATTAACCATGAAAATTATGACATTGTGACATGTCATGAGTCTGAAAAATTTTAGTTTACACTTTTTAGAAAATATCAGTAAATAGGAGAAATAGGAAAAACATTATGTGAACTATTAGGCCCCCGGTGTATTTGTTGAACTTCAGAGATGCTCAGATCAGAAGCTAGAACAAGAATTTTCAAAAATGCATAAGGTTTTAAAGTGCCAAATAACAAATGGGCTCTTGTATATGAAATAATGTCTGAAGTTGCACCTCTGAGTCTTTTCTCTCTTTTTCTTTTTTAAAAAGATATAAATCAAACAAAATCAAAATTTTGTTTATAATGAAAAGAGTTGGTTACAGATTCATTCTGTGTCTCATGGCACTGTGCTCTCTTTTTCCCTAGAGAGGATCTAGACTTTTCATCTGTTTACATGGGAAGAAGTAGTTCAGTTTATGGTCTCATTTCTCATATAAACTGTGAAAATTCTCCACGGCTTCACATGCTAGTTCAGAAGATATTGATGCCTTGAGAATAAAGCATCTGGTTGTAACTCCAGCAGTTTTATATTTAAAGTATACCTAATATAATTGTCAACCACATTACTTTAGAAAACATAAACAAAAGATAGTTACACTTATTTATTTAAAAAATGGTGACCGGGTGCGGTGGCTCACGTCTGTAACGCCAGCACGTTGGGAGGCCGTGACTGGCAGATCACGAGGTTAGGAGATCGAGACCATCCTGACTAACACGGTGAAACCCTGTCTCTACTAAAAATACAAAAAATTAGCCGGACGTGGTGGCACGCATTTCTAATAATTTCTCAGGCGATGCTGCTGCTGGTGGTCCTTGGAGCTTGGTCTGAGTAGCAAAAGGAGAGGCCTTTCATGGGAAAATAGTGGAAGAAGAGCAGTTGGATAGAAGGTCAAGACATAACAGGGTCAAGAGAATGCATTATATTGCTTTTATTTCTGGGTATGCTTTTAGCCAGAGAAGAAGAAGAAAAAGATAAACAGAAATTATAGATTTAAGATACTATCACTAAACAAAGAGAAAGGAAATGTTGAACAAATAAATTTGAAACAGTGTTGTATGGGAAGAATTCTACAGAGTTAGAGGTTTTTTTTTAATTTCTTTTTTTTTTTTTTTTTTTTTAGTAGAAGCATTCAAGTCAGGTAACGGGACAAACAAGAAAGAATGTAGGCAGGTAATTCTGGAGACTCTGAGAAGAACAGTTGAGTGAACTCACTTCAGATGCATGTAGATTATTTGCACTCCAGAATGTAGACTGTGGGCACTCCAGAGACTACCAGAATTGGGGGAACCACAGTGACTCATTAGGTTTCTCTGTTACAATCAGGCATGAGAAATATATATATTTTGTTGATGTTAGCTATTGAAATGAGATATATTGGAAACTGAGAACATTGGCTTTATGTTTAAGGAAGTGTGTTGTTTTGGTAAAATTGCCATTCCACAAAAATTTATTATAGACTAATGATACACCAAACCAGGCGAATTGTAGGATCTGAAAAAATACTGAATTTATACTTGAATAATAAGATTGCTTTTTAAGATAAATATTGTGGTGACTTAACAATGTAAAAAAAGTTACTTATGTTTATTTAATCTATTGCAATAAATTTTTATATAAATATGTCAATATTGAAAGCTTAGTATAGATTATTTCCATGATGAGTTTTACACATCTTGCATGAGTGGATCGAGAAGCATTCAGATGGATAAAGTAGAGGATACAGAATCATAGGCATATGATTACACCCTATGGTTATGGAAAAAAACGAATATTCATATTTAGTATTATGACCTAAGTGTATATCCAAGCTGATCAATTCATAACACTTCAGTGATGAGATGTCAGTTGTACATTCGGCTGAACTCTCATCATAACTATGTACCTTTCCAAAGATAGGCTATATTAAAGAACAGGATGAATGGAATAATATAAGTGATTCTAATGTGTTTCATTAAGTACGTGGCGTAGCATTCCATGTTCAGCTTTGACATTTATTTTCTCATATCAACCCTTTTTACACGTGAAACACAATCTCGCTCTTGAAGTCTTAACTGCATGATCTGTGAAACCTGTATTTATATTTTCTTCAGTGTATTCTTGTCGTGTGTGTGTCCTAAACAAACCAAAAGAAAACTTTCCAAATCTAAAGTATTCATTCTCCAATTGGAGCAAGAGGAGTCAGTTAGATACTATCACGGCATTCATTTGTGGCTGGCTTGTCATATTTACTTATGATTGATAATAAATCTATTTTGCTTTTTAGAGCCTCCCGAGAAGCCATCTGCCTTCGAGGTATTTAGTTTCATGATTTCATTTTGAATGACTTATTAACTATGTATTTTGTGAAGTATACATTCTTTATTAATCATTTTGCTTCCAACCCCATTTAGCCTGCCATTGAAATGCAAAAGTCTGTTCCAAATAAAGCCTTGGAATTGAAGAATGAACAAACATTGAGAGCAGGTAAATTTTTTAATGGAACTATGCAAAGACCAATATTTCAATATTGGACATTTTGATGGTCCTTCTATCCCCAATGCTTTATTTTTTTCAACTTTGATGAAAAGATTTGATCTAGGTAATGCCAATACTGGTATTGATGTTTGAAAAGCTGGTATTACAAGCACAGTAATTTTCAATATCTTTTTTTAAAAATGTAGGCTTAATCTCAGATGTTTCTACTTTTGTATCCTGAAACTGTAATGTTTTCTATTTTGAACTTCTGTATTTCTTAAGGATTCAAGAAGGTGAATGTTGAAACTCCAATTTCTTTTTTTAGCTCTTCGAAGCTTGATTCAAATTCCACGGTTTACTTCGGGGATCCCATCTCTTACTGATATAACCCTTGTGTTTTAACATGAATTACCTTGTTTCCGGTGTTGTCACTTTGAGAATCCTAAGAAAATCAGTAACTCGGACTAGTGAACTCTGTGTGTTTATGTGTGTGTGTGTCTGCGTGTGTGCCTGCGTGTGCCTGTGTGTGTGTGGTACCTTTACCTTGTAAAGATGAGGAAAGGAATTATTCATTTCTTTGTGAATATTTGATAAACACACTTTTTCATGAAACTGTGATTCTGAAGCATTTGGCTTTAGAGTCCTTTTACGCTAGTACCATTTATTGCCTGGAAGTAACCAATATTCTAAACTGTTTTTAGAAACTCTTCTTATGCATGTTTAAACATTTTACAACATGTGTGCGTGGTCATATTTAATATGTACGATTTTTTTCAACTTCTAATGTGTACATGGTTGTAGAGTGTAGTGTTCGGCAACATTCTTTTTTGATCAGCATTATAATTTTTAGAGACATCCGTAAAGGACACAATTAATTGTGTTTTTAAATATTAGGTTATTTATAAAATTCCATTGTATGACAGTACCATAGTTAATTGCACAATTTTTATGCCGAGAAGTAATAAATAAAACTGAAAACATGCAAATTTGGGAGTCTTTAAAAAGTTAGTTTTATCTGCTGATTTCTTAGTCATTAGAAATTAAAAGTAACATATTTAAAGTATTTCCTTGTGCAATCATACACTCCACTAAGAATTTGAACTGTGCCCCACAGCTTCTTAGAGCTATGGTGTGGCAACACGTTAGATCTCTGAAACGATCCAGGGTACGCTTCTAAAAATGAGTGAACATGGTGACTTACCAAAGTGTGATTTGAGTTTCCTGGACCCTCTGCATGAAATGTGAACATGAGCTATGCTGAGATCACAAGTTAAATTTACTTTTGAAACCAGGTATACAGTTGATGGATGTCAAATGATAAACGTATGCATAGTGATGAAACGGTCTTTTAAGTTTTAGGTGTGCATGTTTGCTTTTTTCCTGAACCTGATTCAAATAGTTGTAATTTGTACTTTGTGCTGATAAAGAAAACTGGACGTTATTTTTGGTATAAATTCTTTTTCTGTCTTATGTCCCTGAGAACTCGTCAAGTCTTGAGTGGGCCTTGATTTTATCCTATTACACGTGGGAACATTAGATTACTTAAGGCAATTATATTTTCCTATACATTTCTGATGTTTCTCCAAGGTGTCACAAGCTGACTCTGAAGATATTGTTGCATTAGGGAAGAAGTGTGTCATTGTAAATGAAGCAGTTCTTAATTTATACGCAATAAAAGTTTTTTAAGCTTATCTTCCTAAAGCTTATACACACGCAAAACACACCCAATACACTGTCATAGCATACTGAAATGTAAAAGGGTTGGACATATAGTTGACTGACATCAAAAAGTTAATATTTCTAAAACATCTTATTCATTGATAAATCATCTTTTTTGAAGAACTGTGTAAGAGAGATTGCTGAGTCAATCAATGTAAGTAATACTACCAAATAAAAAGTAACAAAGAAATGAGAGATGATAGGTAATTCCAGTTTTCTGAATGAACAGGAAACCTAGGGCATACTGCGCTTCACAGGAGAATAGGATATGACTGCTTTGTGAAGAGATAATTCATACAAGTTAGTTAAATTTCTATTTTTCTGCATTCTAATGAAATAATGTTAATTTTCAGACTTTTTAGATTTCAGTTCTATTGGAATGACTATAGAAGTAGTCATTGCAATCAACAAAAAGAATATACGGGCTACAGAGGAAAAACCTCAGATTCGTGAATGAAAGTAGATTTGTATATGTTTTTAAAATTTTTAGTAGAGAACTGTGCTCATGAATGTATCTGTGATTAACCTTTTATAGATGAGATACTCCCATCAGAATCCAAACAAAAGGACTATGAAGAAAGTTCTTGGGATTCTGAGGTACTATGTGTTATTGATTTTTTAAATATTAGTATTGCATGATATGAAAACATAAAATCAGATGCTTAGACTTTATGTTCTCACCTCTGCATGTGTCACCCCCAAATTATTTTTGATATTTTTCAGTATATGCTTAACGGAGAATCTGTGTGCTAAGTAGATTCCTGCTTCACAGTGAAATTCTGGGAATTTGTACGATTAATTTAAGAAGCCAAAGTGGTATAGTGTAAAAACTAAGGCTTAGAATTCACTAGAAATTCACATGGGATCTGGAGTACTTTTGTCTAAAAGGAAAAGAATTACACTGAGTCCAGCTATGGGCAAATATATGATTCTGTCTTATATCTAGAGGTAGAAAAGTTCTAATTGTATTCATAGAGAGACACTTTAAACTGCAATATTGTAAAAGTTGGGACCTGAAAATTTAATGCCTGGGACTTGAACGTATTGACATATCTTTATTGTTCAGTATAGATCTGAAGGAACATTTCAGCAGAAAGGAAAGCATGAGGAATAGGAAACCTTGTGGGAGTATAATAACAAGAGTATTGGTTGAGTAGTCTTTTGAAAAATATAAATTATATTTTCGCAAATAGAACTCCTTGAGTCCCCTTATGGCAGTCAAGCTGAAGCAGCATGAGCGTCATATCATAGTGATGTATTTTAAGGTCACAACGGCGGAAAGACATAGAAAGTATCTGACCTCTTAGAAACAAGCAGCTGCTGCCTGGTGGTAACAGCAAAGGGTGGAAGTCAATAGGTAGATTTTATCTGATATTTTATTAGACAGAAAGACTTTAACACTTGTTTGCTTTCATTTAGATGTGACATAATTTTTTTCTTACTGCATTTACATTCTATTCAAACACTTTTTCTATCACCAAAAATTTTGTCAAAAACATGTTGCTTATTTTAAGCCCCTGTTTACCGAAAGAAAGCAGCTTTTTCAAATTCTGTACATACATTCTATGACAGACTCTAAAAGTTCTCTTCGTGACATGCATGATTTTTAACAGTAAACAGTTCTATGATCGTGAATATTTTAAATGTTTACTGCTGTATGTGTCCCGGCAAGTAGCAAATGTGTTGTATTTTGTTTGAAATTTCTTATTTATTTTTGATGAGGACTAGAACGTAAGTTAGATATTTTTAAGAGAGATACTTTTTGAAATATGCACGAGTGAATTTTTTGTGAAGGTGATTTGTTTTTCCTGCTCAGTCACCGAGTTAATGGCCACGTGAACGTAAAGATGAGCTTGATGTAGAGAGGGTTATGTGAGGTTTTCTATCAAAATGTGTTTGTTTTCTACATGTATCTGCTCTTAAGTCGAATTGTTTGCAAAGGAGGAAATTGTGTTTTTAAAAAAGAATTTAATTAGGAAATTTTGATACTCTTCATTACTAGGATTTATCCATTGAAATTATTTATTGCTATTACTTTTAACAGAGTCTCTGTGAGACTGTTTCACAGAAGGATGTGTGTTTACCCAAGGCTACGCATCAAAAAGAAATAGATAAAATAAATGGAAAATTAGAAGGTAAGAACCGTTTTTTATTTAAAAATCATTTGACCAAATATTTCTCTAAATTGATGAGGAAGGATATCCTCTAGTAGCTGAAGAAAATTACCTCCTAAATGCAAACCATGGAAAAAAAGAGAAGTGCAATGGTCATAAGCTATGTGTCTCATCAGGCATTGGCAACAGACTATATTGTGAGTGCTGAAGAGGAGCTGAATTACTAGTTTAAATTCAAGATATTCCAAGACGTGAGGAAAATGAGAAAATAAGAAAGAAGAAAGTAGTAATAGAGTAAATGAAGACTGAGAAAGACAGAGCGTACAGAGAGTATATGAAGGAACAAGAAGCAGGTTTATGTAATGGAGGATGATAAAATGAAATGATTGCTTAGGAAAAGATCGGGTATGGTTAGAAATTTGGGAAGAATATAAAGTGACCTTCTAGAACCAAAATTTACCAGAGAATTACAGCAAAAATATTCTGACTCTTAATGTCTTTCTCACTTGTGGGAAGCCATTAGGGATGGAAGCACCTGACCATGGAGAGCTGTGTTCTATTTGCAATAGGTGAGAATAAGCATATCTGCATGGCCACACATGTATATAAATTGTCATATACACTCTGTATAGACCAGAGGTTTTCAAACTTTAGAAAGTCAGCTGAAAACCTTGTTAACAATTCACACTGAGATTCAGCCGACTTGGGATTCTGCATTTTTAAAAAGTTCTCAGGTGATGCTGATGCTGGTGGTCCTTGGACGTTGCTCTGGGTTGCAAGAGGAGAGGCCTTTTGTGGGAATAATGTGGAAGCAGAGCAACTGGATAGAAGGTCAGGACAGAAAAGGTCAGGAGAAAGCATCATGGTGCTCTTAATTTTGAGGATGTTTTTAGTCAGGGGAGAAGAAGAAAGGAGCAATGCAATAGAAATTATAGATGGAAGATACTACCACTCCTCAAAGTAAAAGGAAAGAGTTGGAAAAAATAATGTTAACAGGTGTCGAATGGGAAGAATCAAGAGCAGAAGTCTAGTGATTATTTTTGCTAAAGCAGAGAGATTGTGAGGCAGGAAGCAGGGGACAAGAGAGAATCCAGCTAGATGATTTTGGATTTTCTATGAAGGAAAATGGAGTGAGCTCACTTCGGAAGCATTTAGAAAAGTTTTACTGCAGAGTGCTAGAGTGTGGGTGCTCTGGAGACTACTGGAATCATGAGGATTACTAGAATTGGACTAAACCTCAGTGACTCATTAATAATCTTTATTAATATGAAGCATCAATATATAGATATATATATATAGATGTATGTATGTATGTATGTTTTTGACGTTCACAATTTGAATAAGATATACTTGAATGTAAGAACCTTGGCTTTATTTTTAAGGAAGCAAATTGTGTTGGTAAAATTGCCATTTTATGAAACCTCATTAGCAAATAACATGCTACACGAAACCAGACTAATTTTAAAAACCATAAAACTCTGAATTTATGACTTGAATACCTAAATTGTTGTTATTCGTAGGTATTTTACTGATTTTAACATAGAAAATGTTATTAATATTTAAAAGTCTGTTGCAACTAAATTTAAATGAAATACATCAATATTGAAAGCTTATTAAATTTGCTATTCCTTGATGAGATTTGTACATCTTCCTCCATGAGTGGATTAAGAGATATTGAGATGAGTAAGCTAGAAATTACAAAAATGTTGGCATACTATTCCAGTATATGGGTATGAAAATCAAGGAATATTTATATTTAATATTATGCTCTAAATATATATCCAAGCTGATCAATTCATAACACTTTTTCTGATGAGATGTCAATTCTACATTCAGCTGAACTCTCATCCGAACTGTGTGGCTTCTCAATGACAGGACATATTAAAGAACATGATGAATGTTTGTAATGCAATGATATAAATTATTATAATGTGTTGCCTTAAAGACACATGGTGTAGCATTCTACGTTCAGCTTTTGCATTTATTTTCTCAGTGTCATGATTTGCTCCTGTGATTCCAGATCAGTTTTCTCCTTATCAGTCAGCATATACATATTGGTATTAACACTTTTTGCAAAAATCATATATAAATGGTTGTACAATGTTGTTGTCATTCTACAGCAACTTTTTAATTTTTGTTCAGCGATTAGCTTGTTTTTCATTTATTTTAAGATTTCAGGCCAGGTGTGGTGGCTCACGCCTGTAATCCCAGCACTTTGGGAGGCAAAGGTGGGTGGATCACGAGGTCAGGAGATCCAGACCATCCTGGCTAACATGGTGAAACCCCACCTCTACTAGTAATACAAAAAATCAGCCGGGCGTGGTGGTGGGTGCCTGTAGTCCCAGCTACTCCGGAGGCTGAGACAAAAGAATGGCGTGAACCCGCGAGGCGGAGCTTGTGGTGAGCCGATATTACATTATTGTAACATTGAAATATGCAGGTGAATGATATATAAAAAGCCTCTGGAAGTTTACTTCTAGTTTTTGATACTTTCACATTACATGTTTTTTCTTTTTTAGAGACAGAGTCTCGCTCTGTCATCCAGGCTGGAGTGCAATGGCATGATCTTGGCTCACTGCAACCTCCACCTCCTGGGTTCAAGTGATTCTGGCACCTCAGGCACCCAAGTAGCTGAGATTACAGGCCTGTGCCACCATACCTGGCTGATTTTTGTAATTTTAGTGGGGACAGTGTTTCTAAAATAGTGATTTTGGCCAGGCTGGTTTGGAACTCCTGGCCTCCAGAGATCCGCCCTCCTCGGCCTTCCAAATTGCTGGAATTACAGGCATGAGCCACTGCACCTGGCCTGTATTGGTTTGTTGATGGGTATGCTTGGACCTTTTTGTATAAGTGGATCAGGAAATTTTAAGAGGACTAAACTAGAGAACCCTATGAATGTGAAAATACTCGTATTTCTCAGAGGTACAAAAATGAATATATTTATTAACTTTTATTCTATAAGTAGAAATGCTGCTAAATTTAGAACATTCTCTGCAATGATAAGTACATTTGTACCTTTGAACTCTCATCACAACTTTGCAATTCCTAAACTCCAGGACAAATTGAAGAACATAATAGCAACATGTATATATTGACATCAGTGATTCTGACGTGTTTCCTTAACAATATGCCATAGCATTCTCCCATTAGCTTAGTCATTTATTCTGTTTTGGTGGGGTGTGGCATGACTTGGTCATCTTATTAAATACAACTTCTTTCCTTATACGGCCGCTTTCTCTTACTGATAGTAGGATATTTCTGCTTTAGTTATTGTCACCTTAAATATATTTTCAATGTTGAAATCCTCACAGCATGTTTGATGAAATCTAGTTTTCAAATTGTCTTAGGTATATTTCTGTCACGTTGGCATGATAACAAATACAGTAACCCAAAAGACCCCAAAAGCTAGTGTAATCCCTTTTGCAATCCAAGCATGAGGATTCATCTTCATGTTGACAGTGCGTGAATGTTCGGTAGGCTTTGTCAAGCTTGCATACAATAAATTATATATGTCCCTTTTCTTTTAGAGTCTCCTGATAATGATGGTTTTCTGAAGGTAATAACTTTTATATTTTTATCTTGAGTATTAACTACATATTTTATGAAGTATACATTGTATATTAATTGTTTTGTTTCTAAACCCATTTAGGCTCCCTGCAGAATGAAAGTTTCTATTCCAACTAAAGCCTTAGAATTGATGGACATGCAAACTTTCAAAGCAGGTAAATTTTGTAATTTTAATTTTACTCTGGAAAGAAGAATATTAAAATATTTGAAATGCTGTGAGACTTTTCATTCCCAATGTTGTTTTCTATTCATAATTTGATGGGAAATTTCGATACAAATAATGCCAATGTGAGTATTTCTGTTTGAGAAAATGCCATTTATAAGCCTAAGATTTAGAGATTTAGAAAAAAAATTCTGCTTTACCTCATGTGGTTCTACTTTAATGTCCTGATCGGATAAAGTTTCCAATTTGCAATTTCTGTACGCGCTTGGTTTTAAGGTAGGTGAATTTTGAGACTGTGAAATATTTGCAGTGGTTCAAAGGCTGATTGGAATTCTGATGTTTACTTAGAAGAAAGTTCCACTTGCTGACATGACAGTTGTGAGTGTTACCACTCTGAGAATCTTAAGAAAATCAGTTTTTTTTTTATTAGATGACTGTGTGTTTGTGTGACTTATAATTTTAAAAAATCAGTCAAGCAATCATTACTTGATGACTCTTGTCTAGACACGGTGTTTTAGAAGAGTGACCCCAAAGCATTTGGCCTTGGTGTCTTTTAATGCTACTGTAATGAATTGCCTAGAGGTACAAAAGAGCCTGAATTAGTTCTTGTTGTCATTCCCGTGAACGTTTACAACATTTTACAATAGGCCGTGCACGGTGGCACGTGCCTGTAATGATAGCAGTTTGGGAGAGAAAGGCAGACAGATAAGTTAAGGTCAGGAGTCCCAGACCAGCCTGGTCAAATTAGTGAAACCCCATCTCTACTAAACATAACAAAAAGTAGCCGGTTGTGGTGGTGGGTGCCTGTCATCTCAGCTACTCTGGAGGCTGAGGCAGGAGAATGGCTTGAACGTAGGAGGCAGAAGTTGCATGAGCCGAGCTTGTGCCACTTTAGCCTGAGTGACAGAGTGAGACTCCATCTGAAAAAGCAAAGAAATAAAAACACAAAAGCTCACAACATATGTGTGGTTATAGACTATGTGTAGAATTTGTTTTCATGTCTTATAGGCTATGTGTAGAATTTGTTTTCATGTCTTCAATTTTCTTCCTTTTTTTTGTTTGCATTTCTTTCTTCAGTTTTTTTGTTTTGTTTTGTTTTTGTTTTTTTGAGCTCGACCAGGCTGGAGTGCCATGGCGCCATCTCGGCTCATGCAAGCTCTGCCTCCCGGGTTCACGCCATTCTCCTGCCTCAGCCTCCCGAGTAGCTGGGACTCCAGGCGCGTGCCACCACGCCTGGCTAATGTTTTGTATTTTTAGTAGAGACAGGGTTTCAGTGTGTTAGCCAGGATGGTCTGATCCGGATCTCCTGACCTTGTGATGCGCCCGTCTCGGCCTCCCAAAGTACTGGAATTACAGGCGTGAGGCACCGTGCCCGGCCGATGTCTGAAATTTTCAATAAATAGTTGTACACTGTACGTATTGTCCTGGAACTTCCTTGTTTGCTTATCGAATATTTTAGATGGACCCAATACAATTAGCTCTGCTTTGATTTAAGACCTCATAGTTTGCCATGTTAACTCTAAAACACATTTAATTAGACCGTCTTTTCTAGCCACTAAAAGTCGAAATTAAATGGCAGCTGATATCACAGAGCTTTTACTGAAGTGGGAGTATTTACTGCTTCATCCACTGTTAGAAATTAAAATGAAAATATTTAAAATACACGAATTGGAAAAGTCCTACTTTCCAATATGCATTACAACTGTTAGTTGTTAACCATGAAAATTATGACATTGTGACATGTCATGAGTCTGAAAAATTTTAGTTTACACTTCTTAGAAAATATCAGTAAATAGAAGAAATAGGAAAAACATTATGTGAACTATTAGGCCCCCGGTGTATTTGTTGAACTTCAGAGATGCTCAGATCAGAAGTTAGAACAAGAATTTTCAAAAATGCATAAGGTTTTAAAGTGCCAAATAACAAATGGGCTCTTGTATATGAAATAATGTCTGAAGTTGCACGTCTGAGTCTTTTTTCTCTTTTTCTTTTTCAAAAAGATATAAATCAAACAAAATCAAAATTTTGTTTATAATGAAAAGAGTTGGTTACAGATTCATTCTGTGTCTCATGGCGCTGTGCTCTCTTCCCTAGAGAGGATCTAGACTTTTCATCTGTTTACATGGGAAGAAGTAGTTCAGTTTATGGTCTCATTTCTCATATAAACTGTGAAAATTCTCCACGGCTTCACATGCTAGTTCAGAAGATATTGATGCCTTGAGAATAAAGCATCTGGTTGTAACTCCAGCAGTTTTATATTTAAAGTATACCTAATATAATTGTCAACCACATTACTTTAGAAAACATAAACAAAAGATAGTTACACATATTTATTTAAAAAATGGTGACCGGGTGCGGTGGCTCACGCCTGTAATGCCAGCACGTTGGGAGGCCGTGACTGACAGATCACTAGGTGAGGAGATCGAGACCATCCTGACTAACACAGTGAAACCCTGTCTCTACTAAAAATACAAAAAATTAGCCGGACGTGGTGGCACGCATTTCTAATAATTTCTCAGGCGATGCTGCTGCTGGTGGTCCTTGGAGCTTGCTCTGAGTTGCAAAAGGAGAGGCCTTTGATGGGAAAAATTGGAAGAAGAGCAGTTGGATAGAAGGTCAAGACATAACAGGGTCAAGAGAATGCATTATATTGCTTTTATTTCTGGGTATGCTTTTAGCCAGAGAAGAAGAAGGAAAAGATAAACAGAAATTATAGATTTAAGATACTATCACTAAACAAAGAGAAAGGAAGTGTTGAACAAATAAATTTGAAACAGTGTTGTATGGGAAGAATTCTACAGAGTTAGAGGTTTTTTTATATTTTCTATTTTTTTTTTTTTTTTTTTGTAGTAGAAGCATTCTAGGCAGGTAACAGGGGACAAACAAGAAAGAATGTAGGCAGGTAATTCTGGAGACTCTGAGCAAAACAGTTGAGTGAACTCACTTCAGATGCATGTAGATTATTTGCACTCCAGAATGTAGACTGTGGGCACTCCAGAGACTACCGGAAGCAGGAGTCCTACTAGAATTGGGGGAACCACAGTGACACATTAGGTTTTTCTGTTACAATGAGGCATGACAAATATATATATTTTGTTGATGTTAGCTATTGAAATGAGATATATTGGAAACTAAGAACATTGGGTTTATGTTTAAGGAAGTGTGTTGTTTTGGTAAAATTGCCATTCCATAAAAATTTATTATAGACTAATGATACACTGAACCAGACGAATTGTAGGAACTGTAAAAATACTGAATTTATACTTCAAAAATAAGATTGCTTTTTAAGATAAATATTGTGGTGACTTAACAATTAAAAAAGTTATTTATGTTTAATTCATCTATTGCAATAAATTTTTATAGAAATATGTCAATATTGAAAGCTTAGTGTAGATTATTTCCATGATGAGTTTTACACATCTTCTTGCATGAGTGGATCAAGAAGCATTCAGATGAATAAAGCAGAGGATACAGAAATATAGGCATATGATTACACCCTATGGTTATGGAAAAAAATGAATATTCATTTTAAGTATTATGACCTAAGTGTATATCCAAGCTGATCAATTCAAAACACTTCAGTGACGAGATGTCAGTTGTACATTCAGCTGAACTCTCATCATAACCATGTACCTTTCCGAAGATAGGCTATGTTAAAGAACAGGATGAATGGAATAATATAAGTGATTCTAATGTGTTTCATTAAGTACGTGGCGTAGCATTCCATGTTCAGCTTTGACATTTATTTTCTCATATCAACCCTGTTTACACGTGAAACACAATCTCGCTCTTGAAGTCTTAACTGCATGATCTGTGAAACCTGTATTTATATTTTCTTCAGTGTATTCTTGTCGTGTGTGTGTCCTAAACAAACCAAAAGAAAACTTTCCAAATCTAAAGTATTCATTCTCCAATTGGAGCAAGAGGAGTCAGTTAGATACTATCACGGCATTCATTTGTGGCTGGCTTGTCATATTTACTTATGATTGATGATAAATCTCTTTTGCTTTTTAGAGCCTCCCGAGAAGCCATCTGCCTTCGAGGTATTTAGTTTTATGATTTCATTTTGAATGACTTATTAACTATGTATTTTGTGAAGTATACATTCTTTATTAATCATTTTGCTTCCAACCCCATTTAGCCTGCCATTGAAATGCAAAAGTCTGTTCCAAATAAAGCCTTGGAATTGAAGAATGAACAAACATTGAGAGCAGGTACATTTTTCAATGTAACTATGCGAAGACCAATATTTCAATATTGAACATTTTGATGGTCTTTCTATCCCCAATGCTTTATTTTTTTCAACTTTGATGATAAGTTTTGATCTAGGTAATGCCAATACTGGTATTGATGTTTGAAAAGCTGGTATTACAAGCACAGTAATTTTCAATATTTTTTTTAAAAAATGTAGCCTTAATCTCAGATGTTTCTACTTTTGTATCCTGAAACTGTAATGTTTTCTATTTTGAACTTCTGTATTTCTTAAAGATTCAAGAAGGTGAATGTTGAAACTCCAATTTCTTTTTTTAGTTCTTCGAAGCTTGATTCAAATTCCACGGTTTATTTCGGGGATCCCATCTTTTACTGATATAACACTCGTGTTTTAACTTGAATTACCTCGTTTCCAGTGTTGTCACTTTGAGAATCCTAAGAAAATCAGTAACTCGGATTAGTGAACTCTGTGTGTTTATGTGTGTGTGTCTGCGTGTGTGCCTGTGTGTGCCTGTGTATGTGTGTGGTAACTTTACCTTGTGAAGATGAGGAAAAGAATTATTCATTTCTTTGTGAATATTTGATAAACACACTTTTTCATGAAACTGTGATTCTGAAGTGTTTGGCTTTAGAGTCTTTTTACACTAGTACCATTTATTGCCCAGAAGTAACCAATATTCTAAACTGTTTTTTAAAACTATTCTTATGCATGTTTAAACATTTTACAACATGTGTGCGTGGTCATATTTAATATGTACAATTTTTTTCAACTTCTAATATGTAGATGGTTGTGCAGTGTAATGTTCGGCAACATTCGTTTTTGATCAGCATTATAATTTTTAGAAACATCCGTATAGGACACAGTTAACTGTGTTTTTAATATTAGGTTATTTATAAAATTCCATTTTATGACAGTACCATAGTTAACTGCACAATTTTTATGCTGATAAGTAATAAATAAAAATGAAAACATGCAGATTTCTGCATCTTTAAAAGGTTAGTTTTATCTGCTGATTTTTTGGTTATTAGAAATTAAAAGTAAAATATTTAAGATATTTCCTTGTTCAATCATGCATTCCACCAAGAATTTGAACTGTGCCCCAGAGCTTCTTAGAGATATGGTGTTGCAACACGTTGTATCTCTGAAACTATCCAGGGTTCACTTCCAAAAATGAGTGAAAACGGTGGCTTACCAAAGTATGATTTAAGTTTCTTCGACACTCTGCATGAAATATGAACGTTAGCTATGCTGTGATCACAAGTTAAATTTACTTTTGAAAATCAGGTATACAATTGATGGATGTCAAATGATATACGTACCCTTAATGATGAAATGGTCTTTTAAGTTTTAGTTGTGCATGTTTGCTTTTTTCTTTAACCTGATTCAAATAGTTGTAATTTGTACTTTGTGCTGATAAAGAAACTTCAACGTTATTTTTGGTATAAATTCATTTTCTGTCTCATGTTCCTGAGAACTCCTCAAGTCTTGAGTGGGCCTTGATTTTATCCTATAACATGTGGGAACGTTGGATTACTTAAGGCAATTATTTTTTCCTATACATTTCTCATGTTTCTCCAAGGTGTCACAAGCTGACTCTGAAGGCATTGTTGCATTAGGGAAGAAGTATGTCATTGTAATTAAAGCAGTTCTTAATTCATATGCAATAAAAGTTTTTTAAGCTTATCTTCCTAAAACATATACATACCCAAACCACACCCAATACACTGTCATAGCATATTGAAATGTAAAAGGGTTGGACATATAGTTGACTGACATCAAAAAGTTAATATTCCTAAAAAATCTTATTCATTGATAAATCATCTTTTTTGAAGAACTGCGTAATAGAGATTGCTGAGTCAATCAACGTAAGTAATACTACCAAATAAAAATTTACAAAGAAATGAGAGATGGTAGGTAATTAAAGTTTTCTGAATGAACAGGAAATATAGGATATACCTTGTTTCAGAGTAGAAGAGTATGTGACTGCTTTGTGAAGAAATAATTCATAGAAGTTAGTCAAATTTATATTTTTGTGCATTCTAATGAAATAATGTTAATTTTCAGACTTTTCAGATTTCAATTCTAACGGATTGACTATAGGAAGTAGTCATTGTAATCAACAAAAAGAATATACGGGCTACAGAGGAGGAACCACAGATTCGTGAATGAAAGTAGATTTGTATATGTTTTTAAAATGTATAGTAGAGAAATGTTCTCATGAATGTATCTGTGATTAACCTTTTATAGATCAGATGTTCCCTTCAGAATCAAAACAAAAGAAGGTTGAAGAAAATTCTTGGGATTCTGAGGTACTATGTGTTATTGATTTTTTTAAATATTAGTATTGCATGATATGAAAACATAAAATCAGATGCTTAGACTTTATTTTCTCACCTCTGCATATGTCACCCGCAAATTATTTTTGATATTTTTCAGAATATGCTTAATAGAGAATCTATGTGCTAAGTAGATTACTGCTTCACAGTGATATTGTGTGAATTTGTAGGATTAATTTAAGAAGCCCGTGTGGTACAGTGGAAATAATAAGAGTTAGAATTCACTAGAAATTCACATGGGATCTGAAGTACGTTTGTCTAAAAGCAAAAGAATTACACTGAGTCCAGCTCTGGGCAAATATATGATTCTGTCTTATATCTAGATGTACAAAAGTTCTAATTGGATTCATAGAGAGACAGTTTAAGCTGCAGTATTGTAAAAGTTGGGACCTGAAAAGTTAATGCCTGGGACTTGAACGTATTGACATATCTTTATTGTTCAGTATAGATCTGAAGGAACATTTCAGCAGAAAGAAAAGCATGAGGAATAGGAAACCTTGTGGGAGTATAATAACAAGAGTATTGGTTGAGTAGTCTTTTGAAAAATATAAATTATATTTTCACAAATGGAACTCCTTGAGTCCCTTTATGACAGTCAAGCTGCAGCAGCATGAGCGTCAAATAATAGTGATGTATTTTAAGGTCACAACGGCGGAAAGACATAGAAAGTATCTGACCTCTTAGAAACAAGCAGCTGCTGCCTGGTGGTAACAGCAAAGGGTGGAAGTCAATAGACAGGTAGATTTTATCTGATTTGTAATTGGACAAAAAGACTTTAATACTTATTTGCTTTTATTTAGACATGACATAATTTTTTTCTTACTGCATTTGCATTCTATTCAAGCACTTTTTTATCACCATAAATTTTGTCAAAAACTTGTTGCTGATTTTAAGCCCTTGTTTATCAAAATAAAGCAGCTTTTTCAACATTCTGTACATACATTCTATGACAGACTCTAAAAGTTCTCTTCATGACAGGCATCATTTTTAACATTAGACAATTGTATGATCATGCATATTTTACATGTTTAATGCAGTATCTGTTATGGCAAGTAGCAAGAGTATTGTATTTTGTTTGAAATGTCATATTTATTGTTGTTGAGGACGACAACATGTTAGATATTTTTAAGAGAGATACGTTTTGAAATATGCACGATTGAATTTTTTCGTGTATATGATTTGTTTTTCCTGCTCAGTCACCGAGTTAATGGCCACATGGACATAAAGATCAGCTTGATGTAGAGAGGGTTATGTGAGGTTTTCTATTAAAATGTTTTTTTTTATACGTGTCTGCTCTTAAGTTGAATTGCTTGCAAAATAGGACTTTTTTTTAAAAAAAGATTTTAATTAGGAAATTTTGATAATCTTCATTATTAGGATTTTTCCATTGAAATTATTTATTGATATTACTTTTAACAGAGTCTCCGTGAGACTGTTTCACAGAAGGATGTGTGTGTACCCAAGGCTACACATCAAAAAGAAATGGATAAAATAAGTGGAAAATTAGAAGGTAAGAACCATCTTTTATTTAAAAGGTCATTTGACCAAGTATTTCTCTAAAATGATGAGGAAGGATATGCTCTAATAGCTGAAGAAAATTACCTCCTAAATGCAAACCATGGAAAAAAAGAGAAGTGCAATGGTCATAAGTTATATGTCTCATCAGGTGTTGGCAAAAGACTATATTGAGAGTGCTGAGAAGGAGGTGAATTATTAGTTTGAATTCAAGATATTCCAAGACCTGAGGACAATGAGAAAATAAGAAAGAAGAAAGTAGTAAAAGAGGAAATGAAGACTGAGAAAGACAGAGCGTACAGAGAGTACATGAAGGAACAAGAATCAGGTTTATATAATGGAGGATGATGAAATGATTGTTTAGGAAAAGATTGGGTGTGGTTAGAAATTTGGGAAGAATATAAAGTGACCTTCTAGTACCAAAATTTACCAGAGAATTACAGCAAAAGTATTCTGACTCTTAATGTCTTTCTCACTGGTGGGAAGCCATTAGGGATGGAAGCACCTGACCATGGAGAGCTGTGTTCTATTTGCCATAGGTGAGAATAAGCATGTCTGCATGGCCACACATGTATATAATTTGTCATATACACTCCGTATAGACCAGAAATTTTCATAGAAAATCAGCGGGAAACCTAGTTAACAATTCACACTGTGATTCAGCTGACTTGGGATTCTGCATTTTTAAAAAGTTCTCAGGTGATGCTGATGCTGGTGGTCCTTGTACCTTGATCTGAGTAGCTGAGGAGAGGCCTTTTGTGGGAAAAATGTGGAAGAATAGCAATTGAATAGAAGGTCAGGACAGAAAAGGGTCAGAAGAAAGCATTATGTTACTTTTATTTTTGAGTATGTTTTTAGCCAGCGGAGAAGAAGAAAGGGGCAACGCAATAGAAATTGTAGATGGAAGTAAAGCAGTCCTCAGCAAATGTAAAAGAACAGAAATTATCACAAACTGTCTCTCAGACCACAGTGCAATAAAACTAGAACTCAGGATTAAGAACCTCACTCAAAACCACTTAACTACATGGAAACTGAACAACCTCCTCCAGAATGACTACTGGGTACATAACGAAATCAAGGCAGAAATAAATATGTTCTTTGAAACCGATGAGAACAAAGGCACCACATACCAGAATCTGTGGGACACATTTAAAGCAGTGTGTAGAGGGAAATTTATAGCACTAAATGCCCACAAGAGAAAGCAGGAAAGATCTAAAATTGATACACTAACATCACAATTAAAAGAACTAGAGAAGCAAGAGCAAACACATTCAAAAGCTAGCAGAAGGCAAGAAATAACTAAAATCAGAGCAGAATTGAAGGAGATAGAGACACAAAAAATCCTTCAAAAAATCAATGAATCCAGGAGCTGGTTTTTTGAAAAGATTAACAAATATGATAGACTGCTAGCAAGACTAATAAAGAAGAAAAGTGAGAAGAATCAAATAGACACAATAAAAAATGATAAAGGGGATATCACCACCGATCCCACAGAAATACAAACTACCATCAGAGAATACTATAAACACCTCTATGCAAATAAACTGGAGAATCTAGAAAAAATGGATAAATTCCTGGACAGCTACACCCTCCCAAGACTAAACCAGGAAGGAGAATCCCCGAATAGACCAATAACAGGCTCTGTAATTGAGGCAATAATTAATAGCCTACCAACCAAGAAAAGTCCAGGACTGGACAGATTCCCAGCCAAATTCTACCAGAGGTACAAGGAGGAGCTGATACCATTCCTTCTGAAATGATTCCAATCAATAGAAAAAGAGGGAATCCTCCCTAACTCATTTTATGAGGCCAGCATCATCCTGATACCAAAGCCTGGCAGAGACACAACAAAAAAACAGAATTTTAGACCAGTATCCCTGATGAACATCAATGCAAAAATCCTCAATAAAATACTGGCAAACCGAATCCAGCAGCACATCAGAAAGCTTATCCACCATGATCAAGTTGGCTTCATCCCTGGGATGCAAGGCTGGTTCAAGATATGCAAATCAATAAATATAATTCATCATATAAACAGAACCAAAAACAAAAACCACATGATTATCTCAATAGATGCAGAAAAGGCCTTTGACAAAATTCAACAGCACTTCATGCTAAAAACTCTCAATAAACTAGGTATTGATGGGATGTATCTCAAAATAATAAGATCTATTTATGACAAACCCACAGCCAGTATCATACCGAATGGGCAAAAACTGGAAGCATTCCCTTTGAAAACTGGCACAAGACAGGGATGCCCTCTCTCACCACTGCTATTCAACATAGTGTTGGAAGTTCTGGCCAGGGCAATCACACAGGAGAAAGAAATGAATGGTATTCAATAAGGAATAGAGGAAGTCAAATTTTCCCTGTTTGCAGATGACATGATTGTATATTTAGAAAACCCCATTGTCTCAGCCCGAAATCTTCTTAAGCTGATATAAGCAGCATCAGCAAAGTCTCAGGATACATAATAAATGTGCAAAAATCACAAGCACTCTTATACACCAATAACAGACAAACAGAGAACCAAATCATGAGTGAACTCCCATTCACAATTGCTTCAAAGAGAATAAAATATCTAGGAATCCAACTTACAAGGGATGTGAAGGACCTCTTCAAGGAGAACTATACACCACTGCTTAACGAAATAAAAGAGGACACAAACAAATGGAAGAGCATTCCATGCTTATGGATAGGAAGAATCAATATCGTGAAAATGGCCATACTGCCCAAGGTAATTTATGGATTCAATGCCATCCCCATTAAGCTACCAATGACTTTCTTCACAGAATTGGAAAAACTACTTTAAAGTTCATATGGAACCAAAAAAGAGCCTGCAGTGCCAAGACGATCCTAAGCCAAAATAACAAAGCTGGAGGCATCACACTACCTGACTTCAAACTATACTACAAGGCTACAGTAACCAAAACAGCATGGTATTAGTACCAAAACAGAGATATAGATGAATGGAACAGAACCACACATCTACAACCATCTGATCTTTGATGAACCAGACAAAAACAAGAAATGGGGAAAGGATTCCCTATTTAATAAATGGTGCTGGGAAAACTGGCTAGCCATATGTAGAAAGCTGAAACTGGATCCCTTCCTTACAACTTATACAAAAATTAATTCAAGATGGATTAAAGACTTAAATGTTAGACCTAAAACCATAAAAACCCTAGAAGAAAACCTAGGCAATACCATTCAGGACAAAGGCATGGGCAAAGTCTTCATGACTAAAACACCAAAAGCAATGGCAACAAAAGCCAAAATTGACAAATGGGATCTAATTAAACTAAAGAGCTTCTTCTGCACAGCAAAAGAAACTACCATGAGAATGAACAGGCAACCTTTTTGCAATCTACCCATCTGACAAAGGGCTAATATCCAGAATCTACAAAAACTTAAGTTTACAAGAAAAAATCAAACACCCCATGAAAAAGTGGGCAAAGGATATGAACAGACACTTCTCAAAAGAAGATATTTATGCAGACAACAGACACATGAAAAAATCCTCATCATCACCTGTCATCAGAGAAATGCAAATCAAAACCATGATGAGATATCATCTCACACCAGTTAGAATGGCGATCATTAAAAAGTCAGGAAACAACAGGTGCTGGAGAGGATGTGGAGAAATAGGAACGCTTTTACACTGTTGGTGGGAGTGTAAACTAGTTCAACCATTGTGGAAGACAGTGTGGTGATTCCTGAAGGATCTAGAACTAGAAATACCATTTGACCCAGGGATCCCATTACTGGTTATATACCCAAAGGATTATAAATCGTGCTACTGTAAAGACACATGCACACATATGTTTATTGCAGCACTCTTCACAATAGCAAAGACTTGGAACTAACCCAAATATACATCAATGATAGACTGGATTAAGAAAATGTGGCACATATACACCATGGAATTCTCTGCAGCCATAAAAAAGGATGTGTTCATATCCTTTGTAGGGACATGGATGAAGCTGGAAACCATCATTCTGAGCAAACTATCGCAAGGACAGAAAACCAAACATCACATGTTCTCACCCATAGGTGGGAATTGAACAATGAGAACACTTGGACACAGGAAGTGCAACATCACACACGGGGGCCTGTCATGGGGTGGGGGGAGGTGGGAGGGATAGCATTAAGAGAAATACCTAATGTAAATGACGAGTTAATGGGTGCAGTGCACCAATATGGCACATGTATACATATGTAAAAAACCTGCACGTTGTGCAGATGTACTCTAGAACTTAATGTATAATAACAACAAAAAAAATTTCCACCCGTACTTACACGCTTGTGGAAGACATTGGAGATGGAATTACCTGACTATGTGAAGCTGTGTTTTATCTATTATTGGTGAATATAAGCATATATGAGCAGCCACACATGTATATATTTTTTCAGTATTGTCTAGAAGGTTTCAAACTTTAAGAAATGAGCTATAAAACTTGTTAACAGTGCACATTCTGATTCAGCAGACTTGAGGTCATGCAATTTTAATAAATTCTCTGATGATGCTGATGCTGGTGGTTCTTGGACTGTACACTGAGTAGCGAAGGTATAGAGTTTTCATTGAAATAATTTGGAAGAAGAGCAATTGGATAGAATGTCAAGACATAACAGAGTCAAGGGAAAGCATTATTTTGATTTTATATCTGAGTATGTTTTTAGCCAGAAGAGGAGAAGAAAGAGGTTAAAAAGCAAAAACAGAATTTATAGATGCACGATATTACTTCTGAACAAGAGAAAGAAACTGGTAGGAAAATTTATTTTAAAAAGTGTTGAAGGGAAAGAATCAAGACCACAGATCCAGATCCGGAGATTATTTTGCTAAAGAATAGCAATTGTGAGGCATGAAGTGGGAGGGGGGAAGAAGCTATGAACTTAATTTTGAGGTTTCTGAGAAGGAAACTTGAGTGAATTCACTTCAGATGCATTTGGAATGTTTGCACTCCAGAAGATGAGATTGTGTGTGCTCTGGAGAGTATTGGAAGAAGGAGGTATTACTAGATTTGGCGACTCCCACAGTGACTCATTACTCTTCTCTGTTACTTTCAGGATTCATAGAGATATGTTTTGTTGATATTATTTATTTAAGTGAGATAAATTTGAATATGAATCCATTGGCTTTTTTTTGTAAAATTTCTGCTTTATAAAATCTGTTAGAAGGCTGGGCCCGGTGGCTCATGCCTGTAATCCCAGCACTTTGGGAGGCCAAGGCGGGCAGATCACTTGGGGTCAGCAGTTCGAGACCAGCCTGGCCAACATGGTGAAACCCAGTCTCTACTAAAAATACAAAAATTAATTAGCTGGGCTTGGTAGCACATGCCTGTAAACCCAGCTACTCAGGAGGCTGAGGCAGGAGAATTGCTTGAACCCAGGGGGCAGAGACTGCAGTGAGCTGAGATTGCTCCACTGCACTCCAGCCTGGGTGGCAGAGTGAGACTCCCATCTCAAAAAAAATAAAAATGAAAAAATAAAAATTTCTTAGAGACTAACATGATAAATCAGACTGATTTTAGAAACAAACAAAAAATGCTAAATTTATTACTTGAATACTAAAACTGATTTTTACATAAATATTATACTGATTTCAAAATAAAAATGGTTATACTTAATTAATATTTAACAATTAAGTTGTTGAATACATATTTCAATATTGAAAGTTTTTTATACATTATTTTCTTTATGAGTTTTATATGCCCTCTTACATGAGGGGATCAAAAAACATTCAGATGGATAAGTGAGAGGATGCAAAAAAATGTAGGCATAAAATTACACCATGTGTATGGAAAACAATGAATATTTTATTTACCATTATTTTCTAATATACATCCATACTCATAAATTCATTATACTTTCGTTGATGAGACATCAATTTTACATTCAGCTAAACTCTCATTGTAACTGTGTACCTTCTCAATTATAAGATAAATTAAAGAATATGATGAATGTTTGTAGTTTACTGATATAAGTGATTCTGAAGTGTATCTTGTACTTCAGAAACTCTCACAATTTATAACCAGTATATGTTAGCCATGTGTGAGATTCATAGATGCCATATGATAAATGGGCTCTAAATGATTAAATGGCTTGTAAAATTTTCCTTGTGTGTTCTTTGCTTTTTTCTTTTGTCACTTAAAAATTTTAAACTCAATGTTTTTGTTTATGAAGGAAAATAGTTACATACTTACTTTTTGTCACCTGGGACTCTGCACACTTTTGATATAGTTTGAACCTAGACTTTTTTTTTTAACTTGTGAAAAATTAGGTCACTTATGGCTATTATTTTTATATAAATTTCTAATATATTTATCCAAAATTTCACAAGTACATTCTTAATATATTGGTGCATTAGAAAGAGACTATATCATTATCATTATAATAGTTTTTTGAAAATATATTCAATAAAGTGTTTTAAAGTCCATGTCTGTATAATTCATTGACAGAATAGTCTCATACCTCTTTAAACTTTAAATGACTAGACATAAATTTCATTGATAGAAAAGTATATATATCTTTGAAGAATCTTATTGATGAATAATTTATCCTGGAAAACAAACTATGTCATAAAGTTTGCTGAGTCAATTAAAGAAAGTAATAGTAAAATATTAATTCCTGAAAGAAAATGAGGGTTGATATTTAATTAAACATATCTGGGTAAATGGTGACTATCAGACATAGTGTGTTTTTTGTGGGGAAAGGAAGACAAGAGACTGCTTTTTAGAAGAAAAAAAAATTCATACGAGCTCTTTATGAGTCTTAGGTCAGGGTTTTGATAAGGAAGCAGAGCCATTCATGACCACTCAGGACATAGAACTGATGCTGCATTTTCTCTTTCCTCTGGGAGCCTCTTTGCAATTCACTAAGAGCTTTTCCTGAGACCCTTGTCTTGGCTGGTGTCTGTGCCCCTCATTAGGGTATCCAAACATCAAGCCAGTTTTGTCAGTCCAGTCCAGCTTGTCAGTGTAGTTTTGCTCAGCTTCGTCCTTCTTTCTGGAGCTGAGTAGAGAATTCAGGGCACTGGGCATTACACAGACTTGCCGATAACCTGAGGTAACAGAGAGTTCCTACCGGTAAAACAAAGACAAAGCATATTCTTATCCGCTTCTGCCACAGTACATTCTAACCTGTGGTCACCATTTGTTGGCTGGGAGGTTGCACTGCACACCCCATTACAAAATTTGCTGACTCAAGTGTGGATAGGGAAATGATGTAGGCTTCTTGAGACCTCCACTTTCTCATTTCTGCAGCAAATTGAGGGCCTTCTCACCTGCCCAGTATGCTGCCATGAGAACTAGCATTTGGGAAAACCACCATACTAAGTTTACATATAACCAAAAGAATCATACAGAGGCTGACTCCCCTGACAGCACTCAGAAACAAATTGCATTCTTCAGCATATGTTAAAGCCACACCCTCCAAGGTGATAACATGTCTCAAGCAAGTGAAAGTAAACTTAAATAGAAGAAGTGACTCTCTTTTCAGATTGGAAAGATGAGCCAAAAGTCTGAAAGCTGAAAAAACACAGGATATCAGCACACGACTTTATTCCTCAACCCTTTGGCAACCACTGATCTTTTTACTCTATCTATACATAATTTTGTTTTCTGGATAATGTCATTTTTAGAAATATGCATTTAAGTCTTTTCATGTCTTTTCATAGCTTGATAGTTCATCTCTTTTGAGTCCTTAGTAATATTCCATTGTATGACTATAGCACAGTTTATACACTCATCTTTCTAAGGTTATCATTATTGCCTCACAAATTGGTTGAATTTTTGCAATCATGTTCATAAGGCAGTTCTCTTGTTTGTAATAATATCATCTGGTTTTGATTTAGAGTAATGCTAGCATTATACAATGAGTTAAAATGTACTGTGTATTAGGCTATTTGTGCATTGCTATAGAGAAATACCTGAGATTGGGTAATTTATGAGGAAATAGATTTCATTGGCGCACAGTTCTACAGGTTGTACAGGAAGCATAACGTGGGGCTCTGCTTCTGGGGAGGCCTGTGGAAGCTTACAATTATGGTGGAACGTGAGGAAGAACTTGCACATCACATGGCCAGAGCAGGAGCAAGAGAGAGAGGTGGGAGGTGCCATGCATGTTTAAATGACCAATATTCATGAGGATCACTATTGTGAGTACAGCACCAAAGGCACGGTGCTAAATTATTTGTGAGAAATCTTCCCTCATGATGCATTCACCTCTCACCAAGCTTTACTGCCAACATTGGAGATGACATTTCAATGGGAGATTTTGGTGGGGACACACATCCAAACTATGTCATACTTTCTTTTATTTTAGGAGTAGAGTTTGTTTAGAATTATACCTCTTTTTTTCTAAAATATTTGGTAGAACTCACCAGTGTAGGATTCTTTTCCTGGACTTTTCAATGTAGGAAGACTTTTAACTATGACTTAATCTTCTTTTATATATTTAGGGCAATGCAGGTTAACTATTTTTTCTTGAGATATTATATTTTTTTTGACACTGACTAGATCTTATTTTCCTATTGTTGACATCATTTATATTTTGGCAAAAGAGAGTTGGATCTTTTACATAAAAATTTCCTTTGAACCTTTGCCAGAATCAGTATACTGTCATTCCTAGTTAAAAAGGTTTTCTTATATTATAATTTAAGTTCTAGGTTACATGTGCAGAACATGTGGGTTTGTTACATAGGTATACACATTCCATGGTGGTTTGCTGTACCCATCAACCCATCATCTACATTAGGTATTTCTCCTAATGCTACCCCTCCCCCAGCCCCTCATCCCCAACAGTCCCTGGTGTGTGATGTTCCCCTCCCTGTGTCCATATGTTCTCATTGTTCAACTCCCACTTATGAGTGAGAACATGCAGTGTTTGGTTTTCTGTTCTTGTGCTAGTTTGCTGAGAATGATGGTTTCCAGCTTCATCCATGTCCCTGCAAAGGACATGAATTCATATCCTTTTTTATCACTGCATAGTATTTTATGGTGTATATGTGCCACATTTTCTTTATCCAATGTCTATCATTGATGGACATTTGAGTTGGTTCCAAGTCTTTGCTATTGAGAATACTCCCCCAATAAACCTATGTATGCATGTGTCTTTATAATAGAATGATTTATAATCCTTTGGGTATATAACCAGTAATGGGATCGCTGGGTCAAATGGTATTTCTGGTTCTAGATCCTTGAGGAATCGCCACACTCTCTTCTACAATGGTTGAACTAATTTTCACTCCCACCAACAGTGTAAAAACGATTCTATTTCTCCACATCCTCTCCAGCATCTGTTGTTTCCTGACTTTTTAATGATTGCCATTCTAACTGGCGTGAGATGATATCTTATTGTGGTTTTGATTTGCATTTCTCTAATGATCAGTGATGATGAGCTTTTTTTCATATGTTTGTTGGCTGCATAAATGTGATCTTTGAAGAAGTATCTGTTCATATCCTTTGCTCACTTTATGATGGGGTTGTTTGTTTTTTCCTTGTAAATTTGTTTAAGTTCTTGTACATTCTGGATATTAGCCCTGTGTCAGATGGATAGATTGCAAAAATTTTCTCCCATTCTGTAGGTTGCCTGTTCATTTTGATGTTAGTTGCTTTTGCTGTGCCGAAGCTCTTTAGTTGAATTAAGTCCCATTTGTCAATTTTGGCTTTTGTTGCCATTGCTTTTAGTGTTTTAGTCATGAAGTCTTTCCCATGCCTATGTCCTGAATGATATTGCCTAGGTTTTCTTCTAGGCTTTTTATGGTTTTAGGTCTTATGTTTAAGTGTTTAATCCATCTTTTTTTTTATCTAGAATTTTTTTTATTATTATACTTTAAGTTTTAGGGTACATGTGCATAACATGCAGGTTAGTTACATATGTATACATGTGCCATATTGGTGTGCTGCACCCATTGGCTCATCATTTAACATTAGGTATATCTCCTAATGCTATCCCTCCCCCACCCCACAACAGGCCCTGGTGTGTGATGTTCCCCTTCCTGTGTCCATGTGTTCTCATTGTTCAATTCCCACCTATGAGTGAGAACATGTGGTGTTTGGTTTTCTGTTCTTGTGCTAGTTTGCTGAGAATGATGGTTTCCAGCTTCATCCATGTCCCTACAAAGGACATGAACTCATCATTTTTTATGGCTGCATAGTATTCCATGGTGTATATGTGCCACATTTTCTTAATCCAGTCTATCATTGTTGGACATTTGTGTTGGTTCCAAGTCTTTGCTATTGTGAATAGTGCTGCAATAAACATATGTGTGCATGTGTCTTTATAGCAGCATGTTTTATAATCCTTTGGGTATATAACCAGTAATGGGATGGCTGGGTCAAATGGTATTTCTAGTTCTAGATCCCTGAGGAATCACCACACTGACTTCCACAATGGTTGAACTAATTTACAGTCCCACCAACAGTGTAAAAGCATTCCTATTTCTCTACATCCTCTCCAGCACCTGTTGTTTCCTGACTTTTTAATGATCGCCATTCTAACTGGTGTGAGATGGTATCTCATTGTGGTTTTGATTTGCATTTCTCTGATGGCCAGTGATGATGAGCATTTTTTCATGTGTCTTTTGGCTGCATAAATGTCTTCTTTTGAGAAGTGTCTGTTCATATCCTTTGCCCAATTTTTGATGGTTCACCACTCCTATTCAACATAGTGTTGGAAGTTCTGGCCAGGGCAATCATGCAGGAGAAGGAAATAAAGGGTATTCAATTAGGGAAAGAGGAAGTTGAATTGTCCCTTTTTACAGACGACATGATTGTATATCTAGAAAACCCCATCGTCTCAGCCCAAAATCTTCTCAAGCTGATAGGCAACCTCAGCAAAGTCTCAGGATACAAAATCAATGTGCAAAAATCACAAGCATTGTTATACACCAATAACAGACAAACAGACAGCCAAATCATGAGTGAACTCCCATTCACAATTGCTTCAAAGAGAGTAAAATACCTAGGAATCCAACTTACAAGGGATGTGAAGGACCTCTTCAAGGAGAACTACAAACCACTGCCCAATGAAATAAAAGAGGATACAAACAAATGGAAGAACATTCCACGCTTATGGGTAGGAAGAATCAATGTCGTAAAAATGGCCATACTGCCCAAGGTAATTTATCGATTCAATGCCATCCCCATCAAGCTACCAATGACCTTCTTCACAGAATTGGAAAAACTACTTTAAAGTTCATATGGAACCAAAAAAGAGCCCGCATTGTCAAGTCAATCCTAAGCCAAAAGAACAAAGCTGCAGGCATCACGCTACCTGACTTCAAACTATACCACAAGGCTACAGTAACCAAAACAGCATGGTACTGGTACCAAAACAGAGATATAGACCAATGGAATAGAACAGAGTCCTCAGAAATAACGTCTTTAATCCATGTTGAGTTAATTTTTGTGTAAGGTGTAAGGAAGGGGTCGAGTTTCAGTTTTCTGCATATGGCCAGCTAGCTTTCCCAACACCATTTATTAAATAGGGAATTATTTCCCCATTGCTTTTTTTTTCAGTTTTGTCAAAGATCAGATGGTAATTTTCACATTTCAATGAATTTGTCAATTTTGTCTAAGTTGTCATGTTTATTCACATAAATTTTATATTATTACCATGTATTTTTAAGTATCTGTAGAATCTTAAAGAATGTCACATTAACTCATTTTCAAACTTGGTAATTTGTAGTTTTTGTTTTCAAGAGCTAGTTTGGCTAGATAGACTTTTGCTTTTATTGATCCTCTCAAAGTGTTTGGTGTTGTTCAAGTTTTCTATCATTTTTGCGTTTTATTCGTTCCATCTCTGATGTTTTAGTTCTCTTTGCCTATTATTTAAAAAATCTGTAGTTGGGAGCTTATCGGCAACATAAATTGAATTCTCACCATTGTGGAAGCTGCACAGTTCAAGATCAAGGTATCATCAGATTTGATGTCTGAATAGGTACCACTTCATGATTCATCGATGCACTGTTTTTCCCTGTGTCTTCACATGGCAGAAAGGGTAAAGAGGCTCTCTGGGGTTATTTCTATCAGGGCATTAATCCATTTATGAAGGGTTGGCCCTCATGACCTAATTACATCCCAAAACTCCTACCTCCTAATAACATCACCTCTATGATTTGATTTTAGCATACGAAAATTGCAAGGACAAAAACATTCAAACCAGTACAGATATTCATCATTTCCTTTCCTCTGCTTCCACTGAGTTTACTTTTTTCTTCTTCTTCTTTTTTTTTTTTTTTTTGGTTTCTTAAGGTAAAAGTCAAAGTTATTTATTTGAGAGTCTTCTAATGTAGACATTCAGTGCTGAAAATTTTAATTTAAGTGCTGTTGTAGATGCATTTTACAATATCTAATGTGTTGTGTTTTCATTTGAAATTAGTTCAAAATACTTTCTAATTTTCCTTTTTATTATTTTTGAACCAACCCAGGGTTATTTGGATGTATGTTACTTAATTTCCAATAGTTGAGTTGTTTCAGGTACTTTTTTATTATTGATTTTTAATTTGATTGCTTTTGGGTCAGGTAACATGTTTTGTATGACTTAAATCCTTCTTAATCCTTTTATTAAGATATGATCTAGAATATAGTCTTTGAGTACTTCTGAAGAATGGTGTTAAGTCTATCACATTCTTGCCGATTTTCTGCCTCTCATTTTACCACTTGAGTAAGGGGTTTAGAAATTTTAGACCACACTTGGGCATTTGTCCATTTCTTTTGCAGTTCTATCTTTGTATCATGTATTTTGAAGGATTTATGTTATTATGCACATAAATATTTAGGACTGTTATGTTTTCTTGATTAAGTGAACCCTTTGTCACTATAAAATGACTTTGTTTATTGCTGGTAATATTTTTGCTATGAAATGTACTTTGGTATTAATACAACCACCCTTCCTCAGCCTTCTTTTGTCAAGTGTTAGTGTGGTATATGTTGTTTCATCTTTAATCAATTTTTGTCTTTATATTTAAAGTTTATTTCTTATAGGCATTACACAGGTAGATCTTACTTTTATATCCATTCTGACAATCTGCTTTTGAGCAGAGGTTTTTAGACCACTTTAATTTATAATGTAATTATTGATATGATAAAAGTTTGCTGTCATCATGCTGTTTGATTTCTATTAGTTCCAGATCTTCTTTGCTTTGCTTTTGTTCTTTTTCTGCTTCCTTCAGACTAGTTTAGTAATTTTTATGATTTAGTTTTATAGGTATATATATATATATATATATGTATAACTTTTTTAGTTATTGATCTAGTTTTATATTTCTTTATGATTTAGTCATATCTTTTTGTGGTATAAGTTTATTTGGTTATTAGGTATAACTCTTTGCTTTGCTGTCTTAGTGGTTTTTTTAGGATTTATAGTGTATGGATTTACCTCATCACAACCCATCTTCAAGTAATATTATATCATATCATAGATGGTATAAGAAATTACAATTGTGTATTTTCATTTCTTCTCTTCCAGCCAGATCCCAGCCTGGATCTGTGGGATTGTAGCTTTCATTAAGTTTAGAATGTATTTAGCCAATTTTTCCTCAAATGTTTTTTTCTGTCTCTCCTCCTACCTGTTTGGAGACTTATATATTACCTGCTGGGAGTTTGCTCATAGTTCTCTAGTGTCTCAAATTTGTGAATCTTTTCTTTCCTGATGGCAAATCAATCTATGCTCATATCTACTCAGTGTAGCTTTCATCTCCGGCATTGTAACTTGTATCTCTACAAGTGCAATTTAGTTTTTAAAAGTATATTCTATTGCTCTACTTATCTTCTTGATTTTTATTGTAGAATAGAGTTGAGTTACTTATAAACAGCTTGATCTTTTTCATTTTTGCTTTTTATGGTATGAGCTAACTCCCCACACCTGAGGGGCAAGGCCTTTCTGACTATTCATTTTCCTGTGAAGTCTGAGTCTTCCAGGTAAATCTATAAAAATAGACACTCTTCTTGCCACTATGTGAGAACCAGGTGTGATTTTCTCTAATTTTGTAAGACCCCCCCGACCCAGCTTGGTCTTAGGTAGTTTTCTGACTCACATGCAATCTTTATTATTTTGCTAAATAGTAGGAGGGGTTTCCAGGGGTTTCTTGCTATTGCTTCTGTATCTCTCTCCCCTCCTCAGTGTTTTGTTCTGTAATGTCTGTCTGCTTTGGTTTTACCAGACTCTAAGCTTCATCACTGTAACCAAGAGAGTCTGATAGGTTCCACCTCAGTTTTTTCTTCCTGTGTCACGTCTTGGAATCTCTGTCAAAGCAGGAAGCTGAAACATTCATAAGGTTTGCTTTCCATTTTTTTTCTGTTTTTCAGGGATTATCATCTTCTTTGCCTAATGTCCACTGTCTAAAAAAATTGTTTAATGTATTTTGTGTGTTTTCTTTTTAGTTATTTTAGCTAAGAAGAAAAATCAATACCCATTGTTCTCTTTTGGCTGGGGTCAGACTACACTAGAGCTTCAGCACATGCCACACACTGGCTAAAATGCTTTTCTTCCCCCTTTGCTCAACTGCTTCCTTTTCAATCTTTATTCCACAGTGTAGCCATACATTCCTCAGGGGAATTTTCTGTGGGCCTAGTATATATCTTATTCTTAGCAATCTGTTTTCTTACAGTATCTATCTGAATTTATAATTGTCACTTTTCTGGGGCTTTGCTTTTCAGTATATTTTAAGCTAAACAAGAGGAGAGGTTTTTTTTTTTTCTGTTTAATCTGCAGAGCTTAGTATAATGCCTTCCACGTGGTAGGCAATCAATATATATTTGTTCAGTGTATAAGTGATTGTTAAAATATGCAGCCCTTTATATCCCAAAAGTACTAATATATTTTATTTGTATCTCCTCCTTGAGACAGATTCAACTAGCCTATCAAAAATCTTGGATACAGTTCATTCTTGTGAAAGAGCAAGGGAACTTCAAAAAGATCACTGTGAACAACGTACAGGAAAAATGGAACAAATGAAAAAGAAGTTTTGTGTACTGAAAAAGAAACTGTCAGAAGCAAAAGAAATAAAATCACAGTTAGAGAACCAAAAAGTTAAATGGGAACAAGAGCTCTGCAGTGTGAGGTGTGATTTCCTAGTTTTAAATAAATATTTCAGCTATTTATACTAAAACTACGTAGGATACTTTTTGTAATAGCTGACTTACCTTCTGAGGTTTTACTGGAGAAAAAAATGTCTGTCTTGTAGAGTGTCAAATTCTTTAAATAATACAAGTTCTTAAATGTGAATACTTCTGCTGATAATTAAATGCATATTTATTTAAATCACAGTTTTAATGGCTATATAGAAGGCCATTATTTGGAAATCCCATTACTTACTTAACAAATTAAGTTTTTTGATTTTTAACTTTCTGTATTATAAATGCTGCAAGGCATAACTGCATGTAAAACTTTTTCTACTTTTCTAATTATTGACTTGAAATAAATTCTTCAATATAAAAATATTTGGTTAAGTTATAGGAAGTTTTTAAGAAGTTATTTGTTCATTACTTCTAAATTGTTCTCAAGAAAATGTATATTCATTACAGTTCAACAAAGAGAGCGTGAAATGGCCATTCTTCTTTCCCCAAGACTCGATTTCTTTCAATTATACACTTTTAATCTTAATGTGCATGGAATATAAAGAAAATGTATAATAATTTATTAGTTTATTCAACATCTCTTGCTGTCCTACATAAAATGAATTCAGAGTTCTATGTTAAAAATGCATACTATTTTTATTCTTTAATTAAATATTATATTCTGTCTTGTTCTAAAAGAGATTTAAAATTTGTTGATAAAATATATAATAATCAACAAGGTACGTTTAAAGCATTACTCAAAAAAGAAACAAAAGGCATATGGGATAACAGATATTAGACTCTTTAACCTAATCTGAGATTTTAATATTAAAATTATTTTTAGGGATACTTGCCATATTTTAGAAGTATGAATATTTATGTCTAACAGATCTGTAAACTTGTTCATAAAAAGTAATCAGTTAACTTTAATCAGTCACTTTAATCAGTTAACTCTAAATAATCTGTCCTCATTGAGGAGTAATTTTGACTGCGTGAGATTTTTAAAAAATAATTTTCAACTTATAAATTTACTGGATAGCTTCCAATATTCTTTTCTATAACAGTCGTTGCAGTTAATAGTAGCAGAAACTTTCTAACTGGAAGATGTTCTTTTCTCGCTATTTTTCAAGTATGTATGTCATTTGGAAGAGTTTGGAGTAATAAATAGCTGAGAACTAGGAAGAAAAAAATTCAAGAATATAGGAATTTTATTGGACTAATAACCCAATATAGGAAGAAATAGATCTCAAAATGAATTCTATTTTCTAACAAAATGAATTTTAAGATAAGTATGTTTAATGGCAGATTGACTTTAAACCAAGAAGAAGAGAAGAGAAGAAATGCCGATATATTAAATGAAAAAATTAGGGAAGAATTAGGAAGAATCGAAGAGCAGCATAGGAAAGAGTTAGAAGTGAAACAACAACTTGAACAGGCTCTCAGAATACAAGATATAGAATTGAAGAGTGTAGAAAGTAATTTGAATCAGGTAAATCAATCTCTGATAAAAATTTTATATTTCTAACTTTATTTCATCAATATTACTTTTAATATCCCTTTGATTTAGTATGTATTATTCAGGTCTAAATCAAACAAAAATGTTGTCTTAAAATTAACTATCACATTTGTAGCTACAGTTATTTATTATAAGTTATGACATCCAAGTAGTATCTTATTTCAGTACAAAGAGCTTTTGAAAACAATGATAATCCCTACCATATAGTTAGTGATAATTTATTGGTAAGTAGTTTGTTCCTAGCAACATAGTTTAGTGTTTTTCCTAGTTAACATTTAATACTGACTCAAACATTATCAAGAGGAAGCAAAAGTTACAGCCATAGTAAATAAGCTCATGGTTTTCTATGTAGGGCTCTCTAGATTTTATCTTCTTTCTTTTGTTTTGAAATAGAAGACTTCTTTTATATTTACATATTTACCCAGTAGAATGAACTGAGATTTGGTGAAGTCCTGGATGTAGACTCAGAAGACTGGGAGAAAATCCTACAACTTGTTTATATTTTTAATCTTTTCCTTTCAGAATTGTGATAACTAAAAGTGCTTGTTACAATGTCTCAACTTATCAAACATTCATAAATATAATTCTTAAAATTAACTATATTTTTTAAAAAGATAGAATATCTAGAGAATATTATCAGGAAAAAGGAACTGAAAGAGCTCTGGGAAATTTTATCTGTCTAAATATATGCAGCACTAAGATTCTTAGTATATGTTAGACATCAGAGTGTAAACCCAATTTTCGTATGTAGTCAAATTGATTTATCTTTTATTTTATGCTTTTGAGCTTGTTGTAATTCAGGGAAAGTTTTTTTTTTCAATTCCGAGGTTCTTAAAAACTCTCTAGTCATTTCTTTTGTACTTTCATGAATTCGTTGTCTTCAAATAAATGTTTGAACTTTGGGGAATTTATGCTCTATAGCATTTAAAGTTTTGATTCAGTGGTTCTTCAACTGATACCTACTTATAAAAACCCTTTCATTGTATAAATGTACAAGTTATTCTTTAGTTTCAGAGGAACCATGATATGCCATTTTATTGAGTGCTAGCTAAAAGTTTATTTTGTTTTATTTAGGTTTCTCACACTCATGAAAATGAAAATTATCTCTTACATGAAAATTGCATGTTGAAAAAGGAAATTGCCATGCTAAAACTGGAAATAGCCACACTGAAACACCAATACCAGGAAAAGGAAAATAAATACTTTGAGGACATTAAGATTTTAAAAGAAAAGAATGCTGAACTTCAGATGACCCTAAAACTGAAAGAGGAATCATTAACTAAAAGGGCATCTCAATATAGTGGGCAGCTTAAAGTTCTGATAGCTGAGAACACAATGCTCACTTCTAAATTGAAGGAAAAACAAGACAAAGAAATACTAGAGGCAGAAATTGAATCACACCATCCTAGACTGGCTTCTGCTGTACAAGACCATGATCAAATTGTGACATCAAGAAAAAGTCAAGAACCTGCTTTCCACATTGCAGGAGATGCTTGTTTGCAAAGAAAAATGAATGTTGATGTGAGTAGTACGATATATAACAATGAGGTGCTCCATCAACCACTTTCTGAAGCTCAAAGGAAATCCAAAAGCCTAAAAATTAATCTCAATTATGCAGGAGATGCTCTAAGAGAAAATACATTGGTTTCAGAACATGCACAAAGAGACCAACGTGAAACACAGTGTCAAATGAAGGAAGCTGAACACATGTATCAAAACGAACAAGATAATGTGAACAAACACACTGAACAGCAGGAGTCTCTAGATCAGAAATTATTTCAACTACAAAGCAAAAATATGTGGCTTCAACAGCAATTAGTTCATGCACATAAGAAAGCTGACAACAAAAGCAAGATAACAATTGATATTCATTTTCTTGAGAGGAAAATGCAACATCATCTCCTAAAAGAGAAAAATGAGGAGATATTTAATTACAATAACCATTTAAAAAACCGTATATATCAATATGAAAAAGAGAAAGCAGAAACAGAAGTAAGTATCAAAAAATATAAATACTTGTCAAACTTCCTGAAAGAAAGTTTAAAGTCATATTTGGCCTTGGCTAAATGCTGAATCTAGTTGAATATATATATATATATATATATATATATATATATATATATAATATATGTATGTATAAATAGATGATAAATGCACTTACTATATCAGCTTAGAAACATGCCTCATTTCCACCAAATGAAAGTTAAAGCTGAGAGACGTTTTACTTTGAGTAAAGACATTGTGTCACTGATGAAATTTTAAGAGTTTAAGATTTTTAATAGATTAACATTAATGACATTGGCTTTTACTGTTGAAATAAAGGTTTTAATGTCTCTTTGTGGCCACATTTTATGACCACAATGAAGCAGATGAATGGGAATGCCCGTATCAGCAATTAGTATTTTGAAATTAAGATTCAATTTAGCAATTTACTTTGACAGTTAATTCTAAATTTTCCAGAGGAACTGAAGTGTATTTGAAGTATACATTTCTGCGTCTTGTAATAATACTTTTTTTCAGTAGCTTTTTATGTATTTTAGTTGATAGAATTTTATTTTCATTTATGTCAATTTGACTTAAATCTGAACATATTTGAATCTCAAATTATGTATTGTTATAACCTCAATTTTTTAAAGGCATCTGTGTTTTATTAAATAATACCTTAGGACAAATGTAGTGAATTTTAGCAATATCAAATTTGATTTAATCACCCCACTGGTATTTATAATTTATTTTGAATATTGTTACAAATAATTTGCTCATAATTTCTATTTGAAGGCTCAAAGATTATCATGTCCCAGAGAAAGATCATTGTAGCTCTCTGTGATTTATTAGCTTTGCATTGGGTCCCCATTTTACAATTCATGAGGGGTGGCAGGGTTCATGTATAGTACAAAAGAAGTGAGTAGAGAAGAGAAACACAGCAGCTGAGGTCAGGAGGGATGCAGAGACCAGGTTACCTAAGGCCTCTAAAGCCTTTGAAATAAAAATACTTTTATTCTGAGATAGAAATCTATTGGAAAAATTTCAGCATGTGATTGAATATGTGAGGAACTTTGATGTTGATTTGTGCTTCTAATACAGAAGAAGGAGAAAGCATTCCACTGTGTAGAATTTACCACCATTAGTCCTTCCCACATTTTTTTTTTTTTTTTTTGAGACTTCAGTAGGTTGTGAAGCATTACAGATTCATTAGCGGACAAATGACTAGTGGGATGAATCTGGTGTCTAGTAAGAGAGTACCAGTTTGGCAGGAAGATAACATCTTCTTGTCTCCTTAAGTGGATTCAGTAATAAGCAGCAATGGGTACAAATGAAGAAAATAAGCTGAATCAATATATTTGGGGATATTTTTGAAAGTAAATATTGTTAATTTGATAAGATGATTTACAAAATCAATAACAAACATGTCTTGTCAGGTCATTGTGAGACAACTTCAAAAAAACTTGGCTGATCTCAATAAACAGTGTGTGTCTGAGGCTTCACTAGAGGTTACATCACATTATCACATTAATCTCAAAGATGAGATACAGGATTTAATGAAGAAATGATTTCAAATCAAAAGTCAAGTATGCATTAAATGTAACATGCCAACAGTGAATCTATAGCTGGTTAAATAATATAAATTGTTTTATGATACTAACTTCCATGGGAAGACTTCTTTTATATGTCATTATAGTTAGTTTTGTTACAATTTTATTATCTTTAAAATGTGCTTATTTTTAAAACTGTGGCTGTCATTCTGTAATGTTTTTCTTATAATTACATATTTTTCTCATAATATTTACCCTTAAGAAGATTAAGAATTATACATTGTTTAGCCCACAGGTTGGGAGACTATTCTTCAGATAAACAGTGTTTTTCAGTGATTTATGTTACCATGGCGAGGCAAGCCATATTTAATCAGAGAAGAATGTATAATGGAATATTCCAGAAAATTATCTTATTTCTTAGCTCCACTTTTGTGAGTGGATGCCAAGGACATTATACTGTTCTCCAAAATGGAGATGTTTAGGTTAATATACACAGTATTAGAATAGCTAGGCAATTCTTTTATTTTTTGTTTTTAATTATATTGTATAAACATAAACATTTAGATCATGTATAGTATGCATTCAAACATTCAAAATAGAAAATAGAGGAAATTATCTTGATACTGCCATTGGATGTTTAAAAAGGAACTTTATTGGGATAAAATTCACATATCATATAGTTCACACATTTAAATTGTACAACTCAGCATCTCTTAATATATTCACAAAGTTGTATAACCATCACCACAGTCATTTTCAGAACATTTTCATCACCCTAAAGAGAAACTTCACATCTCTTAGTCATCACCACCGCCCACCTCCATGTTTCTTCACCTTCCCCAGTCCTAGGCAACCATCGTCTAGTTTTTGTCTTTATAGATTTGCCTGTTCTGAACATTTCATAGAAATGGAGTCATACAATTTGTGGTGTTTAATGAGTGGCTTCTCTTACTTAGCATAGTGTTTTTAAGTTTCATCTATTTTGTAGTACATATCAGTACTTCATTTCTATTTATTGTCAAATAATATTCTATTGCATGGCTACAGCAGCTATTCATTCATCAGTTGATAGATGTTTAGGTTGCTTCTGCTTGTGGCCATTATGAATAACGCTGCTGTAAGCATTCACTTACAAGTTATTGTGTGGGCCTATATTTTTATTTCTCTGCCACTGGATTTTATATTTAGTTAATTGGGCCGATTTCCATATCTCTCTGCCTTCCTCATGCTGTTCCTCCATTTTCAGTTTTTGTTCATCTATCCTCATTCATTCAGACTTGGTGGACACATTTTCCATTTTCATAAAGCTTTCTCTGACTGTTCTGACTCTCATTGACCTTATGCTTCAGGATGTGTTTTCTAGTTGGTGCAGAACAATTTAACTTTCAATTGTACATTGCTTTATTTTTTCATGAGACATAATCATGTCTTATTATAAATTTGCCTAAGCAGGGGATAATATCTGACATACATGCTACCTGTTATTGTGTAAATTGAAAATATTCTATCTTACCAGTTGTTACAATTAAATATATTATACTGATAATTTATTTTTTCAGACATTGACATAATAAAGTTTTATTTGAAATATATCTTAATCAATAAATATAAAACAGAAACCACTCTAATAGAGGACAATTGTTCTAGTCAATACTCATATTTGTTCTGACTATTGAGAAAAATTATGTCTGCATTTTAAAAGTTTCAAATTTTGAAGCTTCAGATTTTAGAATAGGGATTTTCAACCCACGGTACTGGGTCTCCTCAGTTTACAGTGGCATTACGTCTTGATAAACCCATTATAAGTTGAGAATATTGAGAATGAGAAACATAGAAAACACATACACTTTATCTAAAGAAAAATGGTTAATAGAAAAAGAAAAAGAAAAAAAAACTATAAAAGAATGCTTACAGAGAATGAGCGTAGTTACCTTATCCTGAAGTTAGGTGAGAATCAGAAATGTTATGGGGAACAAATGAGAGCTTTCAAAAAATTATCTTACTTAGATCTGAATGAACAAACCTGGAATATTGTGAACTATTGATGACAATGCTTTGAGGGCATCTTTGGAAACCAAAATGTAAATATAACTAATTATTTTTTCACTTATTGTTAGCATTTAGTATTTTATGCATAAAAACTTTTTTACCAAATAAATTTTGGAAGTTTAAATTCCACAAATGATACTAATGAAAGTATAAATCATTTTGGGTTGTTTTTTAAAAAATTATGTTTCAATCTGTCATTATTGGAATAAAGTGTATAAACTGCATGTTATAAAACGGCTTTACACATATATAACTCATGAACTCAAGAGAAATAATATTTTTAGGAAAGAAGAGTATCTCTAGATTTTTAATAATAATTAAATTTCTTTAAAAGACTGAAGATAGAAAAGAGAAATTAAACATATGTATTGACTTAATGCAATCTCTGGAGGATAATTTGGATCAAGAAATAAAGAAAAAATGAATTAGGAAAAGAAATAACTGGGTAATATTTCAATATTTTAGAACTTTAAAAATATTAACTATAATTTCAATATATTTATTAAAACTGAGATACAAGTTTGACCTATATCTGCATTTTGATAATTAAACAAATTATTCTATTTTAATGTTTTTTCAGAGTCACAGCACAAACTGAAACTTTTTTTGAATACCTAAATATCACACTTATTCTTTAATGATTTTGAAAACAATAATGACAATGCCTTTGGCATATAATGTCAACTGCTCTTTTCATTATCTACTTTGAATTTTTATTTCTGAAGATATTTTTGTTTGTATTTGGTAATCTTCTTCTTGGTAGTATGCATATCTGCTATTCTTTAATATCTAAAAATATGTCTTTGTTATTTTTAAACATCATCAAAAATTATCTTGATTAACGTTTCTTTTAGTCTCTTTGATTTTTTTTAGTTTTAAAATATATTATGGATATTTACTTATTTTCTACTGGTATCTCCCATGCATATGTGAGCTACATATATATATCACTAAACTTCTGTTGTTTTTGATACACACACACACACGTGTATATATACACATATATTATATGTATATACATATATATGTTATAATAAAAAATATGTATGACCTAAAAAAGAGTAAATGAGTAATTGTGTTTTTGCCACTCAGATTAAAAATAGAACTTTCCTCAGTGCCTTTGAAGCCCCCAAGACGGCTGCTTTTCAATTTGCTGAGAACTTTAATTTGTTCTCTGATTCCAATTAATATTTTTCTCTCATTATCTTTCTCTGCATGGTTTTGGATGCCTTTCACTTTGTTAGCACTGTGCTAGCAAAGATCTTTAGATCTCTTCCTACAACAGTCGTGAAGTCTTCACATGATCTCTCTTTTCATTTCTTTTCTTCTAAAACTGCCTGTTTCCTTTTCCCTCCTCAACTCAGAATGTTTTCTTTCTATTTTTCTACTTTGAATAATCTTTGTGATAATTTATGTGTGTGTGTTCTTTTCTTCTACAGACTGTGGTCAAAAGGTATAAAAAATGTATTGTGTCTTTTGCAAACATTCATATATAAATATGCTTTTCCCCTTTGATGCTGATCTCTGAGTAAAAATTCGTATTTAATAATACGCTAGTGTTTTATATTAACATATTAGGTTGATGCAAAAGTAATCATGGTTCAAAAACCATGATTACTTCTCCCCCAATGAAATACTAAAATAAATATTAATAGTTTATATATAAAAACTATATATATGGTTATAATATCAATCCTTTATCTGTCATATATGCTGTACATTTTTCTTCATATTACTTACATAAAGTTAAATTTTGTTAGAATGTTTTCAAACTATGTTACGTCGAAACCAATGAGAGAGGGTCATAATTTATTGACTTGTTTCTTTGTAGGTTAGAACATGTTTGTTTAAGAAATTATTAAATATTAGTCTGAAACATTTTGACTTAGTCATTGTGTACATTCCTGCAGATATAAGAAGCTTTTAGAAATTACAGAAAAGAAGTTAAAGGAATGTTAAAATGGAAAGCTAAATTTCCATGGAGATTTTAAAACCAGTCTACTTGAAATGGATATTTAGATGAATAAGCTAACACATGAAGTACTTTTTAACTAGTTTGAGGACCAAAAGAACTACCCACATACTTTGGGGAAGTAAAAATCTGTCAGTGCTTTGAGCAGTGAAAGAGATTTTTAAAAAAATTTTTTTGGGCTTGATTCTAATGGAAAGAATACATTTTTAATATGTTCTTTTTCTATAAGGCGGGCATACTGCTCATTCCATGTCTTGAACACTGGCCAATGATACAAAAGCAAGCAGTACGCCATCCTATGATGACTTCAAGTCACTAGTATCAAATTGATTTTCTCGGTAACAATTTTAGTGAGATATAATTAACATGCCATGCAATTCACTCTTTGCAGTAGCTTTTAGTATTTTCACAGAATTATACAATCGTCACCACAATCTATTCTAGAATATTTTTATCAGTCTAAAAAAAAATTCGGCATTCTTTGTCACCTACCAGTTTCCCATTCCTTGCTCAGTTCTAGGGAACCACCGATCTACTGTGTTTGTATATATTTGTCTGTTCTGGAAGCTTTATCTTGTTCAAATCACAGTACATGGCCTTTTGTGACTGGATTCTTTCACTTAGCATAACATTTTCTTTTTATTTATATATATATATATAATTTTACTTTAAGTTCTAGGGTACATGTGCACAACATGCAGGTTTGTTACATATGTATACATGTGCCATGTTGGTGTGCTGCACCCATTAACTCGTCATTTACATTAGGTATATCTCCTAATGCTATCCCTCCCCCCTCCCCCCACCCCACAACAGGCCCCGGTGTGTGATGTTCCCCTTCCTGTGTATCCAAGTGTTCTCATTGTTCAGTTCCCACCTATGAGTGAGAACATGCGGCGTTTGGTTTTTTGTCCTTGCAATAGTTTGCTGAGAATGATGGTTTCCAGCTTCATCCATGGCAAATTGGATAAAGAGTCAAGACCCATCAGTGTGGAAACCCATCTCACATGCAGATGCTATAGCATAACATTTTCAAGGTCCTCTGTTGCAGCAAGTATCAGCACTTAATTTCTTCTTACTGCTGAGTATATTTCATTGTCTAGATACATCAAACATTTTATTTACCCACTCATCAGTTGATAGATCTTTAGGTTGTTTCCATTTTGGGCTAATATTAATAGTGCTGCTATGAACTTTTAGGTATAAGTTTTTGTGTTTGCATATGTTTTCATGTCTCTTGGGTGTATACTTATGAGTGGAATTGCTGAGTCATATGGTAGTCTATGTTTAACTTTTGGAGGAAATGCCAGTACATTTTCCAAAGCAGCTATACCATTTTTCATTAGCAGTATGAGGGTTCTAATTTCTCCACATTTTTACCAGGAAAGATTCCATCCTAGTGGTGGGAAGTGGCACCCCTCTGTGGTTTTATTTGCATTCCCTAATGACTGATAATTTTAAGGATGTTTTAATTAAAACATGCATCTTAGCCATGTGTATATCTTCTTTGGAGAAATGTCTCTTTCCATCCTTTGCCCATTTTCTAATTGGGCCATCTTGTTTCTTTCTGAATGGTAAGTGTTCTTTATATATCCTAAATATAAATTTTCTATCAGAAATACAGTTATCAAATATTTTCTCCTACTCAGTGCTTGCCTTTTTACTTTACTGTTAGTATATTTTCAAGCATAGCAGTTTTAAATTCTAATGTTAATCCATATTTTGAGTTGTTATATCTAAGAAGCCACTGCCAAATGTAGTCACAAAGATTTATTCCTGTCTTTTCTTTGAAGAAACTTATAGTTTTAGCTCTTAAATTTAGCTATTTTATTTTGAGATAATTTTTAAATACAGTATTTGGTGGGACTCCAACTTTTTTCTTTTGCATATGGATATCCATTTGTCCCAGAACCATTGGTTGAAAATACTATTCTTTTCCCATGTAGTCATTTTGTTATCCTTGCTGAAAATCAATTGACCATACATGTGCAGGTCTGTTTTTGGATTCTAAATTCTAAAACATTGATCTCTCTATTCTTATGCCAGTACCAAATCAACTTATATGAGAACTCTTTTTCAATCATGTTGCATATTACCAGTTATATATTATCATACATGATAAAAGTTCAGTATAGAGAAACATCTTTACTTTTTGTTTCTTGAAAGAGCCCATGGCCAGCTTATGCACTGCTGACTCCATGACTTGATGGGAAGTCAAGCTTACAAAGACAAGAGTCCATTCCTTTGTTTCTCTATTCAAACCTTTAGTCTCTCATTGACTGCCTCTCTCTTGAGTCCCATTTCTATCAAATCTTGGTCACATCATCTGACAGTCTACTATTTCATGCATTAGGTTCTATTAACTCATTGTAATTTGTACAATCATCTGTAGATGTTATCCATCCTGGGAAGAGAAGAGTCAGTCCAGACTGTAAGCTTTTCTTATTGGAAATGGAGCTAATTCATCATCTTGCAGTTCACAGGTAGATCCTCTTTTGACCTGGCACCTGATTCTTGTGTATAACACCTGGGATGATCTTTTCTTGGTACAGTTCCTGCATTCCCAGAAGTCACCATTCTCTGTAATTACTTCCCTCTGCTTAAATAGGTCAAGATGCACAGCTATATTTTATAGCTTCATACATATTTTTTGGAATAAATATTTTATGCTATTCAAAGAAAAAGTTTCAGAAGTGCAGCACTAAAAAATCAGGTTATGTTTAGGCAATTTATAAGAGACAAATAATAGTGAAATTAGTTGTTTGAATTTCAAAATATCAAAGCTAATTTTGTTGTATGATATGAAGAAGCATTGTGGTACAACATAAAGATTAAATGGTTAACTTCTTCATATAGACAAACTTGAAGTACAGTGAAGGAGAAATTGTATTTAATTTATTAACATTCAAACCCACTACATTTATTTTACTTCTGAGATGATTAAAAATGATTCTACAATGTTCTCTTTATTTTCTCATTGAAGAAAGGAAAATGAATAGTGAATGCCAGATTGATTAATAAATACTCAATACTGCTTAGCTTTCTGAAGATTTTACTTCTATGAAATCAGATAACATCTGATTTTGATTGTTAAACCAAATATTTTTAATTTTCCAGCTGTTGCGCTTCACAACTTGCCTCTTTGCTTCCCTGTCTTACTGATTTCCTAACTTGAGGGGAAATCCTAAAGAAGCACACTTGCCTAGTAATAAGAATTTTTAATTAAAAGGAATTTTAGGAAATCTTTCTCCTCAGTAGCTCTTATGTCTGTCTGCTACTTTTCTACTGCTTCTCATTAGCATTGTTTGTCATGAATAAATTAATATCAACCTCTATTAGATTGTACTTTAAAGGTGACTAATTTCTACTGTGTAAGTTTTCTATTGTCATTTTTTAAATCAAATTTTCTTTTTATTGTTTCCTAACAATTGCCCACAATTTAGTGGGTTAAAACAACAACATTTGTTTTACTAATTAATCTGCCATTTGGGAAAAGCTCGGCCAGGACAGCTTGTCACTGTTCCTCTTAACTTGCCTGGGGACAGCTCAAAGACTGGGAAACTACAGTAATCTGAAGGTTTGCTCAGCTATATGTCTTGTTGTTAATGCTGGCCATTGCCTAGAATGTTGGCTGTGGCAGGCAGCCAGATCACCTACATTGGAGCTTCTAGGCATTCATAAATGGCACTTGCTTTGAAAAAAATGGAATATGGTAAGAGGTATACCGTGAGATTTGCAACATTAGTTTAGAAAAGGCTCTCTATCTCAAACTGCTTGCCCTTGGTACCCCCTTCTCCTGTTTTGAGTGAGGATGGTCAGGCCACATTCTATTCATTAGCAGTAAGTCACTAAGTTTGGCCCATGTTATTATTTTTTTAATGAGATGAATTGTTTTATATTTTTAGTTGACATGTACATACACGTTTATGGGATGTAGAGTAACAATGATATCTCCTCTATATATGTATGCAATGTGTAATGCTCAAATCAAGATAACTAATATATTCAACACCTCAAACATTTATTATTTATTTCTGTTGGGAACATTTCCAATCCTCTCTTCTAGGTTTTGGAAGCATATCATAAATTATAGTTAACTGTATTCACTCTACAATGCCACAGAACACCAGAACTCATCCTCCTATCTAGTTATTAGCTATTATCAATTTAGTAAACATTGCTGATAAGTATTTCAAGCTTCAGCTTCTTTTTCACGTATTTAAAATTGCTTTCTGAATCACTGACTTATAAGGAAACAAATATACAATAATTATGCAGCTTATAATTACCTTAAAATGTACCCTTTTGATTTGTTTTCTTTTTAATTTTAATTTTTGTGGGTACACAGTAGGGTGTGTATATATATATCCATATATGTATGTATGGGTTACATGAGATATTTTAATACAGGCATCAGATGCATAATAATCACATTAGGGTAAATGGGGTATTCGTCACCTCAAGCTTTTATCCAATGTGTTACAAACAAATTCATTTTACTCTTTTAGTTATTTTTAAATGTACAATTAAATTGTTTGTTACTGTACTTTTAATTTGTTTAGACACAAGCAGAAACTCAAGAAAACCTATAGCACTTAAGAGAGCATGATATTGTTTCAATAAATAAGATGGAGGTGATAGTTAAAGATCTGCAATCTGAACTCTCCAAAATGAAAACTGTAGAAGACTTTAATAAAACAGAATCAGAAAAATATAAACACCTCTATTTAGAGGAATTAAAATTTAGGGATTTGTTGTCAAATGAACTAAACAAGTCAGTCAAAATATAATTATAGAAAGTAAATTAAGCTCATTAATTTGCCTCAAAAGTTTAATTTTTAGTGAGACAGGTTCACAACATCAGTGGGAAGTGGAAGTTAACTAGATAATATAATTATGGAAACATGATGTTAGTAAATGAACTGACCTTCAAAGTGTTTGTCCAGGAGAGTTTATGTCTCTTCCGCATTTGTTGGTTTTATATGGCTTTTTTCCCCTTCAGATTCACACTAGTCAACCTGATCTGTTAGCCTTTCAGCTAAGTATTTTTGAAGCATTTAATTTGACAGTAGTATTGTCATTAAATGGCTTTTCAGCATGTCCCCAAATAGAAATACTAATAAGTTTAACTATTGTTTAGAGGATTAAAATTGAGACCAAAATGGTCATGTACAATTACTACTACATTTCACTTTCTGACACTTGGTAAATTAACTTTCTTTGATAGTGGTCTTGGGTATTATCATTAGACAGCACCCTGAGAAAACACCCTGTATAGTTTTTTTCATTCTTTATAAAAGCATCCTTGTGAAATGGGGAATTAATAATACAGAGATTAAGGGATGTACAATTCACAAAATGGTTAAAAATAACACCTTGGTTAGCCTGAAGGTTTGTGTGGAAGACAGAAGGCACAGGCCCCACCTCCGATGCCTTGGTCACAATGTTAGTAGCTAATTGTCTTTGAAGCTGCTTTAGTTCTTTTTGATCTCTCACTCAGCTATCTTTGTCTCCCCTAGGAGTTGTTTGTCTGAATTACTTCTCAGTGTCAAATGCTTAATGGATCCCAAATAATGAGTGAAAATGTACAAGAAATGTTAAATGCCTGAAAATATCTTTGAGGGATAATATTTAAAAATCTTTAAACTGGTTTAATAAACACATATTTATAGCTTTTTTAATTTTAGTTTTTTAATTGCACATATTCAAGAAATACAACATGATGTTTTGATATATTTCTACATAGTGAAATAGTCATGGCGGCAAAAAAAAAACTTTTTGTTAGAAATCCTCCTAAAAATATTTGTACTTTTTAAGAACAATTTAAAACCTATAATTGCATACACTAGGCATGCTCTCACACATCTTCATTGTTAAAGCACGGCTTAATGGGAAATGTTATTTATTCTTATAGAAGGGTTTTCTTTTTAAATACAAGTCCTTTTCTAATTATGTAGGAAAAAATAAAATACTAAGCATTTTCCTTTTGCAATCTTCACAGAACTCATGAGAGACAAGCAGTAAGAAACTTCTTTTGGAGAAACAACAGACCAGATCTTTACTCACAACTCATGCTAGGAGGCCAGTCCTAGCATCACCTTATGTTGAAAATCTTACCAATAGTCTGTGTCAACAGAATACTTATTTTAGAAGAAAAATTCATGATTTCTTCCTGAAGCCTACAGACATAAAATAACAGTGTGAAGAATTACTTGTTCACGGTTAGTTATATTATCTGTCTTCCTTTGTTTTTCAGATTTCTGATGCAATTCTTGTTTTTAAGTAGGTGAAATACTGAGTTAATTGACTCACGTGTGTTAAATAATGGTCAACATTACCTGCGTTAACAAAGAAAGAAAACAGAAATTTTACAATTTTCTAAAAGTCCCTGGAGCTCTCATTTTCATGAAATACCCATTTGTTAACTTCATTCAATAAACTTAAAATAACACATTTTGAATTGCTTTAAAAACTGCATTTAAGTTACATTTTAGAAAGGGAATATTATTTCCTAGTAACTAAATATATACTTTGAGATGTTTTGGCTTATTTTCTGATTGGTTTGAGTTTGGCTGTGCTTCATAACACTTCTAATGTTTTCCTGTACCATCTCAAGTTTTGCACCCCTAATCAGAAGTGAATGTTTGACATCCAAACACTTAATCACATGTAGATGTTCATTATTTAAAGTAATCTAAAATAAATACATTTATGAAGTAAATAAACATGGAACACTTAAATGATTCATTTTTGTTTTGTTTTAAAGCTAAAAGTCTTGTTTTTTTTTTAACACAAGACTGGATCTTTAATTGCCACTATACCTACATCACTTTTTCCCTCAGTTTTTGTAAAGTGTCTATTATTGCTGTGCAATTTTACAATAGCTTGAAAATAGCTAAATCAACTCTTTGAATTTTTAAAATGATGTTCACTTATGTATGTCTATCACTTGAATTATTGATGACTAATACGGCGATGATATTGAGTCTTTTAATAGCAACTACAACCACACATAAGCCATTATCTTCTTTCTACCCAGAATTGCATAAAGCTGCACAGGATTCCCATCTACCCTGATGATGCAGCAGACATCATTCAATCCAACCAGGTGATTTTACTCATAGTAAGAATCAATTTCTGGAGATCCCAAAATGATGCCAGCAATGACAAGATGTATAAATTGAAGCATTGGTTTTATATATATATATATATATATATATATATATATATATATAAATAGAGAGAGAGAGAGAGAGAGATTCCATTTTTTGTCTGGGGTAAAAATTTTAAAACTATATGCAGTCATCCTAGCTACTTAGGAGGCTGAGTAGGCAAAAGAGTCACTTGAGCCCAAGATTTCAAGGCTGTAGTGTATCATAATCACAGCTATGAATAGCCAATGCCCTCCAGCCTGGGCAACATAGCCCCTGTTAAAAAAAAAAAAAAAACAAAATAAATTATTTAAAAACCCAGAATTTTTTGGACTAAAATAAATAGGTAGCAAATAGTTTTCACTGTGTATCACTGTCACTAAAATACCCATTTCAATCAATGCACATTGGCTTATAGTTTTGATGGTGATTTCATAATCTCTTTAATGCAGAGAAAAATAGTGTATGCTTATGTTAAATGAAATGTTTTTTCTTTACCTGGCTTCATATTCTAAAAAATTCTAGAGGAGCAAATCTAAGCTTTCTCAGACAGCATTGCTGCCAAATGGGAACAATTAAATGATTGTTTTAATACATAAATTTGATGATCCCAGCTAGCTGAGTTTTTAATTATTTTGATAGCTTAGTTTTATTTTTCTGGAAAAAGAGTGATATGGTCAGGGTCTAAGTGCTTCAGGGTCATAAAACTGCACTTCTGTGTACAAAAAGAGGAAGAATGTTAAATACTACTGTGAAGTGTTAGTCATGATGCACATATGAATTTTCTTATCTGTTTTTTTCCAGAATAATCAGCTCATGTATTATTTTACAAGATAATGAAAACATGTATAAATACAAATGCAGTGCAGGCAAAGATTTTTGAGAAAATATTTTCTCTTAGTTTTTAGCGGGCAAAGTGCTATTTATTTTTAGTATTTCCGGATATGTTGAAAGACAGTTCATTTTAAACTTCATTAGTACTTCCAAGGAGTGCAGGGTTTCTTTGTGCACAATTGGTTTGCCAAATCATGTTCGACTTAATAATTCTATGAAGATTCAGTGACATGTTTTCATACCTTCTTTATGTAATTGTTTACAAAATTCTTAGAGATACAGAAAGAAGATGCCTACTAGAGTTGCTAAAATTTAATTATTTCTACTAGAAAAACATCTAATACTACTTTGAGAGGTGGCACAGATTATCTAAAATAATACAAAAGGTGGGTTTTTGGAGGGAGCATTACAAACAAGAAGACATTTAGACATTTTTGGCTATAATTCTAGAAAGCAAAATGTTAAAATATCTAATCTAACATAAAATATGTTAAAATAGCATTGATACTGAATTTATCTTCTTTATTTGCAAGGTTGTAATATTTGGGAATATTGTTAATTTGAAGGACTATCTTATACAGCTTTTTTAACTATAAAGAAACTGATTATAATACATCATTTTTGTTGCATGTGATTGAAGTTGTGCTGGATGTCAAAGCCAGTGTTCTCTATGTTGATGTCATTTGCCAGTTCTTGCACCTGTCACCAACACATGAAGTTTAGCCTTACCACTTAACACTATTATAGCTATCATAGATAACTACGTATACTTTTTCCAAACTTTTACTTTGTTTTTTTATTTGAATTCTGAGATGCTTTGTTCTATATATGAGAAGGAATTTTATAATTTGATTGGTTCTTTAAAAAATTATATTATAAAATTCAAAAATTAAAATTAGCTTCAAAAATACATCAGTCATTGGATCCTTTTGCATACAGAATGTTTTTGTAATAAATGAAATCATAAAGATTTATTCCACATTAATGAAAGATAAGACTTAGCTGGTTTAAAGTTTTTTTTTAGGTTTGAAAGTTATATAGTACCTGTGTGTCTAAGACAATTCATGGCACCCAGTAGTCACTTGGTACATGTTTTTTAAATGTTTGAGATGGATGTCTAAATGTCTTCTTGTTTGTAATGCTCCCTCCAAAAATTGTATTATTTTAGATAATCTGTGCCACCTCTCATAGTATTATTAGATGTTTGAGATAGGAAGACTCATTTCTACATTGATTGGTTTTGGACTTCTGGTGCATTACTGACTCAAAAATTTTCTAATAATTTATTTAAGTAACTTTTCTATTTCTCAAATGTTCATTCAGTTTAGCAACTTCTTTTCTAAATGTAGTTATATAGATATGTCCAAGCTAAAACCGTATTCCTAAGACTGTAACTTTTTACATGGTGGAACATTGTGTCACATGGTGGAAAGTTGTGCCACATGGTGGAACTTTGTGTCACATGGTGGAACATTGTGTCATATCAGAATGTTGAACTGCGCTTTTTCCACAGTGTTGAGTTGCAGTTTTTCCCAAACAAAATAGTCCTGTTTGCATCACCAAGGAAGCGCCTGTCTACCCTGAATTTTAACTCTAATCAAACTATAATAATAGTTATGGCAATCATTCATAAGGCAAATACAGAGTTTGAGAAACTTACTACAACAGTTTTAGGCTCTATATAATTTCTCCTGTCTCCACTTTTTTATCTACTTAGCCAAATGCAAATTCCTCATTTTATCCTAAGAATTGTTTCAGATAGTTTCTCAAATTCTTCTAATTCTTCTTTTATTCATTTTTCCCCCACAAGGTCTTTAAATATATGTGTGGATCTATGCTTAATCTATCAGCTCTTTGGTCAATTAAGTGTTGCCCAGTTTCTTTCTCTGTGACACAGTGCACGTATTTAATACTCACAAACCACCAAGTATAATTGCCTTCAGACATTAAACTATTGATATTTTTATCTTGAATTGCAGTGGTTTGAATGTGCAAACTTATTTGATTATGCTACATGGGAGTGCATGATTACTGTCATAAAACTTGAGTACTCCTTAAAATAGAGAATGGTATTACATTTTACTTTAAAAACATGGTTACTTGAAAATATATTAATTATGGAAAAGTATGTGTGTGATGTATATGTATTTATCAAATTGGTCTCAAAAAGACAAAAGACAATACAGCAATATTTTAAACTTATAATATCAAGTATAATGTAACAGTAGCCTGTCACTAAGTTATTGTTGTGTTGTTGAAATAGTGAATATTGTATTTGTTGGGCTTTACTATTGTGATTGATTTCACTATATTTCATTCTCTTTTTTTTTTTTTTTTTTTTTTGAGGCAGAATCTCGCTCTGTCACTCAGGCTGGAGTGCAGTGGCGCAATCTCGGCTCACTGCAAACTCTGCCTCCCAGGTTCACGCCATTCTCCTGCCACAGCCTCCCGAGTAGCTGGGACTACAGGCGCCCGCCACCAAGCACAGCTAAGTTTTTTATTTATAGTAGAGACGGGGTTTCACTGTGTTAGCCAGGATGGTCTCGATCTCCTGACCTCGTGATCTGCCTGCCTCGGCCTCCCAAAGTGCCGGGATTACAGGCGTGAGCCACCGCGCCGGGCCTGATTTCAGTTTCTTCCAGCCCTTCCTATTGTTAACATGGGGGTTGTGTTGAAGAATATAAAGTTACAAAGTCAAGGAAGTAGGAAACATTTTTACAAGTATTATGTAGCCATCTTGGTGGGGCTGTGGTGAGGTAGGCTGCAAATGATTCTCCTATTTCTTTCCCTGAGTTCAGAACATAGGAATTAGATTGATAGACATCAACATACCCGCTTTATTGCTGACTCATGACAACTAATGGGAAGACATGGCTCAGATGTGCAGCCACAGTGAGCTTCTGAACATTTCTTCTCAGACTAAGCTCTTACACACAGTTGCAGTTGAAAGAAAGAATTGCTTGACATGGCCACAGGAGCAGGCAGCTTCCTGCAGACATGACAGTCAACGCAAACTCATGTCACTGTGGGCAGACACATGTTTGCAAAGAGACTCAGAGCCAAACAAGCACACTCAATGTGCTTTGCCCAAATTTACCCATTAGGTAAATCTTCCCTCCTCCCAAGAAGAAAGTGGAGAGAGCATGAGTCCTCACATGGAAACTTGAAGTCAGGGAAATGAAGGCTCACCAATTATTTGTGCATGGGTTTAAGTTTTCCTTGAAATTAAGTTCAGGTTTGTCTTTGTGTGTACCAATTAATGACAAGAGGTTAGATAGAAGTATGCTAGATGGCAAAGAGAAATATGTTTTGTGTCTTCAATTTTGCTAAAAATAACCCAGAACATGGATAATTCATTTATTAATTGATTTTGGTAAGCCAAGTCCTATTTGGAGAAAATTAATAGTTTTTCTAAAAAAGAATTTTCTCAATATCACCTGGCTTGATAACATTTTTCTCCTTCGAGTTCCTTTTTCTGGAGTTTAACAAACTTGTTCTTTACAAATAGATTATATTGACTACCACTCACTGATGTTATGATATTAGTTTCTATTGCTTACTTTGTATTTCTAATTTTAGGATTCACAATTTAGCTGGAGAACTATTTTTTAACCTGTTGCACCTAAACATGATTGAGCTAGAAGACAGTTTTACCATATGCATGCATTTTCTCTGAGTTATATTTTAAAATCTATACATTTCTCCTAAATATGGAGGAAATCACTGGCATCAAATGCCAGTCTCAGACGGAAGACCTAAAGCCCATTTCTGGCCTGGAGCTACTTGGCTTTGTGACCTATGGTGAGGCATAAGTGCTCTGAGTTTGTGTTGCCTCTTTTGTAAAATGAGGGTTTGACTTAATCAGTGATTTTCATAGCTTAAAATTTTTTTGAAGAACAGAACTTTTTTTAAAAACAGTTAGATGCAACCATATTATATAAAACAGAACAGATACAAGTAGAGCTAACTTGCTAAAGAAAGGATGGAGGCTCTGAAGCTGTGACTTCATTATCCCTTAATACTGCTATGTCCTCTGTAGTACCTTAGATTTCTATGGGACATCGTTTAAAAACTATTGTTTATGCGAGAGCCTTGCTAATTTCCTAAAAATTGTGGATACATTTTTTCTCCCATGTATAATTTTCTCACCTTCTATTTAAAAAGAAAAAAAAAGTCAGTGTAGTATTTACATATTTTACCCTATAAGGAGCTAACATAACTTTTGATTTAGTGTTATTCATAAAATTAGGTTAGCAGTTTATTAACCTTTTGTATTTGCTCTGGCAATGTTTAATATCTCATAAGCTATACACACCTCGAAGCCATCAATGACAACCTTTTCTTGCTGAATAGAACAGTGATTGATGTCATGAAGACAATTTTATCTCCTTTTGCCTTCCATAATTTGTACCAGGTACTGTATGTGGTCTCTTGAATGGAAATAATAATTCTGAATTTTGATTAAAAGAAATATGAGAAAATGTGTGGATTTAATAGGAAAGAAAGAACAAAATTGAAAGGGACTTATAAAAAGTCATGTAACATTGAAAAGTTTATACTTGAAAATATGCATAAAATTACCCAACTCTTTCTACAGCCAATAATAATAATAACAGTAAAGGTGGAGCCATCAATATCCAAGACCCTTTCCCTAAGCTTCTGGATGCCCTCATACAGAAGCTTCTTCCCCATGTTTTGGATTTGTCCCTTTTCTCTCTGAGCATTCACATCTGACCTGGTATCACTTTCTCAAAGGAAGTTACCCTCAGCAGTTCTTTGTGGGGTAAAGTGTTCAAAGGTCAGTCAAAGGCTGGAAGATAATTTATGCAGGGAGAGGCCACTTCAGCACTGCAAGAGAGGCAGCTCCTTCTACCATTTATTTATTTTTTTAAATTTTGTTATTATTATACTTTATGTTTTAGGGTACATGTGCACAATGTGCAGGTTTGTTACATATGTATACATGTGCCATGTTGGTGTGCTGCACCCATTAACTCAGCATTTAGCATTAGGTATATCTCTCCTACCATTTATTTTTTGAGAGTTAGGAGGGTAAAAAATGGCGTCACTTAAACTTGTTAAAAGAAAGTATTCTCTACAGAGTTCATATTTCTTCAGTACAAAATTAGACTATCTGTTGAGAAACGTGTTTGATATTTACCTAATCAAATTTTTGTGTTATCTAAAAATATTCATAAACAGGCTATAAAGAAGTAATGTAATCTATTACATGTAGGAATTAAATATTTAGAACAAGAGCTTTTGGGGAAAAGATAATAGCATTACCTTAGTAGTTTTTTAGTTGAAGTCACGTGAAAATGTATATTTTCATAGTGTTTATTAAAGGTAATATAATATTCTTCCAGTAAAGCCTCCTTCCTTTATCTGATATTGAGTTATTTCCTTTACAAGACCTCTCTAGTAATGTGTATTGTCACATTATTAAATTTACCAGGCATGTCTGTAACATTATAGTCACAGATGTGTTATGAAGTACAGTCTCTCAAATATGGGAAAACATGTTTGTCCGAAAATGGTGAAGGCTTTAAGTATCATATTATCATTGGTAATAAAATGTCCAGTATGTGCAGTACACAATTTCAGACCTTGTTGGCATACGGGGAGAGAATACCTCTTATACAAAAGATGTAAAGAGGAACACTCCAGATGGAAACACTTGCAATGGAGCTTGAAATAATCCCACACATTTCATAATTAAGTAGAAAACTATAATTAAATAATTCTTAAAACTGATACTAATTTCTGAAAAGACATCAAAGTTACAACTATGCAGCTACGTGATACTTTCCTTCTTTCTAATTCTAGAAAGTTATGAATCAAGCTAACATTGAAAACTGGTTCTACCTATATTTATCCTTTTTTCAATCAAATTTTCTGAAATCTATGTGTTTATATAAAGAAATATCAATCATAATGTAGATCACATGATATTTTTACTTATTCTCTTGCCAGTCCAATTTTCTCATGATATTATGTGAGTACCACTTTCTTCGTGTGTGTATTTAAGGTTCTGTGCTGAAAAGTTGATAACATAGAACATACATTGAAATGTAAATTTTCTGAAGGAGGAGAATGGAAAGTTAATTTAAGGAAAAACCTATTGAAGTGAAAAAACTGAACTTTAATAAAGGACAGAGTTTTGCTAAGAATTAGAAAGAAATGCATTCATTGCAAAATACGAATTAAATTCTCTAACCTTTGTAGTAGTAAGAGAAAAACTCATAGACCAATATTATTTGTAATTTTTTCTCAGGTTTAACAGCACTACACGTGTATAGTCTCTATTATCTAAATCTAAAATAAGTAAGAATTTTAGGTTATTTATGTGATTGTGTTTTTCTATTTAAGCAATTCTCATGTTAGGTATAGTCTCTGAAAGTACTAAAGGGCACAATTCTGTAAGTGAGACATCATTTTCAGGATAGTTTCTCTTCTTAAAATTAAACATTATAGATAATATTTGACTTATTTAAAATGCAGCAGGAGTGGCAGAAAATACCACTAGAACAGGAGAAAGGTACATTGCAAAATTTATTAATTCAATTCAGATTTATTAATTGGTTTCTAAAATAAACGGTAAATAGGAAATGGCTATTTACAGTTTCATTAATTGATAAGTACATCAGTTGGCTATTGTTTGTTTAATAGATAGTATGCTAATTATTTTTGTACACATATTTAATGAAAGATATAAACACATACTCATAATTAAGAGTATATTTATGCCTCATTAATTTGTCATGTTCCATATATTTAGAAAAGTCTCAAGTAGTCGGCATATCTGTTTTTGGCTCTAACTCTCTGCCATCCCTGTGGAACTTTTAGCCTACACACTGCAGTTGTTTTGAGAAAACAAAGGCATCATTCTCTTCTCAAGGTTATGGTAGTGATTTAAGGCCAACAGACCCAAGACTCATCTTGTAATGCATAGCCAAACAGTCATAGTTCATAAGCAGTCACGTGACTGGTGACATTTTAAATCTCCAGTCTTTGACTTTGTCATTGGTTGACTTTTGTCTTCAGGAAATATTCTACATTTCTTGGAATACAATAAAAATGCCCAAGTCAATTTGGTTGTTGTCAAATTATTCAGCTTTTTCTTACCACTTACTAGTACTCCACCTCTTTGCTCTAGCATCCAGCCAACTAGACTACATAGAATTTCACAGTGATCTTCCTCAGCTCCAGCTCTTGGCATTTGCTCCTCCCTTCTATCTGACATATGTTTTTGTTGTCCTTCTGGTATCAACCTGCATATCTCATCCACCAAAAAGTCTACAATATTGACCCAAAACCTGGATGTCCTATCTGTGTGTTCCAGTAGTGCCCTATTTTAAATGTGTCATGATATCTATTACTTTGTGTGAAAATTACCTGTTTGTTTTTTCAGGTTATATAATAGTATAACACTGCCAAGGAGCGGATTATCTCATCTTCATCCTGTAATTCCAGTGTTTGTCACGTGGTTGTTGAATAAATGAATAAAGAATGAGAAAACCAGAAGCTCTGATACATAATCATAATGATAATTATTTCAATGCACAACTACGGGTGAGTTTTATTTAACAGCAATTTTGTATCATAGTTATATATACATTTTTTTATTCTCACTAACACAGAGTAGGTTCTCAACTCTTTTTTCCTGACTTCCACTTAGTTTACATAAAATCTTTTAGGTAAAGAACATAAATATTTTTCTTTCCAGGTGGTGCTGAACTAGAATCTATATTTTCTGAAACTGGCTCCTCTAGGATCTACTAATGATTTAAATCTAAAAGATGAAGTTAGTAAAGCATCAGAAAAAAAAGGTACTAACTTTTATTTTTAAAATTATATAATATAAAAAATTGTAATATTTTATTACTGGAATGCTTACTTGAGCTTTTAATGATTTTTTAATTTAACATAAAACATATAAAATTTTTTCTTAAAAAGGATAATATTTTTATATCATATATGTCTGATGAAAATTTATATGGCATTTTAAACCATGTTTCTAAGCCTCTTTAACAAACTTTTTAGTGGATCTTACAAATAAAATCCTGTATTATTGAGTTTTACATACTCAAATGATTCAATAGGCAGCTATTTAAACAAGCAAAACTACCAAGTTGTTATTAGTGCTTTGTATCCTGTAATTTTTATTACAATTACAGTGATAGATTTAGATTTCAACTGACATCATTTTGGTATATTAGTACTGTGGTCATTGTCAGTGGTTGCATGTAATGCAATTGACACCATACCATCAAATTTATGTAATTTTAAGTGCTGATTTATATGGATCTTTCCTCATGAAAAAATAAGGTTTTCCTAAGACTTTTCACCTTTTATGTTACTTACTTATTTATTTTTTGGTTAGCTTTTGGAAACAGTCTTAAAATTAAAGAAAAGTTTCAAGCTTTACTACAAAGAACTTTCTTTCTCTGAACCATTTGAGAGTAAATTGCTGACGCTCTACCGTGATTTCTGATTTCCTTAGTGGGTATTCCTACAAGTCAGGACATTCTACGTGACTACAATATAATCTCACAGAAATTTAACATTAATACATTCTAAGATTTAATTCTTAGATTCTTGGTAAGTTTTATTACTTGTCTATAATATTCCTTGTTGCAAAAGATTCCATTCAGAGACATCAGTTATATTTAGCTTCTGTATCTCTTAGACTTTCAATTGTAGCAGTTTCTCAGTCTTGATATTCATGACGTTGAATCTTTAGAAGATAAAGTTTAGTAATGCAGAATGTTCTTCAATTGAGTTTTTGTAATGTTTCCTTGTAATTAGTTTTATATCATACTTTTTGAACATGGCTATCACCAAAATGCTCCTGTGATCTTATTGCATCCTATCATTGGACCACAGTTTTGATTTGGTCTGTTACTGGTGATGCTAGATTTTATTTCTAATGGTGGTATCTGCTGAACATCTCCTCTGTCATGTTATTTTTTCACTTTTTAATGAATTACTATTTTGTAGGGAGTTCATTTGAGACTATGTAAATATCTCTTTCTCTTCAAACCTTCAAGTTATTCATTTACTTGTATCAGTATGGATTCATGGTTCATTCTGTTTAATAGGTTATGACTTGTTAATATTTTTCAAAGCTTTTTCTTTGGAGAAATGTTCAGCTTTTTCATATAAAAAAGTCATGACTTTACATCATTGGAGCACTTATGGCGTCAATAGTGGCACTTCACATGTTTCGAGGTTCATGGTATTACAAAAAAATGATGGAAAACAGGCAAGAACCATGAGAAATCACCTTTTACTGTATGACACATTTTTCTAGGTAAACAAATTGCTCCTGTGGAGATGATTGGCATCACATGGTGTTTTGAGCTGATACACCCAACACTTGAGCTCACTGCAACAGTACCAGGTGGGCATAAACTTACTATAGCAGTACAATACATACTAAAGTTAACTTTTTGCAGTTACAATTTAATGCTGCATTTTTATGCTTGTTTACATTTCTCTTAGCTGAAGCTGGCATCGTGTTCTTTGTATGCACACATTTTGATAAATTTTCACTTTTTATAATTGATTTTGTATATTTCATGGTAGCAATGATAAAATAGACTAGTAATTGTATAAATATTTTTGTTTGCTATTTCTAGGTTATTTGGTTCATCTACAGTTTTTTTCAAATTGCCATTAATTTCCAAATTTTTTTTTTTTTTTTTTGAGACGGAGTCTCGCTCTGTCGCCCAGGCTGGAGTGCAGTGGCACGATCTCGGCTCACTGCAAGCTCCGCCTCCTGGGTTCACGCCATTCTCCTGCCTCAGCCTCCCGAGTAGCTGGGACTACAGGCGCCTGCCACCACGCCCACCTTTTTTTTTTTTTTTTTTTGTATTTTTAGTAGAGACGGGTTTTCACCGTGTTAGCCAGGATGGTCTGGATCTCCTGACCTCGTGATCCGCCCGCCTCGGCCTCCCAAAGTTCTGGGATTACAGGCGTGAGCTACCGTGCCCGGCGTCCAAATTTTTTTATATTTCTTGAAAAATATCTGCTAACAAGAGCACCCATGCAGTTCACACTATGTCATTCGAGGGTCAATTGCATTTGTAACTCCTGTCTCTGACAGTAACCTGTCTCCTTTCATGCTTAGTATGTAGTAAGTCCTTACTTAACGTGGTCAATAGGTCTTGGAACTGAGCTTAAGTGAAAGACGTATAATAAAACCACTTTTACCATAGGCTAACTGACATAAATAAGAGTGACATTCCTATGATGTATTTCTGGTCACAGAAACATCACTGAACTTCTAAGTAAGGACCCAAAACACTTGTAACAAACAGTAAACATTGAAATCAATGTGTGCTTTATATATATTTTTTAAAGGTTAATAAAAATAAGTAGATATTTTTTCTCAATTTCTGGCGAACCACCGAGTGATGGCAGTTGTAGTGGTGGTGGGTTCCATCAAGCAATCAACGTCAGTAGATTGCAGATTGTAAGGAGCACCACTTACCATTATGCAGTTCAGAAACAAACAGTCACAAATATGTCAGCCTCACAGAGTGCTTTTGTATGGCATCATTGTCAACAACAGCATTTGTGTGATTATCATAGTTCTCACAGATTTTTATTTTACAGTACTTTCCATTCGTTCACTTGATCCTTTTCCAACCTGCTTATTGCAGTTCAGGTTTGCAGATGGCAGGAGCTTCTCCTGGCAGTTTTGGGTGCCAGGAGGGAACCCTATTATTATAGAGTTTCTTTGTTAATGCTGGTCAGTGATTTAATCTAAATTAGAAGTGTTTGAAAAGGATTAATTGTCCTACATCAAACTTGTAAGCAACGTCATGTACATCATGACATTGCAGGGTCACTCACACACACATCCACTGTTAGTCAGACTGGCACCACGTAGACACATCAGTTAATCTCATGTACAGAACTTTGGGATGTAGGACAAAAAGAAGAGTCCCTGAAGAAACCCCATACAGACATAACAAGAACATTTAAACTCCTCATAGACAGAGACCTCAGATGAGATTTGTTTTTCATCCATGTTAGAATGAAATGGCATTATTCAAGGACCTGCTATCCTCACTTATTTGTTCAATACCATTCTGTGTGACCAGTCTCTTGTGTCCCTGCCCTTAGGCGAGTACTCACTCCCTCTGGGACTTCAGCATCCTTCATCAGGTTACCTCTGCTGCTTTCCCTCTGTCTTCACCCCATGCTTTCTCAGATATTTTGTGCCAAGCTGCCCTTTTACACAGAATATTTTTCCTGCTCAGGTGCTGAAAACCCATGCTAGGCTGTCCTTCTCCATCTCTGCATGGATGCCTCCTGACTCTATTCAGTTTTTGATATTTTATTCTATTTCACCCACCATTCAGGGGTGCTCTCACTTGATTGTTAACATTGTGCAGGGTGGTGCTCCCACACTTAGGTCTTTCCCATTGTCTCCAGGCCCCAACTCCTCACTCTGGACAACCATAGCTTTCTGTTTTATCTCCATGCTCATGAATAAAAATGCTCAGAAAGAGAAGAGAGGGAAAATGCCATATACATTTTATAATCAATACACAAAGCTCTGCAGAGCAAGGATTTTGATTGGAATTTCATTGAGTTAATAATTTGGGCAGAAAAGAGATAATACTGTATTCTCACACTACTAATATTTCAATTGTCTTATTAACTTAATTAATTTTAAAAAATTTCACATAGAGATCTTGCCTAGTTTAACATCTATACTCAAGTATTTGGTATAGTTGATCCTATCACAAATTTTATTTTTATATATATTTTTTCTTTTTGTTACTTGCTTACAGAAATAAAGTTGATATTTTGTGTATTGAACTTGATTAGTTAAGCTGTCTTGCTAAACTCCTTGTTATTTTCTTATCTGAATATTTGATCTGTACAATATTTAGGATTTTCTATATACACATACCATCTGTAAATAGTAACAGTCTTCTTTGTAGTTCAAGAGGTTTTATTTCTTTTTTTTTCTACTGCAAGAATAATGTTGAATAAATGTGGGTACAATTGGTATCCATATCTTGTTGAAATTGTAATGGGAAAACAATATATTTCAATCTCTATGTAGATAGTGGGTTTTTGTTTTCATAATATATATCTTTTAGTTTACTGTATGAGTTTTGCAGGACTGCATAATAGATCACCACAATCATAACATCTTAGGACCACAGACATTTATGAGATCATGGCTTCTGTGGGTTAGAAGTATGCTCATGTCTTAACTGGGTCCTCTGCTCAGTCTTATCTGGCTGCAATCAAGGTGTCAGCTGGGCTGAATTTTCATTTGGAATCTTGACTGGGAAAGAGTCTGCTTCCAAGGTCATGAAGTTTGCTGGCAAAATGTATGTTTTTATGACAGTATGACTGAAATCCCAAGCTATCTCCTGACTTTTAGCTGGGTAATCTCAGGCCCTAAATGTTGCCTACAGTTCCTAGAGGCTGGTCACAGTTCTTAGCCATGTGGATTTCCTCAACATGGCTGCTTGCTTCATCAAGTCAGCAAGAATAGCCTGTCATATCAGTGTATATCAGGCTCACTCAGGATAATTTCCCTACTGATGAGCCAAACACTAACTGATTTTAGAGCTTAACTACATCTGCAAAATTCTGTTCACCAGAGGCAAGTCATATTCAGGGAAAGAGAAGTGTACAAAGTGAGAACACCAAGGTGCAAAAATCACTGGAGCTACCATTATAATTGTAGTAATAAAATTCTCTTCTAATACTAGGTCTCAAAGTTTCATTGTGAATCAAAGTTCAATTTTACAAAGTAAAAATTACTTATTTTGCATCTATTGAGATGATCATTTAAGAAACCATTTGTTACTTGTGTTGAATTGCATTACATTATTTACTCTTGTTAATCTAACCTTGCATTTGTCCGATAAACTGAACTTGATTGTGATAATACTTTGTTTTTATTCATTGCTACTTTTGGTATGTTGATATTCTGCTTAGGACTCTTTTAATCTGTCTTTTCATGTGATGATAATAAAGAGAATTTTCAATACTTTAACTCCATGTACACTCTGCCATTATCCTTAGCAAACTATTTCTTTGCATTTTAATTCTCTTATAATTCTTAAAAACACTAGACATTTTCATAGTTTATGCATGAGACTGCCAATGTTCAAGCAATTCTCCTACTTCGGCCAGGCTAGTAGCCAGGGGGTTCTTTCTGTTTCCAAGAGCTAGCTTTAGTGCCTGTGGTAGATCTGTTTACCAGGCTCTTTTCAGAAATGAGTGGAAGATATAGAGGCATTAAGGATGGTTCTAGAGAAGGATTTTCCAATCTTAGCATTGTCAACATGTTGGATGGGATGATTCTTTGTGTATGGTGTTCCCTTGTACATTGTAGGATGCTTACCAGATCCTGCCCACTAGAGGCCAATAGCACCTCATCATCATAGCACCCCTTCCCTCAGTGATAATAAAAAATGTCTCCAGACATTGTTTAAGTTAATAAATGTGCCCAGAGCCCAGGCACAGTGGCTCAGGCCTGTGATTTTAGCTCTTTGGGAGACCGAGGTGGGTGGATCACTTGAGGCCAGGAGTTCCTAGAACGTTCCTCTGTCAAAAGACAAAATTACAACAATTTAAAATCTAATTGGCTGTTATTGGCCATTCTAGAATTGGTTGACATCTCATTCTATGAAATACAATGAGTGCTCTTCAATAAGCTGAGCAGAGGGGGGTTAGCTTTATTGGCAGAAAAGGGCTAAAGAAAACAGAAAAAGAACAAAAAGTGATTGGTTGTTTCAGAGTTACTTTCCTTAAAGAGGTAAAGCACAGAGGACCCCCTTATCATCCTGGCTCAGGTAACGGTGGTGTCACTCCACATCAGCCCTCATTTTACACGGGAAGGTAGTTGCTAATTTAACAAGATTTCATGGCCAATAAAATATTTATGATGCTTTTAGTGTTCAATGCATTTATCTTATAGTGATTTATTATAAAAATGGTATTTTATTTTCTTTTTTTGGAGGGTGTTCTGGGGCATTGTGAATCATGGAATCTCATGGTTTGTACTTGACTGGATTTTAATGGACACATAGAGAGGAACAACGTACACTGGGCTTTGCAGAGGGCAGAGGGTGGGAGGAAGAATAGTATCAGAAAAAATAACTAGGCCGGGCACAGTGGCTCACGCCTGTAATCCCAACACTTTGGGAGGCCGAGGCGGGCAGATCACAAGGTCAGGGGATCGAGACCATCCTGGCTAACGTGGTGAAACGCCGTCTCTACTAAAAATACAAAAAAAAAAAAAAAAATTAGCCGGGCGTGGTGGCGGGCGCCTGTAGTCCCAGCTACTCCGGAGGCTGAGGCAGGGGAATGGCATGAACCCGGGAGGCGGAGCTTGCAGTGAGCGGAGATCGTGCCACTGTACTCCAGCCTGGGCGACAGAGTGAGACTCCATCTCAAAAAAAAAAAAAAAAAGAAAAAATAACTAATGAATACTTAGGCTTAATACCTGGGTGATGAAATAATCTGTACAGCAAACCCCCATGACATGAATTTACCTTTGTAACAAGCCTGCTCATGTACCCCTCAACTTAAAGTAAAACTGAAAAAAAAAAAAATCATGTGGTAGAAGGGAACACTGAAGCCATGTGAATTGGAAGGGCCACTCTTAATGGCTTATTGTTCTCCCTGCAGATTTTCACCGCTATGCCTCCTTTCACTCTGGGAGTCTTCCAGAGGTCTTGCACTCGGGAGAGCATGCTCAGGTTTCCCCAGCTCTACAAAATCACCCAGAATGCCAAAGACTTCAACACAAGGGTAAATAAGGTTGATCTCAGAATTGTCACCTCAAAAAGGCCCTGCCTTCCACTGTTCAGTTCTGGTCATCTGCCTATGAGATATCTGAAGCTTGAAAGAGAACACTTGAAAATCACTGAGACCGTGACTCCCATCCCAGCACACACAGCAAGCCAAGTAGGTTACAGAGATTTCTTCTTGGGTGATGAGTTCACGCCACATGGGGTATGTTCTCCAGTTCCAGTGTGTTGACTCCTTCCTGCTTCCCCCCATCAGCCCCTGAGGTCAATGTGGGCAGCAGCCCCCATGGTCCAAGTTCAAGATCCGCTGTGGAAGACTTTTTTAGGCAATCACACAGCCCTGCATGGAGTCCTGATGAGAGCTTGCCTAATTGTTGCTAGGTTTGTCATTTTAAATACAGTGTTTCTTTAGCTAGTGAGTAAAATTGGCTATATAGGAACTCAGGGATCACGAGTCACTTTTTTTTTTTTTTAATGAAACAGAGAATCAGCAAAGAGACCACAAAAGATATAGGTAATTCTCAGAAACCCATGCAGATGCTGAGTTGGGTGTTAAAGTTGTCACACAGTTTCAAACTGCAGAGGGGTCTGTCACATAGATGCCTTTCACAGCTGGAAGTGGCAGAGCAGTTGGGTGACCCTACCCAAAGGAAAGATAGATGTGTTCCTGGCCAGTGCAGGGGTGAGATGTGAGCACAGCTGCATGGCCATGCTGCTGTCTTGGGTCTTTGTCGGAGGGGATTCAGAAGTTTAGACAGAGGTCATTGCCCAGATCAGTTCCAGTGCTACATGATGCTGGTGGTCATGACTTGCAAGGGTGGTTCCTGGGCCATCAGTGAGAATAACACAGGGAGTTCCCTCTCTAGGTCTCAGTGAGAGAACAGTCTCTGAGGCCCTGGCTTCTGAGCCGGATATTCCTGATGGGTACCCTTCACAGCTGCTTTCTTCTGGGAAGGCTTCCTAGTTATATTCAAGGCTGGGAACAAAGAGAAGAGATTCTTATTGTTTCTGTTGTCTCCCATATCTAAAGATACTTAAGTGACTAATTCTATTAGTCCTTGTTGACTGTGATTCTATTAATGGCAAAATATGACCCATTTTCATTGGATTATTTATGGCAATCCATTTTCTACAGAATTTGAATTCTAAGGCCATTTGAGGTGGGAAGTAAGTAAATAGAGCTAAGAATGCCTGGAAACCTCAGGCACTTTGAATTTTTTTTTTTTGGTAGTGAGGTCAGGGATGGTGCAAAATAAATATTTAAAGTAGAGGAAATTCCATTATGTTATAATAACATTTTTCATAATTTTATGTTGTTTTATCACTACTGAGGATCAAACTATATGATTCCCAGAACAACTTGTAAACTTTTAAATAAATTTAAGCTGGGCTTTAACAGTTCTGTCATTGCAGTGACAAAACTATTAATGAAACTAAAGTGGGGAAATTCAGGGTAGGTGTGGAAAACTGTGAGTAGATCAGGACTTAAAGGGTGGAAGATGGGGAAGTTTAGGAAGGCAGTTGAAAACTAAATTGTAAAGGCTTTGAGTGTGAGGTTAAGAAATTGGGACTTAATTGCTTAGGCATTGAAGGGTCAATATAGAATTTAAATTAAAAAATGTTTATGATCAGACCATTTTGGGGAAATGAGCCAAATGTGTCTTTTAAGGTGAGTAGTAGAAGGAAAACTACTGGCAGAGATTCCAGGGGAGAGTTTAGGGAGAATTAAACCCAGGAATGGGATGTGTTTGGAGAGGAGGGAGTGTGTTTTGAGAGGAGTGTCTTTGTTCGTCAAGATTGTGGCATATCTATGATGTAAGAGGCTCTCTGAGAGCACAGTGGATATAGATGTTAATACACCAGGCCCTGCCTCTCTTGCCCTCTGGGAGCTTGCCTAAGGTCAGAGTTGATGGTCAAAAATTGTGTACATATTGCTTATTTACCAATGTGATGAGTCCTGGGGTCTGTGGGTAGAGCTTATATAATAAAAGAACATAGTTTAGTAAGTTCAGGAGAATCTTCTCCAAGGAAGTGATATTGAAGTTCTTGAAAGATGAGTAGGGGGTGGCCATACAGGTCAGGGAGGTGTGGGGAAGGATTCAGAGAAGGAGCATTCATGGCCAGGATCAAGCAGAGGCATAGGACCTGAGTTGTTGTGGCTATGGGAAGTGTTTTATTGGGGATGGGGATGCCTGAACTTGACTCTCCTTTGCCAGACTCTGACGAGGGGTTCAGGACACTGAGCACCCCTCATCCTGGCCAGTAAATATGGTAACGTCCTACTGTGATCTGAATGTTTGTGCTCCCAGACCCCGACATTTTATATGCTGAAACCCAAAACCATAAAGTGATGGTATTAAGAGATGGGGCCTCTTGGAGGTGATCAGGTTTTGAGGGCAAACCTCTCACAAATGGGATGAGTGCCCTTATAGAAGGGACTCCAGAGAGCTTATTGCCCCCTGCGCCATGTGAGATATAGCAAGAAGACACCATCTATGAGGAACGGGCCCTTGCCAAACACCAAATCTGCCAGTTCCTTCATCTTGGACTCCTCAGCCTCCAGATCTTTAAGAAATTAATTCACATTGTTTATAAACCATGCAGTTTATAGTATTTTGTTACAGTAGATCAGAAAAACTAAGACACTTTCCTCTCACTTTCCCTATCCTGCTGGAGCTACCAATCAAAACACACCTCTACACATTTCTAGCATCCCCTATAAGGTGGACAGCCACCCCAGTCAAGATAACTACAGCATAGAGAGGAGATGGGGGCTAGAAAAGGGGACAAATAAGTGAGGGAGGACTTTATCACTAACACGTGGGTGGAGGGACTTCTCAATGAAGAGTTGGTGATAGGAGAGTCACCTGGTAAGATTTGCTTCTAAAGAAGATAGGACTGCTCTGTAGAGAAAAACATACAATCTGGCAAGAGTAGGGGCTGCTATTGAGTTGAGGGGAGTGAAAGGTGGTAGGAATAAGGATTGTGAGCTCCAGAGAACTAGGATATGACAACTGATTGGAGTACTTGTTTATAGGTGTGCTGATTTGCTGTCCTAAGTATGAGTGAGTTCTTATTACACCCTTAATTGTCATTTAGAAGAATTTATTCTCCTCCCTCCCAAAAAAGCATAGAAACATGGCACCAATTCGAAATTTGAGACAAACTGGGGTGCTGTCAAAGCCAAAGGACCCTTGTCTAACACAGGGTCACCTTCAGGCTTATTTCCTTTCACCAAGTGCTGCCTGAAGCTGTCCCTTAGATGCCTGACCACACCCTGAGCCCTACATGAGTTTTGTTTGACCAGGTACTAAAGTTGCTAAAGTGGCTTCATTTCTTCCTTTGATACTGTGTGGATCATGTCACAAAGACAGGAAATCTTACCAATTTTCTCCGCCATCCATGCAGAGAGCCTCAAGCATAAATCAGCAATGTTCACCATGGGCAAAGCAACATGATTATTTGGAAGAAATATTTTTGAGTACGTATGGGTACATTGTTCATTCACTAGAATGCTTCCAAGAATTTCACTTTGCTTATTTTCATGTGATTTTAGAGAGAATTTTCAAAGTGCTCCTTTGATGATGGAGTTTGTGATAGTTCATTTTAAGTTTCAAAGTGAATTTTTCCACTCAAGCAATTCAGTGAATCAAATTTCTTTCAACCATCACAGCCATATGCGTACTCCCATGGTTGCTCCTAGCCTTTGATCTAAAAACTGATTCGAGGTTAAAACTAGCATGTCACCTTTACAGGAACCCAAGTCCATTAAGATACCTGGTGTCAGGCCACACTGGAGTTTTCCCATCATGTGTCCTGTCAAGCATAGTCGAGCAACCCTCCTTGAAGTGTAATGTGGTTATTGGCAGGAGAATGAAAAATAAGTTTTGATTTTAAAAAGGAAGTTTTCAGATTGTTCTTCTTGAAATTTTAGAGGGAGGTGATGGAAAAGAGAACATAGTTACCATAAAAAATGGCTCCTGAAAACATTTGTTCTTGATTCCCCAGAGTCCACACCATGGAAACCGATTCCTCATCTTTTAAGAATACCATATGGATACTTATATATAGGCATGAATTAAGCAACTAGGCCTTTCAACAGTTTTGGAGAAGGCCATTTCCCACTTTTAAAATAAATAATGCTCCTATAAGATCAGGTATGTTTTATATACTAAAATAACAGTGCACATGTATAAAATAAAACTTAGTGGTACCTCCCTCTGCTCATGGCATTGTTGGGTCATATTAGCTTAAACTATTTCCGACCTATAGCTTATTACTGTTCACCATAATTCTCTCCTGGAAATTTTCTATTAGGTGTCAGTTTTTCAAATGAGTATTTCTTAGTCTAATTTTTTTTCCTCTGAAGTTATCTTTTTTAGTCTTTGGAGGCCATTATTCTATCCCAGTTCATGAATATAAACTCGTTTATAAAATTTACAGTTTTTTTTTTTTTACTAACTGTGTGACCTTGGACATATTTGACTTCTCTTTTCTGTACCTCATCTGGAATATGCACTTAATTACACTGTTTCAAATAGTTGTTAAAGTATTAAAGGCGCTAATATATGTAAGGTGCTTAAAACTGCTTGTCATATATAAGTGCTTATATAAGATGTTTTTTCAATATCTAACAATTTTGTTTATTATGTGTACATCCATAAAATATGAAACACATTGTCCTTTTAGACAAATGCCCTTTATGTTTAATTTCTTTTAGTCTAAGAATCAACCAGCATTGGAAATACTGTTATTAGAAGGAAACTCAAAAACTTGTTAAATCATAACTGCAAAATTTGATTTTCAGCTTAGTCTCCCACAACTTCTAAATTTTTCACCAATCAAAGTTTTCTGTAGGCTCTCTTAGGGCAAATGCAAGTGGAAAGCGAAGGCACACGTTTCCACCTTTGAAATAATTTCAACTTGTATCACTTCTTACCATGTCTATCATAGCCACTCTGACCCTGCATTGTCTGATAGAACTTTCTGTGAGGATAAAAATGTGCTGTATCTGTGCTGTCCAATACAATAGCCACTAGCCACATGTGGCTATTGCATATTTAAAGTGACTGAGGAACCAAATTTTTAATAATAGCTTTATTGAGATACAACATATACCATACAATTTATTTAAAGTGTACAATTGTATAGTTTTTTAAACATATTCATAGAATTGTACAACCATTACTACAATCCATTATAGAATATTTTTATCACCTCTGAAAGAAACCCTATATTCATTAACCATCACTCTCTATTTCCCCCCAGGCAGCGCTAGTCCTTAGAAACCACTGCTCTTCTTTCTGTCTCTATAGGTGTGACAATTTCTGGACATTTCATAGAGATGGAATCATACAATATGTGGCCTTTGGTATCTGGCTTCTTCATTTATTATAAGGTTTTCTTTTTCTTTTTTTTTTTTTTTTTGAGATGGAGTCTCACTTTGTCCCCCAGGCTGGAGTGCAGTAGCACATCTTGGCTCACTGCAAGCGCCACCTCCGGGCTTCACGCCATTCTCCTGCCTCAGCCTCCCAAGTAGCTGGGACCACAGGTGCCCGCCACCATGCCTGGATAATTTTTTTTTGTATTTTTAGTAGAGACAGGGTGTCACTATGTTAGCCAGGATGGTCTCGATCTCCTGACCTTGTGATCTGCCTGCCTTGGCCTCCCAAAGTGCTGGGATTACAGGCGTGAGCCACTGCGCCCAGTCTATTATAAAGGTTTTCCAGGTGCATTCATGTTGTAGCGTGTATCAGCACTTCATTAATGTTTATGACCTAATAAGTTTGTATTATATTGATACAACACATTTTGCTTGCCAATTCACTGTTGGGTTATCAACATTTGGGTTCTGAACAGGCTACTGTGAATAATGAAAAATGCTATGTATTATTTTAGGCTATTATTAATAATTATGGTAATGCTGCTATAACATTTAGGACCAAGCTTTTGTATGTTTCATTCATAAATTTCATTTCTCTTGTGTATGTACCTAGGAATGGAATTGCTAGGTCATAAGCTACCTATGTATATTCTTTTCAGCAACCACCTCACAGTTTTCCAAAGTGTGTACTATTTTACTTTCCCACTGGAAATGTATGAAAGATCTAATTTCTCTACATCCTCACCAACACTGGTTATTGTTTGTCCTTTTTTATTATAGGCACACTATTGGGTGTTAAGTGATGTCTCCTTGTGGTTTTGATTTTGTATTTTCTTGATGGCTGGTGATCTTAGGCTTTTCTTCATGCACTTATTCGACACTTATATCTTCTTTACAAAAAAGCCTATTTAAATGTTTTGTCTATTTTTATGTTTTTTTTCTTTTCACTGTTGAGTTGTAAAAGTTCTTTGTGTGTTTTAGATACATATTTCTAATCAAATATATAATTTGCAAACATTTTCTCCACTTTTCTGGTTGTCCTTTTCTTTTCTTTTCTTTTCTTTTTTTTTTTTTTTTTTGAGATGGAGTCTCACTCTGTTGCCCAGGCTGGAGTGTGGTGACTTGATCTCAGCTCACTGCAAGCTCCGCCTCCCGGGTTCACACCATTCTCCTGCCTCAGCTTCCGAGTAGCTGGGACTACAGGTGCCCGCCACCACACCCAGCTAATTTTTTGTGTTTTTAGTAGAGACGGGGCTTCACCGTGTTAGCCAGAACGGTCTTAATCTCTTGACCTCGTGATCTGCCCACCTCAGCCTCCCAAAGTTCTGGGATTACAGGTGTGAGCCACTGCGCCCGGCCCTCTCCTTTTATTTTCTTTGTTATGTCCTTTGAAGGACAAATGTTCTAATTTTGATGAAGCCCGGTTCATTTTCTTTTATCACTGTGCTTTTGGTGCCATATCTAAGAAACTCTTGTCAAACCCAAGGCCATAAAGGTTTATTGCTATTTTTTATCCTAAGAGTTTTATAGTTTTGCAACTCAGAAATATAAAATCAAATACTGCATGTTCTCATTTAAAAATGGGAAATAAATAATGTGTACACATGAACATAGAGTGTAGAATGATAAGACACTGGAGACCCAGAAGGGCAAGAGGGTGGGAAGGGGGAGGGTGATAAGAAATTGGTGAGTGTACATTGTTCCAGTGATAAACACACTAAAAGCCCAGATTTCACTCCTACCCAATATATCCATGTAACAAAATTGCACTTGTACTCTGTAAATATATACAATTAAAAAAATGGTTTTATGGTTTTGGTTCTATGATTAATGTTACAATGTTTTATTGTGGTAAAAGCATATGTAATAAGCTTTGCCATTTTAACCATTTTAAACATAAAATTCAGAGGCATTAATTACATTCAGAATGTTGTGCAATCATCACAACTATGTATTTCCAAAAATTTTTTATCACCCCAAACTGAAACTCTGTAGTCATTAAGCAATAACTCCCCATTCTCCCTTTCCTCCCGAGCTCCTGAGAGGAATAAATTTTTATGGCATTTTAATTAATTTAAATGTAAACAACTAAATGCAGCTGGTGGCCATCATATTGGACCTCACAGTTTTAACACCACCAATATCAACCCCTGGACAGATATAATCATTTCTAAGCTGCCTTTGCATTTATTATTATTCTATTTCTGGTAATCTATGATCTATTCTCCCATAAAAGCTGGACTATTCCTGTAAGAATGTATCTTATACCATTTCATTCCCAGCTCTGAATCCTCCAGTGGTTACCTATCACAATTAACAAAGAAATCCAAGCTCTTTACTATGGTCTGTGTTTATCTGCTCCTTGGACTGTGTGTATTCTCGTTTCCTCCTCCCAGTGCCTGCAGCGTGACTGGTCTTTGTGGTGATCTTTGGGCTCATCAAGCGCTGTCTGTATTCAGACTCTGCACAGTGTCTCTTCTCTCTGCCCTCTAGACATTCACTTAACTCATTCCATCATACCATTCTGACCTGCTCAAGTGTCACCTCTTCAAAAAGATTGTTCCAGAGCTCCCTATCTAAAGTAGCAGTCCCTGTCTCCCTGAATGTGATTACCCTACCTTATGTTTCTTTGTATTATTATGCTTTTTTATTTAGACAAGGTCTCACTCTGTCACCAAGGCTGGAGTGCAGTGGCACAATCATGGATCACTGCAGCCTCAAACTCTGGGGCTCAAGCAGTCCTCCTGCCTCAGCCTCTCAAGTGGCTGGGACCACAGGTGAACACCACCACACTTGGCTAATATATTTCTTCGTAGCACTTATTACACCCATCATTTTAGTGTGGAACTGTTTATGAATACATGTTCTATCTCTGTCACTATACTGCAAGCTCTATAAAGACAGACCTTCTCTCTCCAGTTCCCATAATAGTACCCAGCATAAAATAGACTGTAAGTAAACATTTATTGAGTACATAAAAGAAGAATCTTATTCATTTTAAGGCTATAATCTATGTTAGACTCAAAGAGATAGACTAATCTGTGTTAATCTATGTTAGACTCAAAGATTATTCTCCTGAATAAATGGAAGTGTTTCTTTATTGAAGCATGCCTTTTAAAAAAGTATTGCATATGGTGGATAAGCTTTTGGATGTGCTGTTGGATTCATTTTGCCAGTCTTTTATTGAGGGTTTTCACATCGATGTTCATAAGGGATATTGGCCTGAAGTTTTCTTTTTTTGTTGTGTCTCTGGCAGGCTTTGGTATGGATGATGTTGGCCTCATAAAATGAGTTGGGGAGGAGTCCTTTCTTTTCTTTTGTTTGGAATAGTTTCAAAAGGAATGGTACCAGCTCCTCTTTATACCTCTGGTAGAGATCGGCTATGAATCCATCTGGTCCTGGGCTTTTTTTTTGGTTGGTAGGCTATTAAATACTGGTTCTATTTCAGAACTTGTTATGGGTCTATTCAGGGATTCAACTTCTTCCTGGTTTCATGGCGGGAGGGTGTATGTGTCCAGGAATTTATCCATTTCTTCTATATGTTCTAGTTTATTTGCATTGAGGTATTTATAGTATTCTCTGATGGTAGTTTTTATTTCTGTGGGATCAGTGATGGTATCCCCTTTATCATTTTTTATTGCATCCATTTGATTCTTCTCTCTTTTCTTCTTTATTGGTCTAGCTAGTGGTCCATCTCTTTTGTTAATCTTTTCAAAAAAAAAAACAGCTCCTGGATTCATTGATTTTTTGAAGGGTTTTTTGTGTCTCTGTCTCCTTCAGTTCTACTCTGTTCTTTGTTGTTTCTTGTCTTCTGCTAGCTTTTGAATTTGGTTGCTCTTGCTTCTCTAGTTCTTTTAACTGTGATGTTAGGGGGTCGATTTTAGATCTTTCCAGCTTTCTGTTGTGGGAATTGAGTGCTGTAAGTTTCCCTCTTAACATTGCTTTAGCCGTGTCCCAGAGATTCTGGTACATTGTCTCTTTGTTCTCATTGGTTTCAAAAAACTTCATTATTTCTGCCTTAATTTCATTATTTACCCAGTAGTAATTCAGGAGCAGCTTGTTCAATTTCCATGTAATTTTGTGGTTTTGAGTGAGTTTCTTAATCCTGAGTTCTAATTTGTACATATACAAATTAGAGTACACCATGGAATACTATGCAGACATAAAAAAGAATGAGTTCATGTCCTTTGCAGGGACATGGATGAAACTGGAAGCCATCATTCTCAGCGGACTAACACAGGAACAGAAAACCAAACACTGCATGTTCTCCCTCATAAATGGGAGTTGAACAATGAGAACACATGGACACAGGGAGGGAAACATCACACTCTGTGGCTTGTCAGGGGTTGGAGGGGAAGGGAAGGGAGAGGATTATGACAAATACCTAATGCATGTGGGGCTTAAAAGCCAGATGACAGGTTGATAGGTGCAGCAAATCATCATGGCACATGTATACCTAGGTAACAAACCTGCATATTCTGCACATGTATCCCAGAACTTAAAGTAAAATTTTAAAAAAGGATATAAGTATCATGTACATTAAAAAGATACAAAATGCTTATGAACAGAAAGATTCTATATTGTAAATAAGTCATTTCTATTTACTAAATTATGGTTGAATGCAATCCTACTCAAAATCCTGTCAGGTAATTTGAAAATTGACAAGCTAATTTTAAATGTATTTGAAAATTTAAAAGACCAAGAAGAACCAAGAAAGTTCTGAAGAAGAACAGAGCTCAAGAATGTATACCATCAGATGTTTCAATCTTTATTACAATTACAATAAGATGGTATTAGCAGAAGGACATACAAATAAAGAAACCAGAAACAAACTCATATTTATACCATCACCTGATTTATGACAAAGGTGAAACTGCAGTGTAGTGAGGAAACAATAATCTTTTCAATAAATGTTAGTAGATCACTTGGATATCATTATGGGGGAATAAAAGAATTTGACCCCTATCTTACATCATAAACAAAGGTCAATCGTAGGTGGGTTATAAAGCTAAATGTGAAAGGTTAAAAATTAAAAAAAAAAAAAAAAAGCTTCTACAATGGCCATGAGTGGTGGCTCATGCCTGGAATCCCAGCACTTTGGGAGGCCGAGGTGGGTGGATCATGAGGTCAGGAGATTGAGACCATCCTGGCTAACAAGGTGAAACCCCTACTCTACTAAAAATACAAAAAATTAGCCAGGCATGGTGGTGGACACCTGTAGTCCCAGCTACTCGGGAGGCTGAGGCAGGAGAATTGCTTGAACTCGGGATGAGGAGGTTGCAGTGAGCCGAGATTGTGCTACTGCACCCTAGCCTGGGTGACAAAGTGAGACTCCATCTCAAAAAAAAAAAAAAAAAAAAAAACAAGCTTCTATAACATAAGAGAGTATCTTTATGACACTGGAGTTGACAAAAATTTCTTGAGCAAGACTAAATAAGCATTAACTATAAAGAAAAAGTCTGCTAAGTTGGACTACATTAAAATTAAGAACTTTGTATTAAGAAAGTCATGATTAAGAGAAAGAAAAGGGAAGTTAAAGTGGGAGAAGATATCTGCAATATTTATGTTCAATAAAAAACTTATATCCAGAATATATAAAAAACTCCTACAAATCAGTTACAGAATATATTCAAAGAGCCAATTAAGCATCAGAAAATGTCTTCATCAAAGGCATGCAACTTAAAATGACAATGGGATACTATGACACACAGACCAGTCTGGTCAAAATAAAAAATACAGATAATGCCAAGTGACAGCAAGGATATGGAACAACTAGAACTGGTGAAGGTAAAATAGCACAACCACTTGAAAAATTCTTAGGCAGCATTTAATGAAGTTAATATATAAATATTTTAAGACCCAGCAATTTCATACTTGTTATATACCCAACAGAAATGCACACAAGTGTGTACCAAAAGAATGTTCATAGCAGCATTATTTGTCATAGTCAAGAGCTGGAAGCAACCCAGTTGTGCATCAATGGTAGAATGGATGACTAAATTGTAGTGTATTCTTACAATAAAATACTATAGAGCAATGAAAATAAATAAACTATGGCTATATGCAACAACATGGATAAATCTTACCAACAATGTTAGACAAATGTAGCCAAACCAAAAAATACACATGTTCTATGAATCCATATATGCAAGGTTCACAATAGGTGATAGTAGCTACTCTTTTGGGAAGGAGTGAGGAAAGGACTGAGAGAGTATTGCAGAGGGGGCTCCGGGTGTTTGTAATTTCTATTTCCCAGTGCAGGTGTGGTTTGCATGAGCATGTTCACTTTGTGGAAATTCATTGAGCTGTAACTAAATATACAGAATTATTTATGAATGAAATGATATATAATTCAGTGGGAACCTGGGAGGATAGGGAGGAGGTGGGGGAGCTGAAGAAACATGAGTGGCCGAATGCTTAACAATTGTTATTGTTAGGTTATGGATACCCGGGGGGTGGTTGTACTATTCTTTCCTTTTGTGTATGTTTGAAATTTTCCATTATAAAAAGGACAAAAAAAAAAGAGAGAGAAAACTAAAAAAGAAAAAATAGTGTTGCGCTTGTTAGTAAAACCAATCTTAAGGCCAGTTACTAAAAAGTAAACTCCTACAATTTTGAATAGCTATTTGCTAATACAGTGATTTGCTGCCTTCTTGGGGTTAGTTTAGCCTGTCCATTCCTTATTTAACTTGCTCCCTTCCTTCCCTTTTAATAAAGTCCTGCCTAAGCTCCAGGCTCTATTTTCCACCTCTCCCCTAAGATTTAGGATTGTTCCGTTTTAAGTCAGTGGCCATATGTCTTCCTGTTCTCCTAGTGTAACTCTTACCTTACCCAGCAGCAGGCCCTCTGTTTAGGGCAGCCTATAATATTGCTTTTATGATTAATCTTCCCTTATCCACAAACTTAACTGTGGAGAAACAGGAGAAAGTGTGTGCCTAGAAGCTGGATTCAGGGACCCATGGTTACCCACTTCTACTTATGATTCCGTCATTACTGTTGTTTTAGGAAAATAAACAGATCTTGATTCTTTCATAAAAGTCGATTCTTCAACAAGCAAATGGGAAAATCGGCAGGCCCAGATATGTGTGTATAGCAGCTACTGGTTGGAAATTTGGACACAAAAGTCTTTATCTACCCAGCCTGTGAGCCACAAATCTGGACTGAGTATAAAAAAGAATAAAACTAAATACCACATGTTCTCACTTATAAGTGGGAACTAAACATTGAGTATGCATGTACATATAGATGGGAACAATAGACACTGGGGAACATGAGAAGGGAGGGAGAGAAAAAAGGGTTGAAAAACTACCAATTGTGTGCTATGCTCACTACCTGGATGATGGATTTGTTTGTACTCCAGCCTTAACATTCCACAATATCTTTTTAACAAACTTGCACTTTACCCCCAAATGTAAAATAAAAGTTGAAAAAAATATAAAAGAATAAAAGGTGGTTGGCTCTGTCATACAAAGATACTGAGGCTTATCTTAAAAATAGGCTCTGACCCCTCAGGATAAAAATCAGGCTTCTCCGTGCAGGTTTAGTTGACATGATTAGATGACTCTCCCAGAGTTGTGCCTTAGTGGTTGTCATATACATTGTTATAGACATCCTTGAAAAAACAAGACAAGACAGGAAAACTGAAGCTTTGAAATCCTTCCTGTATTTTCTAAACATCTGTCATTGGATTGCTTGCATTCCTCCAACTGATAGATTCCAGAAACTCACATAGTTGCAAATAAGAACATGAGTAGTAAATATCCCCCCAAATTATTTCAGAACTCAGCCATTATAAATTGATTTTATATTCATATAGTTATCTTTTTATTGATCTGTAATCCAAATTTAGCAAAGAATTAAAGATGAATCATAAATGAACACTTGAAAAAAGGTTCAATGTTGGCATTTTATAAAAATAGGTTAATAATTTCTTATTCCTTATCAAAAAACTGGATAAATAGAAATTTTAATCTTCATAAAAATGTAAATTCCAATGCAGATCAAGTGTTTGGTTGTTTGGTTTGTTGAAAGCTTGACTTTGTTTGCTTCATTTAGACAGACTATAAGATGCAAAACTTTAGCCCTAGAAACAAAATTAGGCATTAGAATCACGAGAATGGGATTTTGAAATGCCCCTGTGAGTTTACAGATGTTTCTAAAGTTCTGTGTTTAATATTTTGAATAAAATATGTGGCCATGCTCAGGATCTAGGAAGTTAGCAGTAGCCTCTTTCTTTTTCAGATACTGTGTTGACCAGTGGTCATGCCACTGCCTGTTGATTTGTTGAAAATATTGTTTACACGGTAAGTTTATCTCTGTTTACTGAGTCATTCTTAAGCAGCTCATGTGTGGCTTGTACTTCTCTAAACCCTTTATATAAGACCTTCCTTGTTATCATTCCTTATTTTAAATCTTCAAAATGTATTTGATAGATCCTTTAAAGGCCTGAATGGTTATGAAGTGCTTACATTATTGTTTTTGAAGGTTATACAAAGTCAGAGTTTCTTGACAGGTGATTAGCAGATTTCCCCATTCTTCAAATGACCATTTCACATCTACCTGCAAAGGAGAACAACACTCAGAAAGATGGTGTCTCCCAAATCATCCAAGCTAACAGAAAGTCTTTCTCTACTATTTATGAGAAGGTCCATCACTAGATTGAGAGCTCTTCTGGAAGTGAATCTGCCTGTATGTTCCCTAAAAACAACCCCTAGAGAGTTAGCTGCTGAGATGGCTGTATTTTCAAACTTGAGCTGCCTTGGAGAAAGCAGATCTGGAGTGGAGACATGGGATTTCTCATGGAAAGTGAAAATAACTCACTCAGAATAATGTTTTTTCAAACTCTTCTGTCTTTCCACAGTATGTTCTTGTTACTGATTGTCAGAAAGCTGGTTTTGAGACTGCAGCTTGGACTAAAGTAAGTTTTGTCTAGAATTGTTTCTCTATTCAGTATAGACATTTTCATGCTATGATTTATTTCTAAGCCTAGGGGAAACAATAAACAACATCTGGCTATCTTATTTCAAATTTGTTATGTAAAAATTGTGGATTGATCTTTATTGGAGCAAATTTGCAATCCAAATTCTCTTGGTGATTTATTTGCTTGGCACCTAATACACCTCTAAGCTAACAACAGTCATCTCATTTCAAATGTAAAGCCTCATTGTAAAAACAAAAAGCATATACATACACAAATATATAGAAAATAAAGACTAAAAAAATTTAATTTCCATAATTTTATCATCAAGAGACAGCCACTACTAATGCTTTGCTGGGGATCCTTCCAGACATTGTTCTATGTCTGTGTGTGTGTGTATTTTTAAATAAGATGATGCAGAACACAAGGCTTTGTTATTAAAAAAAATTAGACACAATTTCTATGCCTTAAAATCTAATTCAACAAAATTATTGTTTATGATTAAAGATTAAGTTTTATAGATGTTCCATCATTTATTTCAGCAGTCTCTTATTTTAGACATTTTCGTTATTTTCAGCATTTAAAGATTATATCTAAATCTTTATGTTTGTTTCTCATGAAGTGTCATGACCTGCCTGATATTTAAATGCTCTGCTAAAAAAAAAAAAAAATGAGTATGAGGTGGTAAGTCAATGTGGAATAGGTAATCTCCTAAGATAGCAGTCCCCAACTTTTTTGGCACCAGAGACTGGTTTCATGGAAGACAGTTATTCTATGGACAAGGGGACTTCCATGAGTCTCCTAGGAGCTGGTTTCAGGATGATTCAAGAACATTACGTTTATTATGCACTTTATTTCTCTTATATATTACATTGTAATGTATAAGAAAATAATTATACAACTCACCATAATACAGAATCAGTGGGAGTCCTGAGCTTGTTTTCCTGCAACTAGATAGCCCCATCTAGGGGTGATGGGAGACAGTGAGAGATCATCAGGCATTAAATTTTCAGAAGGAACACGCAACCTAGGTCCTTCGCATGCGCAGTTCTCAATAGGGTTCGTGCTCCTATGAGAATCTAATGCCACTGCTGATCTGACAGGAGGCAGAGCTTCAGGTGGGAATGCCAGTGATAGGGAATGGCTGTAAATACAGAGGTAGCTTTGCTTGCTCACCTGTTGCGCACCTCCTGCTGTGCAGCCTGGTTCCTAACAGGCCATGGTCTGGTACCAGTCCATGGCCTGTGTCGTGGGTTGGGGCCCACTGCCCTAAGAGACAGTGGCAATTAATCCAGGTTAAATGTGATGATGTCTTAATTAGCCTGGGATGTTAGAGGAGGAGGCAGTGAGAAGTGGTCAGAGCCTGGATTTATTTTATCTTTTTAAAAGCTAACAGAACTTGCATATGGATTAGATTGTGAGTTGTGGAAGAAAGAAAGAAGTCAAGGATCATCATATTAAGAGGACAAAGGAGGAAAAATGAACAACTCAGTAGATGCTTAAAGAAACATTGTTAAGAGGCAATATCCATTTCAGATTTTTTTTAAAAACAGTTTTTGCAAATTGAACAGAACAATTGAAGTCCCAAAATGATCAATAAAAACATATTATTGATTTTGTCCATTCAGCCACTCTCTCACCAGATTAATGAATCCTTGTTGTATACAGCCTTAGGTTGGAGCAAACCCTTGCCATGAACTGAGAGGGGCCTGCTGTCACTATGGGATAAATCTTAGAGAAAGGCCAGCCATGACAGCAAAAGTGTGTTCATCTTCAGAGTACTTTGGGGACACTCATTACTTGAAGTCATTGTTAAAAATTCTGAGACAAGGAAATTAGGAAGATTGACCTCCCCAGTAAGCTATGAGCCATGAGAATCTTTCCATAAGAAGAGGTAGCTAGGATGCAGGGATTCTGTAGTGGGTGGAGTTCGGGTGAATCTGCCATGCCAGCCAAGAAGCCCTGTCTGAGTGACTGTTTTCCTCTGCAGTTCAGTCATCTGGCTGTCTGGGGAAGCATGCTGACCAGTCTGGTGTTCTTTGGCATCTACTCAGCCATCTGGTCCACCATTCTCATTGCCCCAAATATGAGAGGACAGGTAAGTATGCCAGATTGGAAGTTTGCCTTCTGTGTCTTGTGATAACAATGTTTCTCCATGTGTAGGCAAGCAGGCTCTCTGTGTTTTACAACTGTATTGAGGTTTGATAGACGCTGGTGCTACCTCTTTCTGTCAGGATCTATCAGGAGGTAAACCAAATTAAAGCACCTGGAAGATGTCATCCAATCCACAGAAATGGCATTTCAAATTTAAAGTATTATAAAAAGTCAACCTAAATCCCCTTACTTACCTGGCATGTCCACATTTTCATAATAAATTATGTGTTAATTGCACATAGTACTGATATGTGCAGTTTATGGCCCTTTGGAAACTGGAGCTATTTTGAGTTGCTCATAATCCAGTGATTATACTGGTTACAGTTTTGATGTTGTACTCTGATTAGTAGTTATCCTCTGCTGAGTCATCTGTGGAAGTTAAATCTAACAGCTCTATGAACCAGCATCTCTCATTGTTCCGTCTCTTTGAACTAGAAAGACTGAGATTAAAGGTCTTTATACTCACTTGAATATCTTTTTATTTTTTTCTTTTATATTACCTTTTTCTAGTGCATGAGATTCAGCCATCAACCGTGATGAACTGGATCATGGAATCTAACAATATCAAGTTTGGATAGAAAGGAGCTTGGCAATCTTGTGGTCCATGCCTCCTCAATTTACCAAGGAAGCTGTGCAAGCTCAGGTCTCCAGGTTCATCCCAGAGACCCCACCCTGGGGTTGCCCGCAGCATTCCTGTCCTTAGACCCCAAAAACAGGCTGCTGGGCCCTGTATTTAGGGACCTCTGCACTGGCTCTTCTTCTCTGGGTGTATTTCTCTGCACAGAGTGAAAAGCTGTGATGCACACAGCCAGTCTTCCCACTTCTAATCTGTTCTCTGGGCTCCCAGGAACCCAAGCCTCTTTCTCAAACAGCCAAATGCCCACTGCCCAGGCCTGCCTGGGCCTCCTTCCAGATCAAGGCCAGTTTGCACAACCTTAGGCCCAAGGGACAGTTGTTTGCAAGGGGTGTGCACTGAGTAGATTGATGTTTGCACTGGTGTTTCCACCGACGTTTAAAGGAGGATGTTCATGCTGGGGCACAGAACCCAGGTGGAAAGGGAAGAACTGTGGGTCAGACTTTAATTGGTGTTTCCCACCCAGGAATACATATTTTAGGGGCAGGTCTGGGCATGGCACAGCTGTCTGCTATCTCTGCCTCACTTACTCTGCGGAAGTAAACAAACCCCCCTGGGTTAACCCAAGTCTAGACTGTGTCCAGCAGCTGTTTCTTGTGAGGTAGCCCTGAGTAGTGTTGCTTGTCTTTTGACCTGGTGGCTCAATTGGCTAATATCCCAAGGTGCAGAGGACCCCCACTGAGGATGCTGAGTGGGATGGACCTGTCCTGCAGGAGCGGGCGTGCTTGCCCTCTAATGCATTTTTGCTTTTTGTAAGAAAAGAGGACAAATGTCTAATGTGCTTTTCAGTTCTTTTCCAAATTCAGACAATAGAGGAAATTAGAGGGGATTCAATAAACCCAGAATATTGTTGTGTAGCAAAATGAGCATTTCCAACAAAGAAACTTTGTGTGTTTAAAGAAAGCAATTCTATTTTAAAGCAGCATGATTGAGCCCCACAAAACAAAGTGTCAGCTACAAGACAACAATCTTTTGGTAAGGTATTGGGGCTTACGATATCTGTTTTGTGCCCTCTTCCTTCTGGTTCAGAGTTGATCTGCTATGATAAATATTTTATTTGGGGAGTTTTTTGGTACTGGACAATAAACAGGGCCACAGCTGATTGCCAGAGACAATTTTCTAAATTAGAGGACAATGACAGCTGACAGGATGGGTCACTTGGTTTGTGACTGGCAAACTAAGCCCATTTGTCTAGGTTCCTAGGTTGGTGAATGCTCAGAAGTGAAGGGTATTCTAGGAAAAAACTGCTTTTTATAGGCCCGGCACGCTTCCGCTGCACAACTCTGCTATCGAAAAGATTTTTTTTTTTTTTTTTTTTTTTTTTTTAGACACAGTCTTCCTCTGTTGCCCAGGCTAGAGTGCAGTGGCAAGATCTCGGCTCACTGAAACCTCCACCTTCTAGGTTCTAAGCGATTCTCCTGCCTCAGCTTCTGGAGTAGCTGGGATTACAGGTGTGTACCACCACACCTGGCTAATTTGGTATTTTTAGCAGAGACGGTGTTTCACCGTGTTGGCTAGGCTGGTGTCAAATTCCTGACCTCAGGTGATCCACCGGCCTCAGCCTCCCAAAGTGCTGGGATTTCAGGTGTGAGCCACCATGCTTTTAAAATTACTATTTGAATAATGCTTCTGATAATTTTTCTTTTTTTTTCTTGAGAATGAGTTTTGCTCTTGTTGCCCAGGCTGGAGTGCAATGGCGCAATCTCGGCTCACTGCAACCTCTGCCTCCCAGGTTCAAATGATTCTCCTGCCTCAGCCTCCCAAGTTGCTGGGAGTATAGGCATGCACCACCACACTCGGGTAATTTTTTATATTTAATAGAGATGGAGTTTCACTATGTTAGGTTGATCTCAAACTCCTGACGTCAGGTGATCCACCAACCTCGGCCTCCCAAAGTGTTGGGATTACATGCATGTGCTACCACACCTGGCCAGCTTCTAGTGATTTTATAAACCATTTTTTGTAGTTCACTAAACAGTAGGTTTTTGGCAAATAAACATGGTTATTTGATGCTCTTCTATTAAACTACTGTGTAATAGCAAATGGCATTTTCCACCCAGAAGCCAGAGAGATTGGACACACAAAACATTTTCTCTATTCATAACTTTATTTTTTTGAGATAGAGTTTCATTTTTTTTGCCCAGACTGGAGTGCAATGATGCAATCTCAGCTCACTGTAACCTCCGCCTCCCCGGTTCAAGTGATTCTCCTGCCTCAGCCTCCTGTGTAGCTGGGATTAAAGGTGCCCGCCACCATACCCAGCAACTTTTTGTATTTTTAGTAGAGACAGGGTTTCACCATGTTGGCCAGGCTGTTCTTGAACTCCTGTCCTCAAGAGATCCACCCACCTCAGCCTCCCAAAGTGCTGGGATTACAGGCGTGAGCCACTGTGCCTGACCCATAACATCTTTAACTTTCAAAAAGATGCACTGTTTCTGCTGGGGGTTTCTTTTACTAATTTGATTAGAGAATTCTTTGTTTTGTCCATGATATTTGGAGTTTTTCTCGTGGGGGAGAATGCAGGTTTTCTCTTGATGGTAATAATTCTACAGTAGAATTAGAATTCTTCTTCACTATCAAAGAGTCTTTATCTTCTGTAAAGAATCTCATGATATGGTATGTGAAACCCAACCAGCCAACACATTAGGAAGTTCCAGTTGAAGTTTCTGAAATCAAAGAAGCCACCTGCGTCCTTCCTCTCTTGAAAATATGCCACATTTGTGGGATCTTAAAAGGAGACCTGTTTTTCCATTTGTCTCTTCTCAAGCTTAGATCTATAGTAAGTTAAAAACTCAGATTGTATCTATCATGGTTAATGCCAGCCAAACCCTCAGCTATGGAAAATATGTGATAATGTTTTTTCTGTAGGGGATTACAGAAAGTGTTTTTTCCCCCAGTAACATATCTGTGAGATTTAAGTTTCCCCATAATGGGTCCCCAAGGCAAATACTTAAAAGTAGAATATAACTAAGTTCTTTTTAGTTCGCTGCCTCCCCCAAAGTTGCCTACTGATAGAGAATTGGAGAGATGAGGAAATCGTGATCCAAAATTAGATTAGGAAATGTGTTTATATTTTCTGCATGCTTTTCCCAATGCTTTTGACTTTAGTAGTGGTAGAGGGAATGCCATATTACTTGACCTCTGTACAAAAGTCAGGAGACCTGGCAGGGTTTATGCCCCAGGCAGTTATATAACATTTGGCAAATCCCTTTACCTGCATTAATCGCCTAATCAGCAAAGTCAGAATAATACCACTCACCCTAATTACCTGATAGGATTCTGGAAAATATGTAACAACCTGTGGAAAATCTAAAACATGCATGCTCTTCTTTTTCCTGGAGTGATGAATTATTTTTAAACCTTCATGAATAGAAATATTGCTGTGATTTAAACTCCAAATTCTTTTGGCCACATAGTTTTAACATTTTGTAGGTTCTAAATTGGATGTTTCTCAGCAAGGTCCATTGATTACCTGCACTCAAATCATTTGGATTGCTTGTTAAAACGACAACCCCTCCACCTGCAGGCAATCTCTCTCTCTCTCTCTCTCTCTCTGTCTCTCTCTCTCTTACACACACACACACACACACACACACACACACACACACACACACACACACACAGAGTGAATTTGGAACCTCTGGGTGTGGCACACCAGCACCTAAATTGTAATAAATCTTTAGGTGATTCTTTCCTTTAAACTTTGAGAACCACTGCTCCAAAACACCTAAAATATGACTTCATTAGAATGTTTTAGCTGTCATAGGGTGTTACAGGAGAACATGATACATTGAAGATACTCACAGCTGAGAATGTCAGTGGAGGAGGAGAGATTAAGTGTAGGAATCTGCCTAGGGCCAGGAGAGGACTTGTTTTCAGGTTAAGGTCTGTGGTGTGGAACCGTGTTTGCTTGTCTCAGCATCCATTCTTCTTCACCCTTTCCTAATTGTTCCCATATGTGCTGTGACTTTCCCCCTTACTCCTGGGGAAAACTTAATCCCATCCCTTCTGTAGTGATTGGTTCATGAAGCCGAGAGACATGGGGACACACTTGTCAGGGGCTTCTGGGATAGCAGCAAGTGTGCTCCTAAAAGAATCCGTCAAAGAGACAGCTTTCTCATCTGAATGCTGTGGTTGCTGCTGTGACACTGGGAATGGTTCAGCTAAAGGAGGAAAACCACCCTCAATACCACCCTACTGCTGGCATGAAAGATAGACTAGAAAGACAGAAAGGCAAACAAAACCAAAAGTCTCTTTTTTATTGCTTTATTTGACAAGTAAATAAAACCCAAAAGTCTCTGCGTGATTGTTGAGACCCTGTATAAAGCCAGCTTCAAAGCCCAACCCAAATGGGGCACTCGGAGAGTCTCCTGTGTGTGGCTTGGCATTGTGGTCAGCTCTTGCCAAGGAAGCTTCTCTCCACCTAAGTGAGGCTGTCAAGTTGTTTGCTTAGCTTCACAAGCACGTGGTCAGCCAAGGAAGTAAATGCTTTTTAAGAACAGTCTTTAGTATAGCATGTTTAACTGTTTTACTATGCCTAAAGTTACAGATTGGTTTTACGAGCCTTGTAAAGAATTATTTAGTGTTGCAATTATTAGTTTTTTTAGGCAGTAACATCCCAGAAAATGTCTAATGGGCATATCTTAAGCTTGTTGGAATTAATCTCAAATACAATGTTGAATAGACTCAGTCCAGTTTTCTTCAAGTATCATATTTCAGAAACCTGAGGCCTGTCTGGTGAGGAGCAGTCAGCCTCATCAAGGAGGAAGTCCCATCAGCGGAGGCTTGCCTTTCTGTTTGAAATAACATTGTGGCATATTTTTATACAGTTTTCTTGAATATTGAAGTTGGCTGAATTATTTGTTGTAGTCTGATTTCCATTCTGGCTTTTAAACTTGTATATTTTGTGGAACAGTAAGACTCACTTACAAGAAGTAACATGCTGTGTTTCTGGATGATATTCTTATCTGAGTACAAAGCACGATGAGATGAGCAAAGTTAACATGGCACAGACTTCCTGGTTTCTCCCATACCTGTGACTCTTGTTGCCTGCAACCTGGGGTCTCCCATTCATGTATATTTCTCTCCTTGAAGCCTCCTGACATCAATCCCTGTCTGAGGCAATTTCTAGAATAAAAGAAAATTAAAACTATAACAAAAAGCCCTCTTCACTGATAATAAAAAAAGTCAGAAACATTGACTTGACCAGTGCTAGCAAGGTGCCTTCTCACAGTCTATAAATATTTGGGATCTAGAATCAGAAAACTCAGGCATCCATCAGACAACAATTCTGTCACAGAATTGCTTTGTCATTGTTACATGTAATACCAACTTGTTTTGAGTTTTCTTTTCCTAATTAACAAATGAAAAAGAAAGTAGATTTTCTTAAGTTGAAAGCTCTTTAAAGTGATTTCAGATTCTTTCGATAGGCAGTGATGGGCACAGCATCTTCCTTTATCAAAATTGCCTCTGGATTCTCTCGAATCCTTCCAAATTAAAGTGACCCGAATCTAATTTCTTTCCTATTCAGTTAAAATTATAACTGTGAAAGTAGGATTTGAGCTAAATTACCTAATGCCTAAATCATTTATGACGTTGAGTCTATTGTCCATATTAGCCATACTTGTGTTATTTCTGAGCCTCAGCTTTTCAGGTGTATGAAGGTGATAATATCCTTGGATTTTATATGGAAATTAAATAAAATAAGTCATGTAAATGAGACTTTGTTGTTTATTGAACAATTACTATGTGTCAGACAGAATATGAAAATATGTTTTTACTATATGCAATTACATGCATAATAACTTTAGCATCAGCTCATTCAGTAATCTGCAACCTCAGGAAACAGGCTTAGAGAGAAAGAGTCAGCTTTTTGGCAAGGCAGGGAATAGAGTAGCTGGAATTTCCCCTGGAGTCAGACTCCAAGCTGTGAGTCTCCTCACTTTGTGACTCTGGATAACACCTACAGTGATAATAAACCAGGCATCTGAGAAATGGTTAACACTCCTGAACATTTTGCACTTAATAAATTTTATTTGAAGTGACTTACCCTGCAATGCAATTTAATTTTTAAAAGATAAATGGAGAGTTAGAAGGAATAAGCAGACTTTGTGCTTGAACTGCAATCTTGTGTCCGTGAGCCCAATCTTCCCTATGGTAAAGCAGGTTTCAAACAACAGTGTTTATTTTTTATGTACACTATGAAAAGTCAAATGGTGTTTCTGGTTCTAGATCCTTGAGGAATCGCCACACTGTCTTCCACAATGGTTGAACTAATTTACACTCCCACCAACAGTGTAAAAGCATTCCTGTTTCTCCACAGCCTCTCCAGCATCTGTTGTTTCCAGACTTTTTAATGATTGCCATTCTAACTGGCATGAGATGGTATCTCATTTTGGTTTTGATTTGCATTTCTCTAATGACCAGTGATGACGAGCTTTTTTTCATATGTTTGTTGGATGCATAAACATCTTCTCTTGAGAAGTGTCTGTTCATATCCTTCATCCAGTTTTTGATGGGTTTGTTTGATTTTTTTCTTGTAAATTTGTTTAGGTTCCTTGTAGATTCTGGATATTAGACCTTTGTCAGATGGGTAGATTGCAACATTTTTCTCTCATTCTGTAGGTTACCTGTTCATTCTGATGATAGTTTCTTTTGCTGTTCAGAAGCTCTTTAGTTTAATTAAATCCCATTTGTCAATTTTGGCTTTTATTGCAATTGCTTTTGGTGTTTTAGTCATGAAGTCTTTGCCCATGCCTATGTCCTGAATGGTATTGCCTAGGTTTTCTTGTAGGGTTTTTATGGTTTTAGGTTTTACATTTAAGTTTTTATTCCATCTTGAGTTAATTTTTTTTAAATAAAGTATAAGGAAGGGATCCAGTTTCTGTTTTCTGCATATGGCTAGCCGGTTTTCCCAGCACCATTTATTAAATAGGGAATCCTTTCCCCATTGCTTGTTTTTGTCAGGTTTGCCAAAGATCAGATGGTTGTAAAGGTGTGATGTTATTTCTAAGGCCTCTGTTGTGTTCCATTGGTCTATACACCTGTTTTGGTCCCAGTACCATGTTGTTTTGGTTACTGAACCCATGAAGTATAGTTTGAAGTCAGGTAGCTTGATGCCTCTAGGTTTGTTCTTTTTTGCTTAGGATTGTCTTGGCTATACGGGCTCTTTTTTGGTTCCATATGAAATTTAAAGTAGGTTTTTCTCTAGTTCTATGAAGAAAGTCAATGGTACCTTGATGGGAATAGCATTGTATCTATAAATTACTTTGGACCATATGGCCATTTTCATGATATTGATTCTTCCTCTCCATGAGCATGGAATGTTTTTCCATTTGTTTGTGTCCTCTCTTATTTCCTTGAGCAGTGGTTTGTGGTTGTCTTTTAAGAGGTCCTTCATGTCCCTTGTAAGTTGTATTCCTAGGTATTTTATTCTCTTTGTAGCAATTGTGAATAGGAGTTCACAAATGATTTGGATCTCTGCTTGTCTATTTTTGGCATATAGGAATGCTTGTGATTTTTGCACATTTATTTTGTATCCTGAGACTTTGCTGAAATTGCTTTATCAGCTTAAGGAGTTTTTGGGCTGAGATAGTGGGATTTTCTAAATATACAATCTTGTTGTCTGCAAACAGAGACAATTTCACTTGTTCTCTTCCTATTTGAATACCTTTATTTCTTTCGGTTGCCTGATTGGTCTGGCCAGATCTTCCAATACTATGTTGAATAGGAGTGGTGAGAGAGGGCAAACTTGTCTTATGCCGGTTTTGAAAGGAATGCTTCCAGCTTTTACCCATTCAGTATGATATTGGCTATGTGCTTAACAGAAATAGCTCTTACTACTTTGAGATATGTTCCATCAATACCTAGTTTATTGAGAGTTTTTAGCGTGAAGCAGTGTTGAATTTTATTGAAGGCCTTTACTGCATCTATTCAGATAATCATGTGGTTTTTGTCATTGGTTCTTTTTATGTAATGGATTATGTTTATTGATTTGTGTATGTTGAACCAGTCTTGCATCTCAGGGATGAAGCCAACTTGATCGTGGTGGATAAGCTTTTTGATGTACTGCTGGATTCATTTTGCCAGTATTTAATTGAGGATTTTCATCTCAATGTTCATCAGGGATATTGGCCTGAAATTTTCTTTTTTTATTGTGTCTCTGCCAGGTTTTGGAATGAGAATGATTCTGGCCTCATGAAATGAGTTAGGGAGGTGTCCCTCTTTTTCTGTTGTTTGGAATAGTTTCAAAAGGAATGGTACCAGATCCTCTTTGTACCTCTGGTAGAAGCCAGCTGTGAATCCATCTGCTCCTGGACTTTTTTTGGTTGGTAGGCTATTAATTACTGCCTCAATTTCAGAAATTGTTATTGGTCTATTCAGGGATTTGACTTCTTCCTTGTTTAGTCTTGGGAGGGTGTATGTGTCCAGGAATTTATCCATTTCTTCTAGATTTCCTAGTTTATTAGCATAGACATGTTTATAGTATTTTTTGATGGTAGTTTGTATTTCTGTGAAATCAGTGGTGATATCCCCTTTATCATTTTTTATTGTGTCTATTTGATTCTCCTGTCTTTTTTTCTTTATGAGTCTGGCTAGTGGTCTATTTTGTTAATCTTTTCATAAAAACGGCTCCTGGAGTCATTGATTTTTTGTTAATCCAGTCTATCATTGATGGACATTTGGGTTGGTTCCAAGTCTTTGCTATTGTGAATAGTGCCGCAATAAACATGCGTGTGCATGTGTCTTTATAGCAGCATGTTTTATAATCCTTTGGGTATATACCCACTAATGGGATTGCTGGGTCAAATGGTATTTCTAGTTATAGGTCCTTGAGGAATTGCCACACTGTCTTCCACAATGGTTGAACTAGTTTACAGTCCCACCTACAGTGTAAAAGTGTTCCTTATTCTCCACATCGTCTCCAGCACCTGTTGTTTCCTGACTTTTTAATGATTGCCATTCTAACTGGTGTGAGAGGGTATCTCATTGTGGTTTTGATTTGCATTTCTCTGATGGCCAGTGATGATGAGCATTTTTTCATGTGTCTTTTGGCTGCATAAATGTCTTCTTTTGAGAAGTGTCTATTCATATTGTGTCCAAAATTGGTGGGTTCTTGGTCTCATTGACTTCAAGAATGAAGCCATGGACCCTCGTGCTGAGTGTTACAGTTCTTGAAGATGATGTGTCCCGAGTTTGTTCCTTCCAATGTTTGGAGTTTGGACGTGTTTGGAGTTTCTTCCTTCTGGTAGGTTTGTGGTCTCACTGGCTTCAGGAGTGAAGCCGCAGACCTTTGCGGTGAGTGTTACAGCTCTTAAGGCGGCGCGTCTGGAGTTGTTTGTTCCTCCCGTCCGGAGTTGTTCATTCCTCCCAGTGGGTTCGTGGTCTTGCTGGCCTCAGGAGTGAAGCTGCAGACCTTCGTGGTGAGCATTACAGCTCATAAGGGCAGTGCGGGCCCAAAGAGTGAGCAGCAGCAAGATGTATTGCAAAGAGCAAAAGAACAAAGCTTCCACAGTATGGAAGGGGACCTGAGTGGGTTGCTGCTGCTGGCTCCAGCAGCCTGCTTTTATTCCCTTATCTGACCCCACCCACGTCCTCCTGATTGGTCCATTTTATAGAGAGCTGATTGTTCCATTTTACAGAGCGCCAACTGATCCATTTTACAGAGAGCTGATTGGTCTGTTTTGACAGGGTGCTGATTGGTGTATTTACAAACATTGAGCTAGACACAGAGTGCTGATTGGTGCATTTACAATCCTTTAGGTAGATATAAAAGTTCTCCAAGTCCCCACCAGATTAGCTAGATACAGAGTGCTGATTGGTGCATCCACAAAACCCGAGCTAGACACAGAGTGCTGATTGGTGCATATACAATCCTCTGGCTAGACATAAAAGTTCTCCAAGTCCCCACCCAACTCAGGAGCCCAGCTGGCTTCACCTAGTGAATCCTGCACCAGGGCTGTGGGCGGAGCTGCCTGGCAGTCCCTTGCCATGCGCCTGCACTCCTCAGCCCTTGGGCGGTCGATAGGACTGGGCACTGCAGAGCAGGGGGCGACACCCGTTGGGAAGGCTCAGGCCGCATGGGAGCCCATGGCAAGGGGGAGGTTCAGGCATGGCAGGCTGCAGGTTCTCAGCCCTGCCCCATGGGGAGGCAGCTGAGGCTCGGCAAGAAATCAAGCATGGCGCCGGCAGGCCAGCACTGCTGGAGGACCTGGCACACCCTCTGCAGCTGCTGGCCCAGGTGGTAAGCCCCTCACTGCCCAGGGCCGGCAGCACTGGACAGCTGCTCCGAGTGCAGGGCCTGCTGAGCCCGCACCCACCCAGAACTCATGCTGGCCTGCGAGCGCCGCATGCAGCCCTGGTTCATGCCTGCACCTCTCCCTCCACACTTCCCTGCAAGCAGAGGGAGCCAGCTCCAGGCTCGGCCAGCCCAGATAGGGCCTCCCACAGTGCAGTGGTGGGCTGAAGGGCTCCTCAAGCATGACCAGAGCAGATGCCAAGGCTGAGGAGGTGCTAAGAGTGAGCAAGGGCTGCTTGCATGCTGTCACCTCTCAATCCCCGCTCTAAACAGGACACTCCAACTGCTGTTGGGAATTTGGCCAGTGACCACTCTAGCTACTTCCTGCTGCATAGGGGCAATGAAGAGGCCCTGCAGTTTTAGTGTCCTCCAGAGGGGAGCCCTCTAGACCAGTGAAAGTGCCAGCAGGTCGGTACAGGGTCCTCATTAGAAGTTGTTAATTGAACTCATTTGAGTTTCCATTTGTAAGACCATCTGTAGCTTGATGGCCTCGATTCTGGAGGAAAAAAATTTGACAAGAAGGTTAAAAACACAGGGCCCAAAGGTGAGTAACAGTAAGATGGCTGCCATGGGACCTAGAAAGGGGAGAAGCCATGTTGCCCAACTCCAGAGGTTGGTATGAGTTTGAAAGGCATTGCCTGATTTCAGAAGCCTTTTCCTGTAAATGCTGGGCGGCATCTCATACTATCCTTGATTGGTTAGTGTAAAAACAATACTCTTCCCCTAAGAAGGTGCAAAGTCCTCCTTTCTCAGCAGTGAGGAGGTCTAGGCCTCAGAGGTTTTGGAGAGTCATTGCTGCTAAAGAGTCTATTTGGGATTGTAAAGTAAGGATAGATTTTGTTATTTCTTGCAAACTGAGAAATCCTTTGAGTGTGTGTGGTAGTAGAATAATGAAGTAGATAAACCAGCTATTCCAGTTCCTGTAGCAGTAGCCATTCCTAACCCTATAAGTAGGGTTATTAGTTGTATGGCTCTGCACTGAGGGACTTGAGCTTTGAGGGGTACTGATAAGGTCTGATTTCCTGGGGCAATGTTAATTTTGGGACTTAGAAAGACTAAGGTGCAGGTGCCTGTCCAGTTAGTGGGGAGGCAGATATAGGTCGATGTTCCACATAAGAATATACCTTGGCTGGGTAGACATAACTGGTTATGTATGTTAAAAAAGTGTGTGAGTTTGTTGTTTTCATTTTCCCATACTCCTATAGCACTTGCCAAGGTAGCTCCAGTGAGTGACTGGAAAGGGGTATTGGGAGCAAACTGAGTGGCTCCCTGTGTTCTGTTTTCCCATTGGAGAAAAAAACATTTCGTATCCACTAGGAACCATTCGAGAGAGTGATTGAAAGAGGGGATGAGAAGGCATTCACTAGTGGTGGGGGCACTGCTGCAGGGGGTCCAGGGGTGAATGGTCATGCAGGGAGTATGTTTGCCATTACAAAACCTGGACTATTTGTTAAGCAGGGAGGAGATGATGATTTTGGGGGGCCCTGAGAAGCGGACAAGCCATCTGAATGGAGCTGTTTGGGTGACTCAGAAGTTACTATGATCAGTTGGGGCTTGAAGCAATAGGGTGTAATTACACTGATGAGGTAGTAGGTGCCCCAGGGGCAGACCTGATAACAGGTTGCATTGGATGCATAAAGGGGCTTGGAAAGGTAAGATAGTATTTGTGGTTACAGGGCCTTGTATGGGCTTTTCATTGCTTGTGTAATAGGTGAGATTGGAAATGTAAGAACCTAAAAGTTGGATTGCACATCCTGTTATGGTATTCTTGGTCCTATCAGATATGGGGAAGTCGGCTAATGATTGCATATTTAAAGTCAGAAAGGGTCTTTTCCTTCATAACGAGGGTAGTAGGTTAAGTTGGTAAAGACCCAGTTTTTTGCGGGAATGGGAGTGGCAACGTAGGCAGAGGTTGATAGAGAGATACAAAGGCAATAGTCATTTGCCAGGGAAGGATTGGACTGGTTTAACAGAGAGTGAGTTAAGTTGAGAGTCTTGTAGAGGTAATTAGGAGCTAGTGGAAGGGGAGGGGTGATTGTGTGAGGTATCCAAGGAAGCAGGAGGGATACACAAGCAAAGAGCAAATAGGAAGGTAAAGAGGGTGCTCTGGAAAACGAGATCATTTTATCTAGTCTGAGTTAAAGGTAGGAGTAAATTGCTGTCAAAAGGAAGGAAGATAGAAGGTTGATGTGATTAGGATTTTCATCCTGGCAGGAGCTACAGTATATAGTCCTATCACAAAGAGTATGGTTAGTATGCTGTTTTCACTTATCTTTTTTAAGGAGGAAGGGGTCTTTCCTCAGGATCAGTGGTAGGAGCCTTTTTAGTCTGGGATGTTTCCTTCTGAAACAGGAGGTGCAATTCCTTCAACAGTTTGCAGGTGTATCGAGGCTGGTCTGGCTGATCTTGGGACTCCTGAGTTGATGGTCCTGCAGGTTCCTCAGGGGATGTCCAAAGTTTAACTCGGGTGTGGCGAATCCAAGATTCCACTCCTGCCACCTTAACTGCAGTGGGAGTAGAGAGGATTACCGAGTATGGTCCTTCCCATAAAGAGTCCATAGATGGGGAGGTAAAGGGGAGATATTTGACCAACACTAGATCTCCTGGTTGAAACAACTCTGTTCCCTTTTTTCTGTGACATCCTTCAGGTAGGTTTTAAAGGTTTTGTTGATGTTTTGCCAAAGAAATTATATATTTGACCAAGTTGGCCATTTCCTGATCAAGTAAGAGGTCATTTGTGAGAAAAGGTCGTCCATACAGCATTTCATTTGGACTGAGCTCTATTTTGTGAGGAGAATTTCGGATTCTCAACAGGGCCATGGGCAAAAGAGTAGGCCATGGGAGATGAATTTCTTGTGTTAGTTTCCTTAAGTGCCTCTTGAGTGTTTCATTTGCCTTCTCAACCTTCCCTGAAGATTGTGGCCTCCAGGAGCAGTGAAGGTGATATTGTATCCCTAGCACCCTGGAAATTCCCTGATTTATCATGGCTTTAAAAGCCAGACCATTGTCACTCTGTAAGCTTTGGGGAAGCCCAAATCTAGGAATTATTTCATGAATTAGGACTTTAATCACTTCCTGAGCCTTCTCTGTCTTGCAGGGGAAAGCTTATATCCAATTTGTAAAGGTATCAACACAGACCAACAAATATTGAAATCCCTTTGACTTAGGCATATGGGTGAAGTCTAACTGCCAGACCTCTCAGGGATAGTGACCTCTTCTTTGTTTCCCCAGAGGGGCCTTACGATGAACCAAGGGATTATTCTTTTGGCACACCTCATAGGCTTTGACTACGTGTTGGATGGTCCAGAGGAGACTTGGCCCTGTAGATAGGGATTTGGCCATTTGATGAGTATTTTCAATACCCATATGAGAAGTTTGGTGGAGGGTTTTAAGTATTTTCCACTGGCTGGCTTTGGGTATAAGTACCTTTCCTTCTTATATCACCAACCACCCCAAGGGGAGAAAACTATGCCCCGTGAAAGTCCCCATTCTGCTTCAGTCAGGGAATACTGGGGCTTAATCTCTTGGAGGGGGTCGATCCATACCAAGGGTCCTTCCGTAGGTATTTCTAATGGGGGGTTCCACCTAGCAGCAATTTTGGCCTCAGCATCTGCCTGATGGTTTCCTTCTGCCTTTCTTCCTTCACCTTTCTGATGGCTGTGGCAGTGTAAGACTGCCACCTCCTTGGCTTTTTGCACTGCATGCAATAACTCTATAATTTCCTTGTGGTATTTAATGGCAGTTCCCCCAGAGGTTAGGAATTCCCTTTCTTTCCATATTGCAGCATGGGCATGTAGGATTAGATAAGCATACTTGCTATCTGTATACACATTTATTCTTTTTCCCTTTCCCAGTTCTAAGGCACGGGTAAGTGCCACTAGTTCTTCTAACTGGGCACTGGTCCCTGGGGGAAGAGGCTTACTTTCAAGTACAGTTACATCACTAACTATGGTGTAACCTGCCCTTCATATCCCATTCTCCAGGAATGAACTTCCATCGGTATATAGGTTAAGGTCAGGATTAGCTAAGGGGACTTCTAAGAGATAATCTTGGGTGGCATAAGTCTAGACTATAATTTTTTGGCAGTCATGCTCAATTGGTTCCCCATCCTCTGAGACAAAAGTGGCAGGGTTGAGGGCCACGCACATGCATATTTGAAGCACCGCCTCAAGGAGTAGCACCTGGTATCTAAGTAGGTGGTTGTCTGATAGCCATAAACTTCCTTTGGCACCTAGTATGCCATTTACATCATGAGTAGTCCAGACAGTGAGATCCTTTCCTTGCATTATCTTGATAGCCTCTGACACTAAGATGGCCACCACCGCAACTACCCTTAAACAGTGAGGCCAGCCTTTTGATAGTACATCAATTTCCTTACTTAGGTATGCCACTGGTTGTGGGGTTGTCCCACAAGTCTGAGTAAGGACTCCCAAGAGCTATCCCTGCTCTCTCTGTGATGTATAAAGAAAAGTTTTGTACTGTGGGAAGGCTTAAAGCTGGAGCTTGTACTAGGGCCTGCTTTAAGGTTTTGAAGGCTGTTTTTGCATCTTATTCCCATTCTATTAGATGAGTATTTGCTCTCTGGGTCTCCTTGATTAGAGTATAGAGGGGCCTGGCTATCTCGCTGTATCTGGGGATCCATAGTTGGCAAAAGCCTGTGATTCCAAGGAACCTCCACAACTGTTTTAATGTCTTAGGGTGAGGATAAGCCAGTATAGGTTGTATTCATTCTTGCTAAGAGCCCTGGTCCCTCTGGCTAAGATTAGGCCTAGATATTTGACCTGCTGTTGGCAAAGCTGGGCCTTCGACCTAGACACCTTGTACCCTTGATTAGCTAGAAAGTTCAAGAGATCTAGAGTAGCCTGCTGGCATGATGCTTCCGAACTGGTAGCCAAAAGTAAATCATCCACATACTGAAGCACCAGAGTGCCTGGACTTGAGAAGTGGCCGAGATCTTGTGCCAGTGCCTCACAAAACAGGTGAGGGCTATCCCTAAACCCTTGGGGCAAGACCATCCATGTAAGTTGGGACATGTGATCTGTGGGATCCTCAAAGGCAAAGAGAAACTGGGAGTCAGAATGCAGGGGAATACAGAAGAAGGCATCCTTGAGGTCCAAAACCATGAACCATTCTGCTTCCTTTGGTATTTGAGAGAGCAGGGTATAGGGGTTGGGTACAACTGGATATAGAGGAATTACTGCCTTATTGATGAGTCTAAGATCTTACACTAGTCTCCACTGATGGTTTGGTTTTTGTACTCCTAGAATTGGGGTGTTGCAGGGACTGCTGCATTTCCTTACTAAGCCTTGAGCTTTTAAATGTTTAACAATATCCTGTAATCCTTTATGAGCTTCAAGCCTTAAGAGATATTGACTTTGATAAGGAAAAGTGGTGGGATCTTTTAACCTGATTTGGACTGGGCGGGCATTTTTTGCCCTTCCAAATTGTCCTTCCAATGCCCAGACTTCAGGGTTGATTCCCTCCTCAAGTAGGGGACAACAAATGGGTAACTTGTTCCCCACATTCCTGTAGATAATAGCTCCAGCCTTGGCTAATATATCCCCCCCTAATAAAGGTGTGGGACTTTCAGGCATAACAAGAAAAGCATGTGAAAAGAGCAAAGTCTCCCAATTACAACTAGGAGGTGGGAGAAATACCTGGTTACAGGCTGTCCCAGGATTCCTTAGATAGTAATGGGCCTTGAGGACAGTCATCCAGGACAGGAGATTAACACTGAGAAGGCCACGCCAGTGTCCAGGAGGAAGTCAATTTTCTGGCCCTCAATGGTTAAACGTACTTTGAGCTCAGTGAGGGTGTTGACATGAGCTCACGCTTGTCCCAGGCACCCTCAATCCTGTTGTTGGATCATCTGGTTGGGGGCTTCTGACCCAGAGGACCTTTTTCCTCTGGGGCAGTGCACCTTCCAGTGATTGCCTCGGCATACTGGACATGGATGAGGGGGCAGCTTGTTTCTCGTTGGACAATCTTTTTTAAAGTGTCCTAGTAAACCACACTGATAACAAGCCCTACCGGGTAATTGGCCTGCTCCATTTTCTGTTCTCTCTGAACCACCAAGGTTTGCTTGTCTGAGGGCCATGACTAAGTCTGTGGCCTTTCTCTGATCCCGCTTTTCCTTTTGGGCCTGTTCCTCTTGATCCCTGTTACAGAACACTGAGGTTGCCAGGTTTAATAATGCCTCCAAATTTTGTTAAGGGCCCAGGGCTTGCTTTTAGAGCTTTCTCCTGATATCTGTGGCTGATTGGGTAATAAACTTATCTTTTAGAATCAATTGACTGGGAAGTATATTTTCTTAAGGCCTCCTGTAGCCACTCAAGGAAGGCCAAAGGATTTTCTTCCTTTCCCTGAGTTATGGTGGACATCATTGAATAATTCATGGGCTTTTTTCTAATTCTCCTTACTCCGTCTAGAACACAGATCAACAGATGTTTACAACTCCAGTCCCCATGATCTGAGTCAAGGTCCCAGTGGGGATCCATACTGGGGATGGCTTGCTGACCGGTAGAGAATTTGTCCCTTTCTTCAGCTGTCATTCTATCATTTACTTGACTAAGATACCAGGTATCTCCAAACTCTCGGACTGCAGCTAAAGGCACATTCTTTTCATTAAAGGCCAGAGTTTGATCTAACAATAGCATGACATCTCTCCAAGCAAGGTCGAAGGTTTCCCCTAGACCCTTTAGGACATCTGTGTGCCTATCAGGATCGTTTGAAAACTTCCCCAGGTCTGCCTTGATCTGCTTTAAATCAGAGAGGGAGAAGGGGACACGTACCCGAGTTGGGCCAAATTCCCCTCCCCCTACAGCTTGAAGGGGACATAACCAATAGCCTGGGGTTTTTTTGTGGTCCTTTGGAGATTTCTTTGCTTATTTTCTTCTGGGTGGGGGTGATTAGAGGAGGCTTATCACTAATAGGAAGGGGAGCTATAGGGAGGCTAGGATATGGGGGTAAGCTGAGAGGTCCTCCTGTGGGATGTAAATTTCAAGCTTTGCATAGTGTATTCTCCTTCAATGAAAAGAAAGCTTGGACATAAGGTATTTCACTCCATTTGCCTTCCCTCTTACAGAAAAGGTCAAGCTGCAGGATAGTATTGTAATCTGTACTTCCCTCAGGTGGCCATTTTTCCCCATCAGAGAGAGAATGTTGGGGCCAAGCCATAGTGCAGAAAAAAAATGAGCCACCTCTTTTTCCAGGGTTTGTGGGTCAAATTTGTCCCATTGGCTTAGGATGCATTTCAAAGGTGAGCCTGTTGATGCCTGAGTGTTTCCCATCTGAAAGACAAAACTGCCCATGGTTTTGGTTTGTTTTGTTTCTCCCCCTGCCCAAGAACCTGCAGTGGTCCCTGGACCCTGCTGATCGGAATAGTTGTGCTCACTGACACAGCAACAGAAACACTAGTTTTCCTCCCAGACCACAAGGAGGAACGAGGAAGGTCGGATTTAGTGGCCCTTACTGATGCATTCTTGAAAATCTGCACCCTTGCCTGTCCTCCTAGACCACAAGGAGGACCAAGAAAAATTGGATTGAGTGGCCCTTACCAACACATTCTCAAAAACCTGTTAGAGTCCTAAGCATTCTCCTGTTAGTATTGGGATTTTACCCCTGTCCTATAAAGATGTTATGTACCAAAAATGAAGTGGAGGGCCATACCCTGAGGGAGGGGAGGGATCTCTAGTGTTGGAAGAGCGATACCTTTTGTCCTCACTTGAATAGGAAGGATACCATTTCTGAGGTTCCACATATCCTAGCTTCAGGAATAGCTTTTATTAGGCCTGTTAGTCTGAGGAGGGATCCTAAAATTACAGATATTCCCCCCTACAATGGGGCTTTGGGCAAAAAATATGTCATTCTGCTTGGTGAGCCAGGTTGCCTAAAAAAGGTAACAGAGTCCTGGAGTTTATACTAGAAATCATTCTTACAGGAAAAACTAGAAAACCACTAGAGACAGGGAGTGATTTTTAGAAGCGGGGCTAGCCTTGGAGAAGAGAGGCAAGAGGAAGTTTGTCTGGCAGGCATTAGGACCCAGGGGGCAAGGGTCGAGATAGATAGGATAGATGGGTGAGTCTCACTTGGGTGACATGCCTTTGAGAGTTCCACTCTTGGCTGCAGGGTCAACCAACTTGCTGTTGGGACCCCAGAGCTAAATGGCTTTCCTCTCTGTCGACCCTCGGCTCAGCCCAGAAGTAAAGGAAAAGTGAAAGCTGGTTCCAGGCAAACCAATGCTCCCAACTCTGAAGAGTCAGAGGTTGTTAGAGAGCCCTTTCCCAGAAAGCCTGACACCTGTGTCTTTACTCTGGCAGCTGTGCTAGTCGCTTTTAACTGGCTGACAGGTGCATGGTATTTAGCCCCCAAATTCTAAGGAAAAATAGGACAGAATAGCAAGAGAAAGGGGTCCAATGGTACCGCTCGGTGATAGGCAATGGCCTCACCACTTGGCGATAGGCGATGGTCTCACCATTTGGTGATAGTCTCACCTCTTGGCGACAGGTGACAGTCCCATCTGGCTTGCCAAAATATGCCCAAAATTGTGAGTTCTTGGGTCTGACTTCAAGAATGAAGCCGCAGACCCTTGTGGTGAGTGTTACAGTTCTTAAAGATGGTGTGTCTGGAGCTTGTTCCTTCTGATGTTCGGACGTGTTTGGAGTTTCTTCCTTCTGGTGGATTCATGGTCTCACTGGCTTCAGGATTGAAGCCGCAGACCTTCACAGTGAGTGTTACACTCTTAAGGCAGCATGTCTGGACTTGTTCATTCCTCCTGTCTGGAGTTGTTCATTCCTCCCAGTGGGTTTGTGGTCTCACTGGCCTCAGGAGTGAAGCTGCAGACCTTCGTGGTGAGTGTTACAGTGCATAAAGGCAGTGTGGACCCAAAGAGTGAGCAGCAGCAAGATTTATTGCAAAGACCGAAAGAACAAAGCTTCCACAGTGTGGAAGGGGACCCGAGCGGGTTGCTGCTGTTGGCTCTGGTAGCATGCTTTTATTCCCTTATCTGGCCCCACCCACATCCTGCTGATTGGTCCTTTTACAGAGAGCCGATTGGTCCATTTTACGGAGAGCTGATTGGGCCATTTTGCAGAGAGCTGATTCTTCTGTTTTGACAGGGTGCTGATTGGTGCATTTACAATCCCTGAACTAGACACAGAGTGCTGATTGGTGTATTTATAATCCTCTAGCTAGACATAAAAGTTCTCCAAGTCCCCACTAGATTAGCTAGACACAGAGCACTGATTGATGCATTTACAAACCTGGAGCTAGACACAGAGTGCTGATTGGTGCATTTACAATCCTTTAGCTAGACGTAAAAGTTCTCCAAGTCCCCACCAGATTAGCTAGATACAGAGTGCTGATTGGTGCATCCATGAACCCTGAGCTAGACCCAGAGTGCTGATTGGTGCATATACAATCCTCTGGCTAGACATAAAAGTTCTCCAAGTCCCCACCCAACTCAGGAGCCCAGCTGGCTTTGCCTAGTGGATCCCACACCAGGGCTGCGGGCGGAGCTGCCTGCCAGTCCCGTGCTGTGTGCCCGCACTCTTTAGCCCTTGGACGGTCGATGGGACTGGCCGCCGTGGAGCAGGGTGCGGTGCCCATCGGGGAGGCTTGGGCTGTGCAGGAGCCCACAGCCAGGGAGTGGCTCAGGCATGGCGGGCTGCAAGTCCCAAGCCCTGCCCCACAGGGAGGCAGCTGAGGCCTGGCCAGAATTCGAGCGCGGCACCAGTGGTTCGGCACTGCTAGGGGACACTGCACACCCTCCACAGCTGCTGGCCTGGGTGCTAAGCCCCTCACTGCCTGGGGCCGGTGGCACCGGCCGGCCATTCTGTGTGTGGGGCCAGCCCAGCCCATGCCCACCTGGAACTCGCCCTGGCCCGTGAGCGCCACATGCAGCCCTGGTTCCCGCCTGTGCCTCTCCCTCCACACCTCCCCACAAGCAGAGGGAGCCAGCTCCAGCCTTGGCTAACCCAGAGAGGGGCTCCCACAGTGCAGCAGCAGGCTGAAGGGCTCCTCAAGTGTGGCCAGAGTGGACACTGAGGCCGAGGAGGTGCTGAGAGCGAGTGAGAGCTGCTAGCACATTGTCACTTCTCAATATCCTTTGCCCACTTTTTGATGGGGTTGTTGTTTTTTTCTTGTAAATTTGTTTGAGTTCTTTGTAGATTCTGGATATTAGCCCTTTGTCAGATGAGTAGATTGCAAAAATTTTCTCCCGTTCTATAGGTTGCCTATTCACTCTGATGATAGTTTCTTTTGCTGTGCAGAGGCTCTTTAGTTTAATTAGATCCCATTTGTCAATTTTGGCTTTTGTTGTCATTGCTTTTGGTGTTTTAGACATGAAGTCCTTGCCCATGCCTGTGTCCTGAATGGTATTGCCTAGGTTTTCTTCTAGGGTTTTTATGGTTTTAGGTCTAACATTTAAGTATTTGATCCATCTTGAATTAATTTTTGTATAAGGTGTAAGGAAGGGATCCAGTTTCAGCTTTCTACATATGGCTAGCCAGTTTTCCAAGCACCATTTATTAAATAGGGAATCCTTTCCCCATTTCTTGTTTTTGTCAGATTTGTCAAAGATCAGATAGTTGTAGATGTGTGGTGTTATTTCTGAGGGCTCTGTTCTGTTTTTTGAATGGTTTTCTGTGTCTGTATCTCTTTCAGTTCTGCTCTGATCTTAGTTATTTCTTGTCTTCTGCTAGCTTTTGAATTTGCTTGCTCTTGCTTGTCTAGTTCTTTTAATTGTGATGTTAGGGTATCGAATTTAGATCTTTCTCACTTTCTGACGTGGGCATTTAGTGCTATAAATTTCCCTCTAAACACTTCTTTAGCTGTGTCCCAGAGGTTCAGATACATTGTGTCTTTATTCTCATTGATTTCAATAACTTACTTATTTCTGCCTTAATTTTGTTTTTTACCCAGTAGTCATTCAAGAGCAGGTTGTTCAGTTTCCATGTAGTTGTGTAGTTTTGAGTGAGTTTCTTAATCTTGAGTTCTAATTTGATTGCACTGTGGTCTTAGAGACTGTTATAATTTTTGTTCTTTTGCATTTGCCAAGGAGTGTTTTACTTCCAATTGTGTGGTTGATTTTAGAATACATGCTATGTGTTGCTGAGAAAAATGTATATTTTGTTGATTTGGGGTGGAGAGTTCTGTAGATGTCTATTAGGTCCACTTGGTGCAGAGCTGAGTTAAAGTCCTGAATATCCTTGTTAATTTTCTGTCTTGTTGATCTGTCTAATATTGACAGTGGGGTATTAAAGTCTCCCACTATTATTTTGTGGGAGTCTAAGTGTCTTTGTAGGTCTCTTAGAACTTGCTTTATGAATCTGGGTGCCCCTGTGTTGGGTGCATATATATTTAGGATAGTTAGCTCTTGTTGTTGCATTGATCCCTTTACCATTATGTAATGCCCTACTCTGTCTCTTTTGATCTTTGTTTGTTTGAAGTCTGTTTTATAAGAGACTAGGATTCCAACCCCTGCTTTTTTTTTGCTTTCCATTTGCTTGGTATATGTTCCTCCATCCCTTTCTTATGAGCCTATGTGTGTCTTTGCACATGAGGTGGGTCTCCTGAATACAGCACACTGATGGATCTTGACTCTTTATCCAATTTGCCAGTCTGTGTCTTTTAATTGGGGCATTTAGCACATTTACATTTAAGGTTAAAATTGTTATGTATGAATTTGATCCTGTCATCATGATGCTAGCTGGTTATTTTGTACATTTGTTGATGCAGTTTCTTCATGGTGCCATTGGTCTTTATATTTTGGTGTATTTTTACAGCGGCTGGAACCAGTTTTTCCTTTCCATATTTAGTGCATCCTTCAGGAGCTCTTGTAAGGCAGGCCTGGTGGAAACAAAATCCCTCAGCATTTGCTTGTCTGGAAAGGATTTTGTTTCTCCTTCACTTATGAAACTTAGTTTGGCGGGATATGAAATTCTGGGTTGAAAATTCTTTAAGAATTTTGAATATTGGCCCCCACTGTCTTCTGGCTTTTAGGGTTTCTGCAGAGTATCTGTTGGTAGTCTGATGGTCTTCCCTTTGTAGGTAATCCAACCTTTCTCTCTGGTTGCCCTTAACATTTTTTCCATCATTTCAACCTTGGAGAATCTGAAGATTATGTGTCTTGGGGTTGTTCTTCTCAAGGAGTATCTTAGTGGTGTTCTATGTATTTCTAGAATTTGAATGTTGGCCTGTCTTCCTAGGTTGGGGAAGTTTTCCTAGATAATATTCTGATGTGCATTTTCCAACTCTCTCCTCATCACTGTCAGGGACCCCAATCAGTTGTAAGTTTGGTCCAGTCCCATATTTCTTGGAGGCTTTTTTTGTTCCTTTTCAATCTTGTTTCTCTAATCTTGTCTCCACATCTTATTTCAGTAAGTTGATCTTCAATCTCTGATATCCTTTCTTCTGCTTGATAGATTCAGCTATTGATACTTATGTATGCTTCACGACATTCTCATGCTGTGTTTTTCAACTCCGTCAGGTCATTTATGTTCTTCTTTAAACTGGTTATTCTACTTAGCCATTCCTATACCTTTTGTCAAGGTTTTTGGCTTCCTTGCATTGGGTTAGAAGGTGCTCCTTTAGCTCAGAGGAGTTTGTTATCACCTACCTTCTGAAGCCTCCTTCTGTCAATTTCTCAAACTCATTCTCTGTCCAGTTTTGTGTCCTTGCTGGAGAGGAGTTGTAATCATTTGGAGGAGAATTGGCACTCTGGTTTTTGGAATTTTCAGGATTTGGGTGCTGGTTTTCCCTTCATGGGTTTATCTACCTTTGATCTTTGAGGCTGATTACCTTTGAATGGGGTTTCTATGTGGCAGTTCTTTTTGTTGATGTTGATATTATTGCTTTCTGTTTGTTAGTTTTTCTTCTCACTGTCAGGGCCCTCTTCTGCAGATCTCCTGCAGTCTCCTGGATATCCACTCCAGATGCTATTTGCTTGGGTATCACCAGCAGAGGCTGCAGAACAGCAAAGATTGCTGCCTACTCCTTCCTCTGAAAGCTTCATCCCAGAGGGGCACCAGCCTGATGCCAGCCAGAGCTCTCCTGTATGAGGTGTCTGTCAACCCCTGTAGGGGAGGTCTCTCCCAGTCAGGGGGCATGGGGGTCAGTGATCAACTTGAGGAGGCAGTCTGTCCCTTAGCAGAGTTCTAGTGCTGTGCTGGTAGAGCCTTCCTTGTCAGGATCTGCTGCTCTCTTCAGAGCTGGCAAGCAGGAATGTTTAAGAGTGCTGAAGGTGTGCCCACAGCTGCCCCCTTCCCCCAGGTGCTCTGTCCCAGTAAGATCGGAGTTTTATTTATAAGCTCCTGACTAGGGCTGCTGCCTTTCTTTCAGAGATGCCCTACCAGGTGAAGAGGAATCTAGAGAGGCAGTCTGGCCACAGCCACTTGGCCCCCCACTTCTTGCACTTCCTGGGTGAGGTGACACTCCATCCTGCTTCTGCTCACCCTGCATGGGCTGCACCCACTGCCTAACTAGTCCCAATGAGATGAACAGGGTACCTCAATTGTAAATGCAGAAATCACCCACCTTCTGCATTGGTCTCACTGGGAGCTGCAGACTGGAGCTGTTCCTATTCAGCCATCTTGCCAGCCATTTTATGAACTTTGAGCAACCAGCTATCATAAGTGTTTGGCATTTCTTTGGCTAAAGAGAAATCTAGGTTGCTTTTGTCTGTGCTCCTATGCGAACTTTGAGTCACAATACTTCTGTAATGGTTGCGACCTGATTTCAATGAAAGGTGGAAACTGAAAGAAGGGCATATTTAAATGCACAGATACTTTTCAGTGTCCTCAGAAGACAAACCCTACCATTTTGCTCAGCAGTAGCAAAGACATCTCTTGTGCAGGGTGCATTGGCATCTTGTCATCTTCTGCTTGCTCTGCATTCATTTCCCTTTCTTCTGATCACAGGCCCTTAATCCCTTGCTCTCTTTTAGAACATACATTCAAATGGTGGTGGTTCTAGCTCCATGCCACCTCTGGGGTCTGGATCTGTGGCCAAAGACTAGTCAACCAGGTTTTGCATTTGGAAAATAGTGAGAAAAACATGAGGCAGCTTCTAATCCCCAGCCCCTTAGTATTCCATAGGCTTTACATGGTTTTGCTGGTTGCTAATTGTAGGGTCAAATTTAAAAAGAAAAGGATAATCAGCTCAGGCAAGTTGACAACAGCTGACCAGCTAGCTGACCGAGAACACTTTTTATGGAGTCCTTTTGGGAAAAAGGAGTCAGGCTGGCAGAACCAGGGGAAAGCAAAAAGAGAAAGCAGATAAACTATAAGTCTGCTTTTCTTCATGGTTCAGAACATGTAGCCCTCCTGCACCCAACTTATCACCAGGCACCTGCAGGTTAGCTCACTTGCAACTTTGGTGTTGTCAGTACTGCACAAAGCTCTCTTCAGCACACAGCATAAACACTAACCTATAAAATATCCAGAAAGACTTGGTTTTATTGCAGTTGGCTTCTCTCGTGCTGGTGTGCTCATTGCTTTCTTGCAACATATTTTTATATTTTCTCTCATAAGTCTACCTTTCTTTATCTACAACCGTCTTCGTAAATTATTTTGCCCCTGCACCACCAGCCCAGATGTTTGTTGGGCTTATCTGCAACACTTTTTATATACCTGGCAAGGATCCATAATATCTAAGTAGGCTCTGTGAACATCTATCCTGTATGACTCATTTGGATAAAGTTTCAAAGCTTGCGAAACTAGTTTATGATGTTGGAGGTCAGGAGAGTAGTTATGCCTGGGTTGAGGGACAATGAGTGAGAAGTGGAAAGGGCATGAGGAGGCACCTTCTGACTTTTTAAAAATATAAATGCTGCCCATATGTATTCATATTTTGAAAATGGAACACCATTTGAGATGCACACATTTGATCTGTGCAGTTTTTATATGTATATTCTACTTCTAAAACGTTTACACTAAAAATAACCCATAAGATTGTAAAAAAAGGTTTTCTCAGTCCAACTTTTATTAATACTAAACTCAAACAAGAGGAGGAAAGAAAGACGACAAAGCTAAGTACTACATGTCTTCCATATGCAGGCTCTGAGACAGAAGCTTGCTTCACATTTGCCCTGTGAGCCCTTTAGGTTATAATTACATCTAAGTTTTGATTTGTTTATTGATAATTCCCAGTTTGTTCTTTTTATTTTGTTTTCTTTAACAGACCAATAATAATCATATCAATATGTTTTTGACTCTCAATGGAATACTTTTGAATAAATGTTTCAGTGGTCTGCTTATGTAATAAATAATCTAGAAATTTATTTCAACACACTGACTTGGCTATTACTGCCATTTGGGTGATACTTGATGTCGTAGAAGAATGGTACCGGTACTGCCAATGGAGATGGAGGAAGGAGACAGAAAGAAACAGAGCCCAGACCCTAGGGACCACCAGCATTTGCAGAATGGATAAACAGCCTTCTTCCTAACAAAGGAAGCACAGGTCAGCAAGACAGAGTGCCATGATTGCTCTGTAAGAATGCTCGACTATTTCAATTTTGTTTTAACTTTACAAAAGTGAAATTGCTTTCACGTGTTGTAAAATTCTGTCTGCAATTTCATGGTAGGGCCAAAACAATACATTGACGAGAATTTAGTAACACCAGATTTTATCTGATTAGAGAACTTTATCTAAAAGATGCCTATAAATATTTTGTATAAAATATCAGAAATTGGCTGATAAAAAGACTTGCCTTTTTTCTCTATCAAGTTCATAAAAAGCTAAAATGGAAGAGGAAGCAACAAAGTATAGACATTGCCTGCAGTCACTAATCAAGAGAGTCGATGTGGCTGGGAATATGCAATGTTCTCAAACATTTTGCAGCTCGGTTATTCAACCTTGTGGTACATAGAAACCTGCAAGTTTAGTAAAGATGAATATTTTATTGAAATAAGAAACTTTTTTCTTTTATTAATCTGGAAAGACTATTTCTGAAGTTTCCTTCTCTTCTTTAGCTAAATATGGCATTTTTTTCTATGACCTATCGGTGACTATGCCAAGAAGCAGTGTAATTTCTAGCACATAAGAAAAACATCCTTTTTGCATCCTCCACAAATATTTAAATTTCATTTGTATATCACCTTCAGACAGTAATTTGTTTTACTATTTTTGTTTTTGTTGTTTCAGCCCCGAGCTTTTTCTCCACATCCTAATACAGATTAATGTCTTTTAGTTGCTGTTAAATTTGTTTGCTCATCCTTTGTCATATGTATAACAAATGATTAATTAAAATTAATAAAAAGTTACATCTTTATATTGAAAGGATGAAAAAATCCCCTAGATGAAAGATTTCATGAAAGCTTGCATGAAAAATCCTCTAGTGTTTTTTCTAAATCACACACTTTTCTCTATTTTGTGGCTATAGAACTCTTTAAGCAGTAACTTCACTATTCTTAGAAAAAATTTTGAGATGTGCTTTCATCATAACCCTGTTCACCCTTGCTTGAGGCCCATTGGTGGTTTAGTGTTCTTCTAAAAAAGAACAATTATCTGAGGCTTGGTATATGTTTTTGTGCACCTTAGCTCTTTTCCTGTGGCATTTTGTCACTGTCACTTCTGCATCTTCCTTCTTAAATGTGTGACTTCTCCTTAAGCTTCATGATGGTCACTCTCCTGGCAGCACTTACTTCTGCCCATTCATTCCTTCTAAAAATTTTTTCTCTTTTGCTTCTGAAGCATAATTCTTTTCTAGCTTTCCTTACTGCTGTTTGATTAGTTTATTCTCCTCCATCACTCATCTCTTAAATTGGGCTGGAGAATTTTCTCTTCAAGTTTTTTGTATTTTTAATTTTTTTTACTTTCCCTCTAGTTTATGTCATATACCAAGGCTTCAAAAACAACTTCCAAATATATATCAGTAGCACAACACTTTATATATAGTTGCCTACAGCTCAATTTACTTTGTAATTGGAGACAGAGCTTTTTTATCTTTTGTATATCTTTAAATACCTAATAGAATACTTGGCACACAAATATTAGATAGAAGAAAATTATACATCAATTAAATTTTAAAATAATTTCTATATCAATTTCAGGATTGTATTTTAATGAAATATTTTCCAGTGATTCACTGGACAAAACGAATGCTGTAGATATTTTTTCCCCAGATGTGTATTTGTACTTATGTCCTAATGACCAACAGACCATCCTCAAAATTGATCCATTTTTAACTCAAGCCTCTAAGAGACAGAAGTGCCTGTTAGGGACTTAGATGACATTTTACACAATAATTGTTTTCTTTATTCTTGTGGGACATACTGATTTTGAGCATAAGTCTGTGGAGTAGAAATAAGAAAATATTTGGAAAATCTATTTTTTTTCGTAGTTGGAGTTTTTTTTTTTTTTTGAGACAGAGTCTTGCTCTGTCACCCAGGCTGGAGTGCAGTGGTGCGATCTCAGTTCACTGCAACCTCCACCTCCCAGCTTCAAGTGATTCTCCTGCCTCAGCGTCCCTAGTAGCTGAGATTACAGTTGCTTGCCACCACGCCTGGCTAATTTTGGTATTTTTAGTAGAGACGGGGTTTCACTATCTTGACCAGGCTGGTCTCGAACTCCTGACCTCGTGATCCACCCACCTTGGCCTCCCAAAGTGCTGAGATTACAGGCATGAGCTATCGCACCTGGCCTGTTGGAGCCTTTTATTGCTAAAAGTGAATATTCCATAGAGGTAAAGAACGACCTATGTCTTTAGCATGTAAAAACAGAGCTACATTTAAGTTCTGTGGAAACAGAAGATATTAAAGATATTGGTTAAAAATGACATGGTAGATGTTATGAAATTTGTTTTAAAGCATTACTCCCAGGTTAAGTTATGTCTGCCAAATCACAACCTAAAACACATTTTTTCAAATTAGCAAAGCTCTGAATTGAGAGTCTGTGATGATAAAAGGGTGCTCACATTCTGCGATGGGCCATAAGTGCTCTGTCAAGCTATGCATGAGGAAATGAACCTTACATTGCCTTAGGAACATGCTGTGTCTCTTCCTGAGTGGACTTAGTGAAACCAAAGATGGTCCCTGAGATTTACTTTGTTTAATAGAAGCATGTTTTAATACATGTTGTTCATTGCTTTACTCAGTTTTAGACTGATCTGTGGTTTTCCTCAACATGTATTTGATGTTTCTTTAGTGCAAAGTTCTGCCACACAAAAATGATCTGATTGAAAGTGCATTATATTCCAAATGGGGTAGAAATTATGTTGCTTCTTAGATCTGAGCCATTCGATCCCTGTCTTCATCCCTGTTAACTTACAGTATATAAATATCATTAGTGGACTCTGTGAGGTGGTTCAGACCAATGTTGGAGGGAATCTGCTACAGTTCTTGCCTCTGCATTTAAGTGTATAAGTGTTTCACAGGGATGGCCAAAGTGTCCCACTCTGGGAAAAGAAGAAAAAACAGGCCAAAGAAGATTTTCTTTTGTCTGATACATTTTTAAAATTCCAACATAATATATTTAACAGATTTGTTGTACTGAATTGTTTTTGTGTATGTGTGTGGTTTGCTTGATTTTGAGACTCCATAGTCTTTTAAGAAGATGGAGGTGTGTGACCTTCAAAACCTTTTTCTCATTTCTATTAGTAGGTGTTGTCAGCTTGAGTACCTTCCGTGCAGAGCCTGTCTTGCATACCACTTACTAATCTCTTTGGTTATGAGACATTTAATTTGGCTTTAGGGGTGGAATTTTCTTGATGCCTATGAAAAAGAAGTTAAAAGACAATGCCAACAACAAATGGAAACTTTCACCTCTCTCTGTCTTTCTCTCTCTCTCTCTCTCTCTCTCACACACACACACACACACACACACACAAATTAGTCATCTTTTTTTCCTCCACCTGTTTCACACAGATATTCTAGGGCACTGTGTATACAGAGTGTAATGCTGTCTCATTCATGGCTTGAAGCTGCCCCTGCATCCCCCTACACTGTAGTGGCCTATTTGATGACACTGGTGACTGTATGGGGCCACAGGTTGGATCTCACCTTTGTGTGAAGCACAGAGATTTTGTTCATGTGTTTAATTTTTTTGTATCAATATGAGGATCGAAGGATTTTAGAACTCCTTATAGAAAATATTCTTCAAAGAATATCCAGGGCTGAAAGCATAAAAAGTTATCACATAGTGTTAAGTGGCTGGTAATATTAGATAGACCCGAGTTTGAGACTGTTTTCTTAAAACATACTGGACATATCAATAAAATACGGTTTTAGTATAAGTCCAGGGAAGTTTATTACTGACAAGCATGGCTGCACGCGTGCATTGGTTCCTAGTCTGAATGCTGGAGCTCTATAGAGCCAGGGCAGCTTATGATGACCTGCCAGTGTGCCCTGGCAATTCTATATTAGAGGAGCTGTTCTTTCTGCTCCTTGTAGTGTGACATGCCACAGTACATGTAATCTCCTGAGCCTGGGTATGTCTGACAAATTGAGGATATAGGGCTTAATTTATTTAGAGTTTTGCCAGGTAACACATAAATGTGTCTGGTATACTCCCCTGAAAATATACTACGGTTATGTCGAGAATTACAATAGCGAGGGACTGTGTACTTCCTGCAGATCATGGAGATCATGGAAGCCTCCCAGGGGAGGCACCATCTCGGTAGTGACCTGAGTGAGGAACGGAGCTGGTGCTGCCCATGCCAGGGGAGGCCAAGCTGAGCCAAGGACACAGAATATGGTATGTTCTGAGGACAGGGCCACAGCCAACCAGCCAGGCAGGAAAGAGCAGGTGGTAGGGAGAGTGGCAGAAAGGAGAGAAGAGGGGTGCACAGCACCTGGACAATGGGAACCTTTGTAAAAGACAGAGCAAGAAACTTGACTTTTCCTGGAGATGGGATGGAGAGCCTATGGAGAGCTTCAGCCAGAAAATGATATCCTCTGATATTCACTTTAAAAGCTGACTCTGACACTCTGTGAGAAATAGATGGCACAGGGGAAGGAGTGGAGGCAGGGAGGCCAAGTGGCTGGTGAAGACTTGCATTTGAGAGTCAGGTGGACACGAGGAACATGGCTGTGTTTAGGATGATAGCACCTGTGGAGGGACTGGAGTAGAAGATGTCAACTGAAGAATCACAGGATTCAAAATTTGGAAAGAACTTTATTTCTCATGAAGGGTTACTGACTGAGGGCTGGCCATCCTGCTGGCTGGGAGGCATAGCTGAGAGGAAGCACTTGGACGGAATGGAAGGCAAGACAGAAATGCATGCCGAGTGGGTGGCAAAATATACATATTTAATGAGCTATAGGAGGAGTTACAAATATTTATGAGAGGAGAAACCTGTTCAGGAACAATTCTTAATGGCTTTTCATGGATTGCATATTTTAAAAAATGGCATTAGTGTGATCTGAGGTGGACTTTTTAGCCCTCTGACATCAAAAGGTAAAGTGAAGGATGCCAAAACCCTCACTGCATCCTTTGAGAGTCAGCCAAAACACATCCAGAGATGGCAGTCACTGTTTAGAAAGAAATGCATTGTGTGATGAGTGAACTGTCACCTGGAAGCAGTGAAGAGGAAGGGGAATCTTGTAGCAGCCTCAGATGGTTTGCTAAAAATGATGAAGAAACAAGTCATCTATTTATTGTTTTCCAGAGCTGGTCTCTGCTTACTCCTTACGAAGGAGTTTTGGCTAAAGGTTGATAAGGAAGGGGCATACTGAGGCACACTTGACCTCCCATCTGTCATGGCCAATAACTCAGTTTTTAAGGTTTCTCTGGAATCCTCTTGGCCAAGAGAGGGGTATTTCCAGTTGATTAAGGGGCTTAAGATTTTATTTGTATCTCTCAAATGTTAAGGAAAGAGAAGAATCAAAGGCATCTGCTAGAGTTTTGCTAAGCAAGAAGCCAGGGAGGTAGTAGAGCTGTTGGCCAAGATGGAAATCACTTAGGAGGGGGCTTGTGGGGAAACCACACCTCCATTCTAGCCATATCAGTTGCTAATGTAGGTGATACCAAGAAACAGCAGAGCGCCCATGAGTGTTTTCATAATGTTTGGATCATGATGGGATAAAATACTATGCGTTTGGTACAAGAGAAGCCAGGGGGTGGTATAATTAGTGCTTAAAGGGGGACTGTGGGGTGGCTTCATTGCTGTAGTGAGGAAGGAGGAGCAGAAGGTAAACAGGTGGAAGAGGCAAAGCAACTGGTTAGGTTTGTGTAAGTACACTCCAGGATGTTCCCATAATAATAAAATCCCCTAAGGATGCGTTTCTCAAAATGCATCTCCATTGTTAAGTGTATGACTCTGTATTTTGTAAGCTGCTGATCCCCTCTGGTATGATTTGAAGACTAATCTTACTTTTACTTTATTGGTATCAAACTTAATAAGACTTGTCCTACTAAGGAATAGTGAGGAACCATGAAATCCAGTATAATGTGATGGACTTTTTAGATTCCCAATCTTCTATTTATGAATGAGCTTTGTGTTGCTTATTAACTGAGCAGCAAGATACAGCAGCTTTTGCTTTATGAATGATGCATGACTGGTTGCTCACATAGCACAACTGCAGTGTGCTGGAGGAACAGCAACACTCCTTGAAAACAGTCCAATTATTTCATTTATCATTTTAAACTCTTACATTGTAAGCAAAATAGACAATAGTCAGGAATATAGTAAAATGTGTATGAGATAAAGTCAGACTAGGATTGCTGGGCTAAAAATTGAAGCTATTTTATACAAATTGTAAGGCTTGCAATTGATGAAAATAAAAGTTATTAAAATGGTAGTAAATCATAATATAGAAAATATTAATAAATTATGAACTAGAAATTAAAGCCATTGTCTACTAAGCATATAGGTCTGCAGGAGGATGGCTTGCTTGAGCCCAGGAGTTCTGGGCTGTAGAATGTGACACTGAAAGGTTACTGGTGCTAAGCTCGACATCAATATGGTGACCTCCTGGGAGCAGGGGACCACCAGGGTGCCTAAGGAGGGGCGAACAAGCTCAGGTCAGAAACAGATCAGATCGGAACTCCTGCGCTGGTCAGTAGTGGGCTCACATCTGTGAATAGCCACTTCCCTCCAGCTGGGCAATATAGCCAGACTCTGTCTCTCATAAAAAATTTATTAAAAAATATATATATATGTGTGTGTGTGTGTGTGTGTGTGTGTGTGTGTGTGTGTGAGATACCATGAAACAGTCACAGACTCTAGCATTGGAGAGACCTGGATTCAAATCTTGCCTCGGCCCTTTACTATATGACATTGGATTGAACCCCTGAGCCTTATTTGCTTCATCTGTGAAATGGGAATAATTAGTATCTCTATTGCAAGGGTTTTGAAATAATATATGTGGGAATACCCAGGAAGGGGTATGGATAGAAGAGAGTAGAAACTGAAACCAAGACCCACCTTTCACTTATGCCTGAGGGCAGTGTGTCATTGATGAAAATAGGAAGTATTAGGGAAAAGGGGGAGAAAGTGAGGGTTGATTTTAGACTAAATTTGAAAGTGTTTATGATTTGGAAAACTTCTGTTGGAAGTTTGGAGTGATTGCAGGGTGTGCTGGTGAATCCTCCTGTGCACCCATAAGGGTGTGTGTATAAATGAATCACTAGTCTCAGATACACATCCCATTCTGTCAGATGTGTAGAGCCTGTGCCTATCAGTAAGCTTTGGGGACTGTGCTTTCTTCATATTTGTGTCTCTGAGAAGTAAACAAGAGGTTGACGTGCAATAAGCGTTCAAAAACCGCTGGCGGAAGAAAGGCATGGTTGTAGTGGTTGTAACATTATTCATTTTATAAAGGAAATAAATCAATGTTAAAAGTAGATACCAAGATTTTAACTTTTAAATTTGGACTTTTTTACAATTTTCATTGGTGTTACCATGATATCTTTATTAAATCTTTTCTTCCCCAAGAACATCATTCCATTAAAAAAAAAACCATGAAGTTTGGTGCATAAAAGCAGTAAAAAGAGTAGCAGCAAGAGGGAGAGAGGGAGAGAGAAAGAAAGAGAAAGAATTTTGGAGGGCTACAAGCTCCTGCTAAATTTCAGTTGCAATTGTCAGAGTTAAAGAAAACATTAAAGAAAACGTCTCATTAAGTGGCTCCCTGGATTTTTCTGCTCTGGGAAGGCTGCCTGAGGGATGGATCATGGCCAGCCTGCAGGGGTCAGATCCCTAGTATTGTGTTCTAGCCTCTTACCTCATTGACTCCAGCAAAGTGATTTTACAGCCAGAGCTGTTTTAAGATCAGTGTACACATATTTGTGGGTGGAGAAGTAGAATTTGAGGAACGAAGAAACATAGCTTAGTTTTGAAGTTTTCATTTCATAGCTTCTTGGGCTTTTGGTGAAATGGAATGTGTGGAAGTAGGAGTACAGCTAACTGTGCTAGGCAGGGCAGCCCTGTGAGTTCTACTGCTGTCTTGGTTTTACAGAGGGGGAAGTGAGGCACAGAGAAGTTAATTAACCTCTGAAGTGTTGCAGTCTAAGGCACAGAGGCACAGTTCCAGGCAAGGTTCATCTGAATCTTAAGTCCTCACTCTTTGCCACCATCCTCCACTGCTGAGACCATCCCTGTGAGTCCTGCCGCTCTCCTCCCCTGGTCCATATTCACTGCTACTCAATGAGGCCAAGGAAGCCAATGGTCGTGTCCCCAAGAGGATATCTCTCCCCTCCTGAGAATCTTTCTCATACATCTCAATTCTGAGATACAGATTGAGAAGCACCTCAGCAAATCCACTGCATGGAAGGCAAAACAACCTTGATCCACAGCAATGACCACAAGCAAGGGAAGCCTGGCTATGAGCACAGTCATAATGTCGTTCAAGTTTGGAGATTCAAAGCATAGCATGTCTACCTGAACATCCTCAGATCCTGCTGACATCACCAGTGGAGGTCCTCTGCTGATTGATATAAATCATTTTCAAATCCAGCAATGCATTGATGACTGTTAATTCCATGCTCCTCAAACTTGCCCAGAAATGCCTCTAATAGGTAAGAGAAAGAGAAGACACCTCAGTATGTATCCTATGGCAATGCATCTCAAAAATGATACTTATTTAAAGACTCTGTTTTTAGGTAAAAAGAAATTATTCAAATGTATTCTGAAAATGTTATTGGTTTTAATATAAAATGATATGTTCTCCAAATCTTTAAGTGGGATTGAAGATCCAGGAAGATGTATCTTGATATTCTTGATCATTTGGTTTAATGCAGCTACGCACAGGCAGTACTCTAATTTAGGATCCATGAATCTTCAGGTCACACTGGCCTTTCAAAGGATGCTCTGAATGCCCCAATAAGTGATTGATACGAACTTTTCAGTGAGATAAAATAGCTCTTATTCAGGATATGTTCATGTGTATATACATTCTGTGTCTTCTATTCTCTACATTTTCATTAATTCCATGTAGAAAAGTAGAGGCTAGGGACGCTGTCCCTCCCAGGGTCACTGCCATTAAGCCCTGTGGGTGACCACTTGTCTTTAGCACCTGTGAGGCCCACTGTTGGGGCGAGAGGAGTCTTCATCAACAGCAGCAACAATAACTAGATGTCTCCAGCTTATGATTCCTGCCATCTTGGAGGCTACAGAAAAGACTGAGTGCCAAGATGGTTTCCAGGACTTCCAGGACTTCCAGCTCTGAAATTCCTTTTCTCAGTGATAAGGATCAAATAAGCAAATGGCCTGGGCAGTTCCACTCTGTGTAATGGAGGTGGCCTTATTCCCTCCCCAGCCCTGCAGAAGCAGCTGAGGCTCTGGAGCACAACTTAGGCTGAGAATCACCCCCTTCTTCCTGGGGCCCTGACTGAGGCAGGCACCCAGTTCAGCAGTTTGATGTGCAGCTATGTGAACAACACTTCTCATGAGCAATCATCACCCCCCCTTTCTCTTGTCTATTTGGGCACTAAGTTGCTGGTGAACATCCTTCATGATCAAAGAGCAACATCTGAGTGTGTCCTGAGTGAAGTTCTGTAAAGATAAGAAGCAGGACTTGCCACCGCATTGTAAGAGAAAGTTTACCAGCATCAATTAATTAAAATAGAAGGCAGCCAATCGGCATTGGGCACAAGGGAATGATGCTTGTATTGGAGCATGATGAAGAGATGTCAGCTTTGTCTCAGCACCAACATCACTATTAACACTTGCTATCTGTCACCAATCAGCAATCTGTTCCTGATGTAATCGAGAGTTCCAAAGCACAGCTCAATTCTTCCACCTCTCTGAGAAGAGTGGTGTGTAGGCCTTCTGACAGTGGGAGAAAGTTGCACTCTTTGGGACTCAGTTTCTTCTCAAAACTCATTCAGAAATCATCACGTGTCACTGTTAGCTAGGTCCAGGATGTTTGAATAAGAATTGTGGTTATATTATAGTAAATTGTGTAAAAAATCAGTTAGTTATGGGTAATAGGTATGGCAGTTACCATGTGCCAAGAATCTTATAAAGTTTTTTACATTTAGTAATTCATTTAAGTCTCACAGTAACCCTACAAGGTATATTTTCCTTATTTTAAAGAGGACAAAACTGAGGTACAGTGGTTAAATAATGACTCAATGACAAAAGTGGGATTGGAGTCCCAACAGTGTGGACATGCTTGCTTTGGATTGAATGTTTGTGTCTTGCCCCATATCCCAATGTTACAGCCCTAACCACCAATGTGATGGTATTGAGATTAGGGCCTTGAGTACTTAACTAGGGTTAGCCGAGGTCAGGAGGGTGGATGCCTTATTATGGGATTAGTGCCCTTCTAAGAGGGACAGTAGAGGGCTTGTTCATGCTCTCTCTCTCCATGCACAAGAAAGAGCACACAGTGAGAAGGAAAGAGGCCCTCACCAGAACCTGACCATGCTGGCACCGTGATTGCAGACTTCCAGCCTCCAGGATTGTGAGAAGATAAATATCTGTGGTTTAAGTCACCAAGTCTGTGGTGTGTTTTATGGCAGCACAAGGTAACCCAGATGATGCTTTTCACCACTGGGTGGTCCAGCCTTTCATGGAAGCTGTCAGCTCCTCAGCCTTGCAAAAAATGCTTGCTGGTCACTCTCTTTGGTCCTTTCAGATGCCTTTCTTAGTGGTGCCTCTACCAGGCCCTTGACTTCATCCTTTTCTGTCAGAGGAAGGGTGAGTAAAGTACCTCCTCCCTATGCATCTGCTGTGGGAAGTGTGGGTAACTCACAGATGATGCCACAGGGCATGTATTCAGGCACCACAGGCAGCAGTGAATGAATGAAGTGAAATGGTATTTATCCATTTCCTGGAAAGGTCCAGGGTTTGGCTCTGCAGGGCCAAGAGAACAGCTTTAGCTGTGCCTTAACCCAGTCCTGGAGAAGCCAGCAGGCCGTAATCACGGGGAGGAAACCCATCTTTTAAGGGCTCCTCGCTCAGGTGGTGACAAGGTGAGGTGGTCATCTATGCTGTCTTTATCAGTATCTGTCCTAAATACTGTGCTCTGACATTGATGCTAATATTCCATATTATCAGGGCTTCTGTGGTGTTTAGGCCTCTAATTTTTCTCTTCAGTAAGGGGAATAACTTTGCTGTGTCAGCGCAGTGCCTCAGGAGGGTTGCAATCTAGAAACAGTGATTGTTAAAATTGCCTATAAACACACAATATAAACAATATGCCACAGACACAGAGGCCCCCAGCATAGTTTCTGGAAGGTGAAGTCTCACCTCTGCCAGAGTAGAGTCACAGTGGGAATTGAGGCTTGGCATCTGGGTGCCTCTGAAGCTCTTCCTGTGGCTCCTGTTAGACAATTGACCCCGAAACACAGAAGATAGAGATTGCACATTGCGTTCAGTAATTGTTGTTTATTTATGTTATTTCTGAAAATAAAAGACAGCACAGGCTGCTTATCTTTAAACCACACAGTACCAGTTTTAAACCTGTTCTATTCTAACCTTGGAATGGAGTCACATGTTTCAGCAGCAATATGCTGTTTCCCTTCCTCGGTTTCTCACATCACCCTCTGGAGAATGGTGTGGAAACTGCCCTGTTTTTACATCAAGATAAAAGCTTCAGGAAGTTACTGGAGAGTGGAATGCAGGGGTCATTCTGGATAACACAAAATAACTATTTGATTAGACCAACCATTTGGTCTCTAAAATTGGGTGCTAAAGACAAAGATAGGAAATTCAAAAAATCACCACCTGTAGAAGAAAAATCAGTTAATAATTTGACAGATTTAAGGGCCTCACCTTTCTCTCACAGAACTTTACCTCATAACACCCTGTTTGGGAAAATTGGAAAATATCTTCTCCTTACCTCCTAGGGGATAAACAAGAGTTTAAATGTTGCCACCAACTCAAACAAAACACACCTCATTCTTTATGTTCTGGAGGGAGAGGGAGTCCTTATTTTGCTTCAAAGTTTCCTTTCTGGAGCTTCTTTTTTTTAAGTAAAAAAAAAAAAATGTGTTTAAGGACTAGTAAAGTACAGTATTGAGAAGTAGGGAAAGAATAGAAGGAGGAGTTGAATCTGTAATTGACTGAGCAATCAGTTGAGATAACTCACTGCCTCCACATAACCTTGGGCTGTCCTATGAGTCAGTGGAGAGCAACCCCTCTCATGTAGGTTCAGTCTGAGGTAGCTCACTGGCACTGGGAAAGTTGATCAGGGTAGTCCCATCTCATGCACAGCCCCATTTCCCCATGAGCCGCTAGAGTGGCTCGTATCAGAAAGATGCCATACCAAATGCTGGCAAGGACCTGGAGCAACTAGAATGCATGTGCATTTACCTTGTCCTGACAGCCACTTTGGAGAACTCTTTGGCTGTTTCTTATAAAGCTAAACATAATCTTCCCAAATAACATGGCAATCCCACTTCCACTTGTTTATGTGAAAAAAATGGAAACATGTCCACGAAAAAGACTTGTAGAAGCTTGTCCATAGCAGCCTTATTCTTAATAATAGGTCTAAACTGGAAATAATCCAAACATCCACAAACAAGAGATTGGATAAAGAAATTGTTATATATTCATACAATGGAATAACATTCCAAAAATAAAATGAATGTGTTACAGGTACGTGTAACAACATGAATTCATCTCAAAGACATTATGTTGAAGCCAGATTTGACATAACTCATTCTTTGTCATTCCATTTATGTGAACTTTGGGAATAGTCAAAACTTAGCTATGGTGACAGCAGTCAGGGCAGTAATTATCTATCGAGTGTGGAGATTGACTGAAAAGGGCACAGGAGAACTTTCTGAAATAATAAAAATGTCCTATATCTTGTTTTGCATCGTAGTTACACAGGTGTAGACAGTTGCTAAAACGCTAAAAACTAAATGTGTAAGATTTATGCATTTTAGTGTATTTAAATTATAACCCCCAGAAAGCATTGCCTCATTTTTTCTGGAGGGTAAATATGCTCGTTAGGAGCATAAGGGGATGATTTTGAGAAACCCTTGCTCTGTCATTCTGTCAGTAAACCGCCACTAACTTTTCTGGTTTCAAAAAAGCAAGGTCCATTGATGAAACTCCTTTGTGCCTTAGTGACAAATAACATTGATAAGGCCTACTGTCAACAAGAGTGTGTTTGTTATATCTTTTGTTTTTAGTGACTAAATTTGTAGGAATGATATTTTCATGGGATTACTCAATCTCACCCACCATTAGTTGCAGGTGACAAGAAAGCTAAGTTGGCAGATGTTTGTGCTAGAAGCTGTGGGTTTACGTCTCCTTTGTGCATGTGTTCCAGACATACCAGTGGCTTGGTATTTAAACATCATGCTCAGGTGTGCAGGGTAGTTTTTGAGTTATAATAGGTATGCAGGCGCTGTGGGATTACTTGGTTGTTTATGTAAAAATTATTTTGCACTCACTTCTGAAATGAGTGTTAGTAGAATCATCTTTAGAGGAGGTTCCAAGGCATTGAACTGAGATACCTGCACTGTTTGCTGTAAATTTAAGCTTAAAATTGAAACCAGGTTATCAGCATTTCATGCCAGGAGAGAGTGGGCATGAATGATTTCAGGAAATGAAGAGCTAGATTTCAGCCTTGAATTTGCTTCCACCCTTCTGTGGCAAATTAGTGTGGGCTCACTGAGCACTTTATCTGCCCGTGGTAATTTATTTTACCAGACAGGGTGTCACTTTGTCATCCAGGCTGGAGTACAGTGGCACAATCATAGCTTAGTGCAGCCTCATTCTCTTGGGCACAAGCGCTCCTCAGCCTCCCTCCTCAGCCTCCCAGTTGCTGGAACTTACAGGTGCACCACCATAACCAGCTAGTTTTATTTTTTGTAGAGACAGAAGTCTCACTTTTTTTCCTAGACTGGTCTGAAATAGACCATTCTATTTGCTAGAATGGTCTCAAACCATCCTTCTGCCTCAGCCTCCCAAATTGCTGGAATTTCAGGCATAATTCATCATGCCTAGCCATTTCTTTTTTCTGCTGCATTGCAGAGTTAGAACCAATTTCATTTGTCCTGCACTGAGAATGTGCATTCCCAGCAGATCATGGTTGAGCTCAGCACACCTGCAACTCAGCCAGCCTCTTTGAAGGGTGCACAGTTACTAACTGTCAGCGTTGCACAGCCACCTTTAGCAGGTATGTTCAGAACTTACATTCCCACCCTTTCTAAAACAGCTCACAGTAACAAGAGAACGGGATTTAACTTTTGACATGCACACTCATGAAAACCAATGATTTTGGAAAGCCAAATTGTTGAGAAGATAAGGTGGGGATTCTGACTACTAGTATTTTTACAAATCTGATTGTCGTTGCAGGTTTTGTTTTATTTTGTTGTGTTAATGCTGAGAGTGGAGAATAGATTGGAATATTTGCCTCTTGTGTTTCTTTTTGCTTTGTAACATTGCAAGTGGTCCACATTTTCCTTTATTTAAAATTTAAAGTTGGTGCCTGGGGTTTCTGGTGTTAAATAGAAGTGATACTTCTGCATAAAGTATTATGGAGATGCTCTGTTCCATCCAGGGAGGTGCAGGTGAAAAGAGGGCAGTTCATCCTCCTCACACTTAGGGCAGGGAGCAGCATGCAGGGGCAGATCAGCAGCTTTGCATGTTGACAAATCCACTCTCTGCTGCAGATGCCTAGGGGAAGTTGCAGACTTAAATTTTCTTTTGTAAAATGGGGGAACACAAACAGATCTTATGTCACACTGGTTACTCCAGAAAAAAAAAAAAGAAAAAGAAGGAAGGAAGAAAAGAAAAAGAAGGAAGGAAGAAAAGAAAAAGAAGGAAGGAAGAAAAGACAGAAGGAAGGAAGAAAAGAAAAAGAAGGAAGGAAGAAAAGAAAGAAGGAAGGAAGGAAGGAACATTTTTGTAGTCTGTCACCACATTTATGAATGGCTGGTCCTCGGGCTCTGTGGTGTGTATGATTAGTAACATGGCTGAAGCTAATGCATTCTCTAATCCTGATCCCCAGGTTCATGAGTGTCTTTCATTAATATTCTTTGTAATTTAACCCCAGAGCAGTGCTGCACAGCTCAATGGCCTTACGATAAGATAAGCCTCTAATTCTGTCTTCAGCTCTCACCAGCTTGTGTCCTAACGTATCAAGAATTTCACCCACCTGAGCCTCACTTTCCTGTAATTTACTGCAGTGGGTTCCTAGGCATATAACACCTAAGAGGTCAGTAGATTGCCTTAGAATGATTTTAGGATTCCAGATCTCAATTCATCTGTAAAAATCAGGGCAGTAGGAAACTTTCTGAGACACACCTTTAAAATTAGTTATAATGTGTGTTATATTTACAGATCTTAGTTTTGAAGACCAGCAACACAGCAATACTTCCAGATCTCCATATAACCTCTGTTCATTTGGGAGGGGCTTTGTATTTTCAACAGGAGAGTTCAAAGTTCATTTTTTTTTCAGCAACTACAGTTCTAAGTGAAATCTATTTTTATTGATACATGATATTTTACATGTTTATGGGATACATATGAGTCATAATCTATTTTAAATAATATCTTAGTGTTGTAAAATCAACAGTGCTTTTTAAAAGAAATATACCTTGTTAATTATCCCACATGTGTCTTCAGAAGTACAGCTTGAACAAATCCACCTTCTGTGGACCAAGCACCACCCTGGGCATTTCTAGCATGAGCAAAATCCAAGGTCCTGGCTGGACTCCAGAGATGCTATTTACCTCAGAAGCATGACAATAGGAGGCAGAAGGAGCAGGCAAATCCAAGTCCTTTCTTGTAGTTTCCTTGTTTGGGGAGGAAAAGTTGAGTTTTACTATTATGGAAAAGAAACAGGAAATAGAGACAGACAAAGAGATATGACAATACAGTCCTGCCACCCAGATACTCATTTCCACCTACCATTCCATGCATTTGTTTTGAATATATAAGTATGTACATAAAGGTAGGTACTCTCAAGTCCATCAGGGCTTGGCTGTCCACTGTTTTTGAAGTTCCAGAATGTTTTTGCTAAGTTGAGGAAATACCAAATCAGGACTATGAAAATTATGGTATATATTGATGTGTCACAGAACACAGATGTGACATAATAAAGATGTGTAAGATTATATATATAACTTGTGTGTACACCTACCTCATCTGGGGATAACACCTCAAGTTTAATTTTGAGGCTTGGGTCAATCGTGCTTCCCTTCCCTTTCATAGGTCCTCTATGAGATATTGTCATAGATTCCATGTTATGCAATAGCCATAGAATATGACATCTCTCTATGATAATTCTATATTACTTTAATTGCTGCACAGAAGTTCATTGTATGTAAGTGCCACAGTATATTATAGATCTTCTTGTGGGACATCTATTTCTAGTTTATGTGATAGTATAGCACTTTCATGAATGTTCTTGTACTTGATCTTTACACATTTTCTTTTTTCCTTAGGATGAATTCTGAGAGATGTAATTGATGGGGCAAAATGTACTCACTGTTTGAGGTTTGAAATTTTTCCATCAAAAGCTGGTACTCTTGGTTTTTTAAGACAAAGAGCAAATCCTCCCCTGCCAGGATTGACTTTTGGCTCTTTTTTTTCAAACCTCACTGCTTTTTGGTTTAGTTGTCATAAAATGCCAAGCACCATGAACAGGGCTCCATGAAGGGGCTCAGAGGTAGGAGGGCTGTGATTAGGAGAAGGCTTGGACTGATGGGCAATTTGAGTGCTCAGAATTAGAGTGAGGGGGTGGGGGTGCTGCAGGGACAGATGCTGGGGAAAGACACCCTGAAGGGCAAAGGGAGCAACAATGGCTGCAGTACATGTGGCCTTTCAGCTAGCGCAGAGGATGGAAACCAGAGTGGGCTGATGATTGGATGCCAGGCCTGAGCCAGGTGAGTCCTGTTCTCATTATACTGTAAAGTGAGCTGCTCCAAGCCTCCCTGATTCTTAGCACTCCCAGTCCCTGCAGGGGTCCCTGAGAAGGTTAATCTTGCATTAGGCCCTCTGCTGTTTTCCCTCTGTAAGCCTTACTCCACTTTGCAGTGAGTTCTAGTATAACTTCTATTCCAGTAAGATCAAATGGTTAAGGACTCCAGAAAAGAAATTTGGTGAACACAAAGGGTTTGTCATACTTTAACTTTTGTCCCTTTCCCAGGTGGCCCATGCTTCTAGGCCAGCCTCCCAATTCCTAGCTTGCTTCATGCTCCTGGCCTTTGCCTACTCAAAACAATCTGTCCTCCCCACCCTGTCATCTCTGTTCAGAGTAAATACCTCCCTCCCTCTGCTTTTGCCCTAAGTTATTTTTTCAACTCACCTAACATCTAACTTGGCTTTGCAGCTCTGTTTCTCCAAAACCCTCTCTGCCTGTTTCCTCCCAAGCTATCTATGACCAGTGCCAGAAACCAGAAAATCTTCTTGGAAGTTGCACTCTTTGCTTCTCTTCCCTCTCCTTTATCCTTCCACTTGGAATCTCTCTCCTTCTACCTGTCTCTATCTGCTGCAATCCTGTTCATCTTTCCAGGTACATTCCTCACTTTTTCATCTTTAAGAAGTCCTCTCAGAAACTGCATAGGATTTTTTCATGATATATGCCATATTCCACTGTGTAATGTAGATTACACCACAGGGTTTTTAATTTCCTAAAGGCAAGAGCTATAACCTAGTCATCTTCCTCTCCTAAGTGGGGAGTATCACCATGATTTGACCAAGTAGCTATGATATGGGTGCTATCTCCATAAATGAATGAGCAGTGAGGAAAAAGGAGATGATTATGAGTGAATGAAGAATCTTAATAAGGAAAGTTTATTCCACAGTGAAGCAGTGTTGGTGGCTCCAAAACCTCTCTTTAGGAAGGATTTAGGACAGCATCCTAATCAAAAGGGCCTGGAAGCACTTTATAAAAGAGAGAGACAAGATCGCATGTCAAACTAGAAGGAAGGAGGTGAGAGGAGATAGGGCTCCAGAGTGGAGCAAGCCCCTTCTGTCCCCTTGAACTTCCTGCCGGTGCATGGGTTACCTCTCATTAAATTTAATAGTACTTGTTGCTTTGGTGTAGTGAAATGAATGCCTTGATGAAATTGCATTGCACCATTTTTGAAAGAGAGAATACTCAAACGTGTCACTTCTGTTTCTTGCAAGCAACTGTGATCCTGAGCTGTGCACACTTCTGGTTGGGATTATTTCTGGTTTCTACTTCCTGTTTGAAGATGTGGCATGGAGAGTGTAAGTTGAAGAGATGAGTGCGGGGCTCATCTATCCCTGGAATTGTCTTTCCCACAATCCCTGACACAGAATATGAGCCATACAGGAATTCTGAAGAAATGGGTCTCTTGCCACCTCCCAGTAAAAGATTATTTTTTAAAAAAAAAAGGTAAATCTAAACTTGTGCTTTATCTTGATATGAAAATACAGACAGCAATAGAAAAATTTAAAAATTAACTGGGCATGGTGGTGCATACCTGTAATATCAGCTACTTGGGAAACTGAAGTAAGAGGATCACTTGAACCCGGGAGTTTGAGGCTACAGTGACCTGTCACTGCAGTCCAGGCTGGGCAAGAGAGCAAGACCCTGTATCTTAAAAAATAGAAAAAGAAAAGAAAGGATATGTTATGGTAAGAAAATATATAGACAAAAAGGAGCTTTGAGAGAACCCGTGAAGTCAATAGGGATGCTGCCTTGTAGGCAGAGTTTCTAAGTACGCACCCATTCCATCAAGTTGAGAAAGTATGACTCAAAGTTTATCTCGGTTTATACCTTAAACTGAGTGCTATGTGATCACAAAGATCACAAATATGGCCCAGCTTCACATCCCATGCTTAGAGAAAAACCATGTATAGGTAAGGCATTTCAAATTAGAAGAGTGAAGTATTCTTCATTTTTCCAAATATCCCAAAATAAATATATTTACAATAAATTCTTCTAGAGAGGTAGCTCACATGTCTATGAGAAAATCAGTCACAAAGATGGCATTACTATGTAGGTAAAATAGAAAATACTACTTAAATTTTTCTTTTATGTTCTAAAATATATTACTTCCAAGATATCTTGTGTACAATGTAAATGCAGTGACTGATTTCCAAGATTTTGTAAATTTTAATTTTATCCATAAGCAAAAGGAGGGGCTGCTTGTAAAACATAATACTGATTGTTGTTTCGGGTGGTTCCAATTTCTCCTGCAAATAGGTGGCAACTTCCTTGAAAATTGAGACTCTGGGCTGGGTGTGGTGGCTCACGCCTGTAATCCTAGCACTTTGGGATGCTGAAGTGGGTGGATTACCTGAGGTCAGGAGTTCAAGAACCGCCTGGCCAACATGGTGAAACCCCATCTCTACTAAAATACAAAAAGTAGCCGGGCATGATAATGGGCACCTGTAATCCCAGCTACTTGGGAGGCTGAGATGGGAGAGTCGCTTGAACCCAGGAGACGGTGGTTGCAGTGAGCTGAGATCGTGCAACTGCATTCCAGCCTGGGCGGCTGAGCCAGACTCCATCTAAAAAAAAAGGAAATTGAGACTCTGAGCTCAGCTTTACCTTGGGCAAACACAATTACTTTGGGTTCCTGATGTTGACAATTGAGATTTTAATTCAAACCTTCTAGGAAAAGACATCAGATTTCATTTTTATCTCACCATTTCTCCCACACTCATTGAGAATTTTTCTTGCCTGACAGTCAAGGATGTCTTTTGGGACAGTGTTCATTTTGGCATTATCTTGACAACCAATGATGGCTAATGCAAAGAGAGAAGGGAGAAAGAATATTACAGCCATATTTTGTTTTTTCCCCCATTCATTAAGTTTTTTAACTGTTCATAAAAAATCATTTTAATTTCTTAAATGTTTTGATTTATCACTACTTCCATTTTCTTTGGTAAAACCATGTTCTGAAAATAGCAGAGTCATAACCCTTTGGAAATAAAAAGATTATAGCCAGAAAAGCTGTTTTCTTAATCTAACGGATATACTGTATGAAAATATTAGTTCTGTTATTTGCTCTTTCAACTGATATGTCCAGTTGTGACACAGCATATTCCCTTACTGAATTTGTTCAGTTTTGCAAAGATAAGTTAGTTTTAGATAAATACAGAATAGTGCTGCCCACAGGAACAAGCTGCTGCCCACCACCTGGCATCACAGCCCCAGAACTCAGCTATTTCCATGGGACCACAGCATCTCATCTCTGGGCTGAGCCAGAAAGACCCCTACTGAAGTCCAGAGGCACTTTTCTGAAAGGTATTTTTGTCTTGTTTTGTTGAGGGGACCGGGAAAGATAGTATATATTGGCTGTCACCTGGAGTATTTGCCCAAAGTATATATATGCTCAATTTGTAATATCTATTTAATATCTAAACTATACTCATCCGTCTCCTCAAAAACAAGAATTTGGTGAGTTTATTTGGGCATTTTCTCTTTGATCATGAGGCCCATATTATGTCTCATATTATACTCCAAACCAAAAGTATTTGTTGAGGCAAGTAAATTCAGAGGCTTCTTCCAAGGAGAAAAGGCATATTGTGAGTTGCTTTCCTCTGAGAAGGCTACAGTGCTTCACTGTGATTTATCTTTCTGAATTTGCAGCTTTAGAAAACATGTTGTTTTTTTCTTCCCATGCACTAAACAAAAATATTAATCCTGTTTGTCCCCAACCACCCATCATTGGATATATGTTTTCAAATATTTACTGAGGCACAATATGCTACGACGCACCTTGAAGTTCCCAGAATAGGTTTACAGTAGTGAGAGGAAAATGAGGAGCAGCTGAAGGTCTTATTTTGTGATGGCAACACACGGTAATGTTAGGGAGCTTCCAAGGTGATGCTGCTGTTCTTTCATATTGCCTTTGGTCAGTTTTGTTTTTGTTTTGTTTTGTTTTGTTTTATTTTGTTTTGTTTTGAGATGAAGTTTCACGCTGTTGCTTGGGCTGGAGTGCAATGGCCTGATCTCAGCTGACTGCAACCTCTGCATTCCGGGTTCATGCAGTTCTCCTGCTTCAGCCTCCCAAGTAGCTGGGATTACAGGTGTTCAACACTAAACTTGGCTAATTTTTTGTATTTTTAGTAGAGACAGGGTTTCACTATGTTGGCCAGACTGGTCTCAAACTCCTGACCTGGTGATCTGCCCTCCTTGGCCCCCCAAACTACTGGGATTACAGGAGTGAGCCACTGTGACCTGCTGCCTTCGGTCAATCTTAAGGATGTTTTGTTTTGTTTTAAATTTTCGTGGCCATCATTCTCTTTGGAAAGAGCTTTTAAATTCCAGTGCAAGGCAGGCCTACCTTTTCAAATATATTTCTGTGAGCACTTAAGAAACTGAGTTGCTCCATATTTCTGCACCTTCTCCTTTTTTTTTTTTTTTTTTTTTTTTTTGCCCAGTTTCTAACTTGAATTTCTGGACCTGGGCTGTTAAGAGTAAGTAAAGAGAACCAGAATGAGATAATTCAGTCACTTTTTTCTTGGAGTCTGTCAACTTTCTGGATGCAGATCCATTATTATTACACTATTTAAGTCAGATTTGGAACTCCATAAAATGCCTACTCTATTGTCCTTTTAACCAAAATTTTCATGAGGAACCAAACCTATCTTTTATTAAAATAATTGATTGAGTATATGTGATACCTAGCTAATGAATATTTGTCTTAGAAGTATGAAGTTTAAATTACCCAGAACTGTTTTAGAATCCCTTAGCTTATATTCACAGAAAATGTTTGCCTATGACAGCATTCTTGAGTAAGCTGCCATGTACCAGCTCTCATTTAGGAGAAATTTGTTAATATTGCTTTATAAAAATAATATAAGCTCAAGGCCACTGAATACTGAGAAACT